>NC_000016.10:25759213-26062243 GCF_000001405.40 Homo sapiens | reverse complement strand
TCCAGTGTGTCTTTCTCTAAATGCTCTGAGTTGGAAGAAGTTGGGTTGAATTTGGACTTGGGGAATGCAGCCCTGAGATAGAAATTTAATGGCTGAATAATGGGCATGTGCTGTTTTACCCACTCAAAGCTCATTAATCTTTTTGTCCATTTTTAGCCCACATACTTCAGGTAGAACTCCATCAGCAACTCCAGATGGTAGAACACATGATGTAGCCTATCCAGAATATTCATCACCCTGGCCACAGAATGATTCATTTCAGGATGAGCATGTGACCTAAATCAGTCCAACTAGGGTGAATTTTGACCTTTATAGGAGCCAGAAGGAGAAAATAAAAACAAAAATGAAAAAAGCAAGCTTCTTTTCCCTTTTCCCTATGGAACTTGAATGGGAGAATTTGAAGATAAAGTTGCTGGTTCCATCTTGCCACCACGAGATTATATTTGGTTGGAGAATGAAGTTGACACAGATATCTGAGCCCTGAGATGAATAAAGAAAGAGAAACTGAGAAACAAAGCCTGATGACATTATTTGGGCCCCTAAGTCAAGCTACACTTAGAGATAGAATAACTTATCCTTTTCCTATTCCTGAGCTAAGAAACTCCCAGCCACTTAGACTAGTTTGGTCAGATTTTGCGTCACTTCCAACAAAAGTCCTACATTAATTCTGGACAAACAGTAAAGTCAAAAGTAGGCCAAGTTCCACAGCTTCTGGCCAGGATTCTTAAATCTACCCACCTCCTGATCATAATTGTTCCTGGTGCTCATGTGTAGCCAAGATGGTGGTGGAGGTCAAAGAGAGTTTGAAGAAAGAAGAGATGTGGAGACTTGGAAGTTGGTAATCCTGGCTATTCTCTGCCATGACTAACACTGCATTGTAAGCCAGGACCACGCCGTTCAGCAACAAGTACATGCTGTATAATGAGCAATCTCCTGTTAAAGGAAGACAACGTGTTTTCCACAGTCATGCTCAACTAATTTATTAGTGCTTTTTGAGATGGCAAAGAGGCATCTGGCTAAACTAGTCTGTGGAAATGATTTAATTAGACTGAGAAAAAAATAAGAAGAAAGATAAGAAGAACTTTGACAAGTTTCTACATCAAATGCTGTTCAAAACACTGCATCACCATGGGGTTGGGATGTGTGTGCGTTTTGCCATGAATTTGCTCAGAAAGCAGTAATAGAGAAGAAATAAACAAGCCCTTTAGAAGATGGGAACATGTAATAAGTGAGATTCTTCAAAGATCAAGACAGCATTTGTCTTACTAAACATCTTTATAAAATACTGAGGACTCACTGCAGAGTGAAAAACCTCAGTATGTGGATAACAGTGAATTCTTCTGGTTAGTGAGAAGCCAGAGGAACTGGAATACCCAGCCAATCAGTAATTAATGACTGATGAGTTAATTACAAAATCCCAGCCAACCGATCGCAGGGTGGTACTTGAAATTCTCCTGCTGTTGTGGGCATTTCTAGACCAAAGAGAAATAGAAACTGCTGCTTTATGCCTCAGTATGGTGTCTGGGAGAACACCAAACACATATGAGGTGCTCAATCATTATAAAAGTTTTTATACCAGATTTCAGATGACCTTGGCTATCTCCCACCTGAATGAGAGATTGCAGAACTATGCTGAGAAACAGTCCCAGTCCCTGTCACAGCTAAGTGTCAGTGCAAAGATTGATGACCAATGTCTGCTATGGAAAACCAAGTAGAGGGCAGTGAAAAGATGACGAGTATCTGAAGACTGTAAAATGTTGAGCTGTTGGAGAGCAGGAAGCAGGAAGTCAGACAGCAGTGTACTTCAGCAACTCAATGGCCACCAGGAAGTCCCTGGAGCAAGGGAGTAAGACGAGCTGGTGTAGAATTGAAGTTAATCTGGTGGGAAAGCTTTCAATTAATGTATCCTTACTGTTCTTCCCACCTTACCAGCCGTGGACACCCCAAAGACTCCAATAAAAGGACAACATAGGTCAAGCTCAAATGACTGCACCTGCTTCATGGGTCTCCTGAGTCCTCTCATGTCTTAGGAAGCTTGAGCAGTCATCCAGTCTTTCTTCGGGGCAGGGCTGGGTTTCTCTGATTTGGCCATAAGGAAACCTCTAATGCACGGACTCAGGGTTCTGACAACAATCAAAACAATCACAAGTAAAAATAATAGTAATAGGCTGGGCGCAGTGGCTCACGCCTGTAATCCCAGCATGTTGAGAGGCCGGGGCGGGCAGATCACAAGGTCAGGAGTTTGAGACCAGCCTGGCCAACACAGTGAAACCCCATCTCTACTAAATATACAAAAAAATTAGCTGGGCGTGGTGGCAGGCACCTGTAATCCCAGCTACTCAGGAGGGTGAGGCAAGAGAATTGCTTGAACCAGGGAGGCGGAGGTTGCAGCGAGCCAAGATTGTGCCACTGCATGCCAGCCTGGGCGACGGAGCAAGACTCCATCTCAAAAAAAATAAAAATAAAATAAAATAATAATAGTAATAATAATACTAGCGCGTTTGAAAGATATTAAAATGTGTTCACCTTCCTGGAGTAACCAATTTAATCCTATCAAATCCCAGTGAGGTGTTATCATGATCTTCACAGATCAGGCTAAGAGGGTTTATGTGTTCTGCCTGCTTCACACGGTCAGAGGAGGATGGAGATGGAAACCTGGCAACTATTAGTCATGCCGTTCAATCAATGCATTAATGAATGACTTCGTTAATTAATTTGGGTTTTCTCACCCAAGTTTTTGTACGATGCCTATTTTTCCAGTATAAGTAGCTAAAGGACCCTCTCCGCCCTACTTTATTTCATTCTTAGGCATAAAAGATAATGTTTTGTGGAAATGGTTTTGCCTTTTCTGGCTTGGTGAATTTCTGTAAGCAAATCACATATCACACTCTGTGATCAATATTCAAAAAAAAGAGAGAGAGGCAAGGAGAGAGGAGGGGAGGGAAGAAGAGAGAGAGGGGGACAAGTGGAGGGAAAGGAAGGAGGAAGGGAAAAAACAGCCCAAATACAGCCCCACCTCATTTGCCACCCTGAACCCTTGAACCTGCCACTCTGACAAGACCTCTCCCTCGCCTCCACTCTGCCATCGCCTTTTTCTAGGTCCCAGGTTCTGTCTCTGTCTCATTCTTTGAACCTGAGGCTTAGGATCGCTTCTTTGGGTTTCTCTGCTTGATCACAACTTGAACTCATCTTTTGAATCACATTCTTTCCACTTCCCTTGGCAAGGTGTGACCCTCAGGCCTCCCACCTCAGTCCAAGGCTTCAAAGCCAGAACCCACCTTCCTCCCAGCCCCCAGGTTGGAACTGGGACAATGAATGGGGCCAGAAAAATCATCCTTCCTTGACATTCACTTATTTGAACTGATCGTCAGGACACCAGGAGCCAATTCAGCAGTTCTACTTCTAGGACCTCACCTATTCCCTTTCCCTCTCTGGGCCTGTTTCCGCATCTGCACCAGAAAGGGACTGAGTCAGGTGTTCTGACGACGCTTCCAAAGCCAAGATTCCAGAGTATCTGCTTCCCTGTGGAACAAAGTAGAGGCAAAGGATACAACAGAACCAATTTCTAGCCAAGTAGATTTGCCTCTGCCCTGGAGAGTGAGAGGGTGCAGCGGAAATTCAGTAATTCTTTAGCACTGGCCAAGACATGATGGACAGGAAAGAATCCTGTAATCATGAGGCAGGAGAGAGCACAATCCATTAAGACCTTTTAGCCACAGGCTCCACAGAGCCGTTCACCTCCTGCTGTGCCTGTGAGCCATGTCACCCCCAGTGTTCTCAGCCAAGGAGCTCTCTCCTGCTGGCCTCTTTAGCTCACTCGTGTTGCTGCCCTGCCCCAAAGCCCACATTTAAGTCAACCAAAAAGCCTGCAGGAAGAAATGCAATCTAAAAATATTACCATCACTTTGGGACCTGATTTCTTTTTCTTCTTTTGACAAATGGAAAATCCCCAGGGGTTGTTCTGAGCTGATGCCCAGATACTGCACAAATAACAGGCAGTGGTGCAGCCCCTGGCTCAGCCCCTTTCTCCAACAGATGAGGAAATTAAATTTCAGAAAGGTTTGGTCACTTGCTAGGAATCACACAGCCACAGTTACATAGCTTGGAGAACATGTATAATGCAAAGCTTTAATGGGGCTGTTTTCCTTGCAACAACTTGTGTTGCCTCCCAATTGGCACCATTCAATCTGACTCCTCCATCAGGACCTGATTAAATCTCAGAGAGGACTTCTCAGATTGCCATCAAACTCGATTTTAATTCTCTCTCACATTTTCTGAGTAGGACTGTGGCCTTCAACCCTGGCCCCAGTGAGATGTTTCCTGAAACTCCCGTAATACACTCCACAGTAAGAGGGAGGCTTTACCTGGCCCAGACCTGCATCTCTCTTCTTCACACAGACAGATGAAGGCTCAGCTCTACCTGCACGACCCCCACAAAGGCAACGAAAAGGAATGCTTGGCAAGAAATGCACTAGCTTATTTCTTTCTTTCTTTATCTTTAGAGACAGAGCCTCATTCTGTCACCAGGCTAGAGTGCAGTGGAGCGATCTTGGCTCACTGCAACCTCCGCCTCCCAGGTTCAAGCAATTCTCCTGCCTGAGTAGCTGGGACTATAGGTGTGCACCACCACACTCAGCTAATTTTTGTATTTTTAGTAGAGACGGAGTTTCACCATGTTGGCCAGGATGGTCTTGATCTCTTGACCTCATGATCTGCCCACCTCAGCCTCCCACAGCGCTGAGATTACAGGCGTGAGCCACCGCGCCCAGCCTGCACCAGCTTTTAGAGTGATACACATCACTTCTTCCTACATGCCTTTGGTCAAAACAGGTCATATGGCCACACCTGAGTTTCAGTAGGTGGGGATGATCCTACCATGTACCCTGGGCAAGAGAAGCAAGTACCTGTGAAAGGCCCTACCTTTGGCCACAGAAAGGTGTTTGCTCTCCTCTTTAGCAGAGAATCTTGGATAAGCTTGGATAAGTTACCCAACCTCCCTGAGCCTTAGTTTTCCCACCTATCAAGGGCAGGTTGAGTACCCCTTATCCAAAATGCTTGTGACCAGAGGTGTTTCTGATTTTGGATATTTTCAAATTTTGGAATATTTCCATCATGTACTTACTGGCTGAGCATCTGAAATCTGAAAATCCAAAATCCAAAAGTGCTCTAATGAGCACTTCCTTTGAGCATCATGTTGACACTCAGAGTTTCAGATCTGGGGGCATTTGGGATTTTGAATTTGGGGATTTGGAATGCTCAACCTGGACCAATTCTACAAGGTCACAGTGAAGATTAAATATGACAATATAATGTGAACTACTCCACAAAGTATACCTGTACAATTATAAATAGGTATACATTTTATAATACTAATATTGATACAGATGTTGAACTTGTCATTGCTAGGATATTTACATAACAGAGAATGCTGAGCTGAGTGTATGCTGATCTGCATTATCATGAAAAATTTTTAAGAAGCAACAGACAAATAAATGTCTATGTGTCATGGTTCATTACTGTGGGAAACACAATGATGTCCTTTGTGATTTTTTAGGAGGTTGGGAGCAGGGCAGTGGCAGGGAGAAGCTCTGTCTACTGAATAAGAGGCTGCTAATAGCACCCACCAGTGTGCACACATTAGGTAAAGGTCAGTCAGAAACATCCACCTCACACTAGAGGGAAGAGCACTGTCTAAACACACAGCTTTGCTGCCTTGCAATGGCTCTCAGAGCACTTCTGTGCCCCCTGCTCCTGACTGTGGGTTGGTGGAGCACACAGCCACAATCCCAGTCCTCAGCTCAGAGACTGTCTTGAAGCTTTGGACTCTGATGGGGTAATTACCACCAAAATAATGGCCTGGTGCTGACCCACTCCAGCATCCAGTTCTTATCTTCCCATTTCATTCTGCTTAAGACAGCCATTCTTGCACCAATGGTTTTTTGACCAATAGTTCTCAAAAACTTCCAACCTGGTCTGCTGGCCACTGGGTCTGACACTGAACCACCTACTTCCCTGGCCCCTTGATAGAAATTGACAAGGATTCGTGAGAAACAGATGTTTAGCCCTTGCCTTGTTAGGTAAACTGAGTCAATTGGGAGGGGAAGTTAATTCAAATGGAGGAGAGTTTGCTTCCTTGTGAAAAACAATGAATCTTAATGCATTCTTCTCTCTCTCTCTCTCTCTCTCTCTCTCTCTCTCTCTCTGTCTCTCTCTTTCTCATGCAAATTAGGATACATTATGATGTAAATCCAGCCGGTCAGGTATGGTGTTGTGTTTATACCCTGAGGAGATTGTTATCAAATGTCCAGTGAGCCCGAACCCTGTAAACAGACAAGCAGGTCATTGAGAACCCTTGGCCCAAACTGCAAAGCTTCACTGCCCAAATGAATCAAATCCATCAGACGGTTAGCATGCCACTTCTTTCTGTATATTCAGCCAAGGTGAGCTACAATATATCAGCATATTATTCATCCCAAAAACACTTAAGAGGAGAGGAAAGAAAATAGAGCTTCCATATGCACCCACATGCAATGGTTCTACAGAGTGGAAGACATTTAGCCAGGGGATAGTGACTAGGTTTACAGGATTTGAAGATTTTAAAATAAGAAGTCTGAGGATTATTATGCGGGAAACTTTTCAAAACTAAGCATTGGTGGGTATTGCTAGCCTTAGCTAGATTAGTGAGTAACACCCAGAACTAGGCTACCACCATAATTCCAGCAGCAGGTGCATGTGACATCTTCCCTGATAGCCTCTGTGCCCACCAAGTCATTGTGCCCCTCAGTTCCCAGCCACCATGACCCAAAAAGAGTGTCAGAGTTTCCCCTACTAGTGCCCAGATCTTCCTAATTATCATCATTGCTTGAGTTCCTGCTGTGAGCTAGGCAAAGTAAAGTACTTTACAAATATCATCTCCTTTATCCTCCTAGCTGAAAACTGAACCTCACAAAGGCTAAATCACTTAGCCACAGCCACACATCTTCTCAATGCCAGAGCTGAGGTTTGGGGCTGAGCCAGTCTAACTTCAAATCCTGTGCCTTCCTCTCTGACCTCAGCAGGCTGCCTCCCTGCTGAGGGCCCTGACCCTCTCTCATGAATGATTCACATTAAAGAGCAATCTTGGAGGATAGAAAAAAAAAAACAACTCATCAAATTTAAGAAAAGATAATGGTGATCTGGCGGTGCTGGGTAGCTCTGAATTTAATGTCATAGGAACAACACAGAACAATCAGATATAATTTTTGTCAGTTCCCCATAGAACATCTAGTCCAGCACTTGGAAATGCCCATGACTTCAGAGGCCAGTAAAGAGGTAGCAAGGAGTCAAGATTCTCTGCTGAAGAGAAGCGAAAACACCTTTCTGTGGTCAAAGGTAGGTAAAGAGCAGTCAGAAACATCCATCTCACACTAGATAAAAGAGCACTGTCTAAACACACAGCTTTGTTACCTTGCGATGGCTCCCAGAGCACCTCTGTGCCCCCTGCTCCTGACTATGAGTTGGTGGAACCCATAGCCACAATCCCAGTCCTCAGCTCAGAGACTCTCTTGAAACTCTGGACCCTGATGGGGGTAATTACCACCAAAATAATGACCTGGTGCTGTCCCACTCCAGTACCCAGTTCTTATCTTTCCATTTCATTTTGCTGAAGATAGCCATTCCTCTTGCACCAATGGTTTTCGGACCAATTGTTCTCAAAAACTTCCAACTTGGTCTGCTGGCCACTGGTTCTGACACTGAACCACCTACTTCCCTGGCCCCTTGATGGAAATTGACAAGGATTCATGGGAAACAGATGTTTAGCTCTTGCCTTGTTAGGTAAACTGAGTCAATTGGGAGGGGAAGTTAATTCGAATGGAGGAGAGTTGGCTTTCTTGTGAAAAACAAGGAATCTTAATGCATTCTTCTTCTTCTTCTCTTCTTCTTCTTCTTCTTCCTCCTCCTCCTTCTCTCTCTCTCTCTCTCTCTCTCTCTCTCCCTCTCTCTGTCTCTCTCTCTCCTTCTCATGGAAGTGAGGATACATTATGATGTAAATCCAACCAGTCAGGTATGGTGTTGTGTTTATACCCTGAGGAGATACCCTTCACAAATATTTGTTCCTCTTGCCCAGGGCACCTGGTAGGATTGTCTCCACCTGCTAAATCTCAGGCACGGCCATATGACCTGCTTTGACCAATGACATGTAGGAGGAAGTGACGTGTATCACTCTAAGAGCAGGTGCATTTTCTGCTAAGCTTTCCTTTTCCTTGTCTTTGTGGTGGTAGAAATCTGTGTCACAAGGGAGCCTCCCCTGGTGTAGATCCCTGAATGCCTCTGTGGAGCAGTGCACTTCTGCCGTCACATGATAGGCATGTTTTATGAGTGAGAAATTATTTAAAATTATGGAGATTTTGTGGTGGATGTTACCGCAACCACCACAAAATGGTGGTATTGTTACACTTGCATAAAATATCCACAGTAAATGGTAATACAAGTAACGAATAAGAAAATAAATACTAGACTCTGTTGTATTTTTTATATATATATTGGTAAATCGCATATACATGTTAGAGTCTGTTTTGAGGTTTCCAGGCAAGTTAATTGGGTCCAGAGTGGTGAATATTTGACCAGTGTCATGCACAGGAACATACATGAAAGTCCCAAACCAAAAATCAAGATCTCCTTGTCCCCAGATGATCAGAACCACACTTCCTGAAGTCTTAAATTTGGTCTTCCTGAGAAAGAACAGTCCCCTTCATTCTGAACTTAATTCTGAAATTCTCCATCAGGATGTTATACACATCATCATAGGAACTGCTTTTTTCCTCAGATCTTATTGCTTAAATCTTCTGGAAGTTGCTGTATATTTTTCTCTGTGTGATGTTTTTAGGACATTGGAGGTGCATGCTAAATAATAATTGCAGCAAGTATTAACATTAATTAGCTTTTCCAAGTGCTGTGATAAGCATTCAGAATGACTTATCTCACTTAATTCTTGTAAATTTGGAGACCCTAGACTTCCACCTGCTCTCACAGATCATTATAGAAAGACCACATGGTCATCATTGATTGTTGAGGGGAGCGTCTTATGTATCAGGATTTACATGCAGATGGAAGAGCTGAAAGCATCTCGGGAGAATATCTTTTACAGCTGGGAACTCTGAAGTTTAGAGAGAGGAAAGGGCTTGCCCAAGGTAACACAGCAAACTAGAGACCCAGGACTTACGCTAGGTGCCCTGTCCTGTGGTTTACTTCACTTTTTCCAATAAACTTCATGGAATTGTCTGAAGACAGCTAGCAACATATGTTATGCAAGATGAACAGTGTTAAAGACACTAGACAAAGCAGACATTTAGTAAATTGGAAATCCCCACCTTAAACCGGGAATGATCTCCAGAGATAAAGGTCCCCACATGAGAGCAAAGCAGCACAGAGAGCAAAAAAGAGCACAGAAATATATCCCAGTTCAGAGTCCAAGAAGCATGAGAGTTGGTGAGGACTGTTGAGGGCAAAGCCCTTGGCTCCCTAAAGGTTCTCTGATATGAGGCAGATTCCTAGGAGAAAAGGCAACATCTTCATTTAACATGTATACATGGGAATCAGGTGTGGTAGCTCACGCCTGTAATCCCAGCACTTTGGGAGGCTGAGGCAGGCGGATCACTAGAGGTCAAGAGTTCAAGACCAGCCTGGCCAACATGGTGAAACCTCATCTTTACTAAAAACACAAAAATTAGCCAGGCGTGGTGGTGGGCACTTGTAATCCCAGCTACTCAGGAGGCTGAGGCAGGAGAATCACTTGAACCCAGGAGGCAGAGGTTGCATTGAGCCGAAATTGTGGCACTGCACTCCAGCCTGGGTGACAGAATGAGACTCTGTTGCAAAAGAAAATAATAATAATTAAGAAGTAATAAGAATAACTTTTTTACATTGGAGTATTCAGAATGAAGACTCAAAGATACAGAAGAAGTTGTCCATTTTCATGCTAGATTCAACAAAGGGTAGACAGCCGAGTAGAAATAGGATTGGACAAAAAGGGTCCGATGGAATGCCAATAGACTGAGTGGGGACATGCAGCAAGGCCTCTCTGTCTAGATTTTTCTTGGCCTCTCTGAGCAGTGTTCCTTCCTTCTGGGTGTGGGACACAACCCTCTCTGGAATGGGGATCTTATGATCTATAGTCAATGTAGGTCAGATCATTTCTTTATGGCCATTAGTTTACCCAGCAGGTCAAAATAATATTTTTAGATTTCATGGCTGGCTTTAGGAAAGAGGAGTTCTGGTTTCTATGACCTGTCTTGGGGAAGAGGAAGGAAGGAAGGAAGGAAGGACGGAAGGAAGGAAGGAAGGAAGGAAGGGAGGGAGGGAGGGAGGGAGGGAGGGAGGGAGGCAGGGAGGGAGGCAGGGAAGGAGAAAAGAAAGAGAGAAAGAGACGGGAGGGAGTGAGAATGGAAAGAAAGGGAGAGAGGAAAAAGAAAGAGAGAAAGAAAGAAAGTGTGTGGGGTGGGGAGGAAGGAGGGAAAACAGAAAACAGAGAGGGAGGCAATAAAAGAGATTAGAGAAAGACCAAAAGAGAGGGAGGGAAGATGAGAGGAGGGAGGGAGAGGGAGAGTGGTGGGGCCCTCCGCAGCTGCATGAAATCCTTGCGTGAACACAGGTTCTTGGCCAGAGAGACCAGAGCTCTCGTCCCAACTGTCTTACTTCTGGTCTGTGTGATCTTTGACATATTTAATATCTCTAAGCCTCAGTTTCCCCCTGGGTAAATAAACACAATAATATTGACCACTCAGGGTCTGTTCTGAAGATTAAAAGAGACAATTTGTGAAAAAAAAAAATTATTAGTTTCACTTGCCCTGTGAAGGTGGGCTTCCTGGAATCATGCTCGTCTTTGTCAGGAAAGCTTGTGGGAGGAGGCTGTGTTATCTGTGTGTAGACAGCCCTGAAATCTGCATATGGCTCTTGCAGTTGTCAGTCTCTGCTTGAGGTTTGCAGGGTAATTAAAGGCACAGTAGGCAGGTGTCATTAACTTGTTAACCTAAAGTTTTCTCCCCACTCCCCACCCCCACAGGAAGGGAGATTGCAAATGGGTTTGGAGGAACCAAGTCTGACTTAGAGAGTTTCCTTTCAATTATTTTCCCTGGAGCCTTGCACGCTTGTTGGGCTCATTATTAAAACTCAGGGTCTGCACTGTATTAATCCACCACACCTCTCTGGATGAACACAGAGGGTGCCAGTCTCCTTAAACTCAATGCTCCCTAAAGGAGATCCCCGACCTCCTATCCACGTGGTTCCCTCCATTCCAGCTCCAGGATGCAGACAGTGTTTAACATTTCCAGCTAAATTGCTCAAGTTATGCAATTAGGCCTTCTGAGTAGAAGCTCTATCTTTCATATGCTTCTGGGGGCCATAAAGGCAAGGATTCTCTGAATGGCACTTTTGAAACTCAGAATGTAAGGCTCACGGTAATAACACTGGATGCATGCCTTCACACAACTGGCAGTGCCTTCATACACCTCCGCTCATTTATCACCAGAGCAATATGCATGGGGTATGCCTCTGTCCGCTGGACGCACAAGAATGCTGAGGCTCAAGGAGCTCAAATTGCTCGGCGGAGGGTGCCTGGTTAGTGAGTGGTGCGGAAGGAATCACATGCGAGTCTTTGACCCCTTAGCTGGGACCCTGTCTGTCTTAATCCATGTGGTAGCTGCAGTACTTTCCACAGTGCCTGGCATGTGAAATGTGCTCAATGACTATTTATCATTCGCTATTTGCTTCTGGAGAAACATGAATTCATGCCATTATGTAATTCATACCTAAGAGTGTGTGGACATGTTCAATCCTGTTTATAGAGTGAAAACCAAGGCATATCCAATCCTACTAATTCATCTCAGCTTATGGGATGATTTCAGGGTATGAGGACTGTGACATTGTAAAAAAATACATACATATATATATAGAAAGAGAGAGAGAGAGACAGAGAGAGAGAGTCTTCTACCTCTTCCCTGGCATATGACTCCTAAAATTCTTAGGATCTCCAAAGTGATGTCTTTTTGTATATTAATGAGAGGACTGGTGGCTGGCAGCCCCTAGGTAGCTTCAGGATGGGGCTGGTTACTGGAAAGACCAAAGCAGATTAGAGGGTTGAACTTTCAGCCCCGCTTCCCAGTCTCCAGGGGGGAGAGGGCAGAAGATTAAGTTGATCACCAATGGACAATGGTTTAATCAATTATGCCTACATAATACAGCCTCTTTTAAAACCCAAAGGGCAGGGTTCAGGGGGCTCATGGACAGCTGGACAGGGGGAGGCTCCTGGAGGACGGTGCACCCAGGGAGGGCACGGAAGCTCCTCACTCCTTCCCACATGCTTTGTCCTGTGCGCCTCTTCATCTGTATCCTTTGTAACATCCTTTATAATAAACCAGTAAACCTAAGTATTCTCCTGAGCTCTATGAGCTGCTTCTGCAAATTAATCAAACTTAAAGGAGGGGGTTGTGAGAAGCCCGATTTGTAGCCAACCGGTTAGAGGCACAGGTAAAATGCCCTGGGGCTTGAGCCCAGCCTCAAGCTGTGGAATCTGACGCTATCTCCAGGTAGATGGTGTCAGAATGGAATTGGTGGTCGTGCAGTTGGTGTCCACTGCAGAATTGCTTGCTTGCTTGCTTGCTTGGTGTGTGGGGGAAAATCCACACGTGGGGTCACAGACCTCTTCTGGGTTGACTGTTGTGAGGTAAAAGCAGAGGAAAAACTGTGTTTTTCCGCTCAAGGACACACACATACACACACACACACACACACACACAGAGGCACGCATTCCCCACTGCAACTAGTACAAATGCACGGGCACATCTACTCACAGCCACATCATTCTCCGGATGTAGACCTCCGGATGTAGACCTCCGGATGTAGACCTCCGGATGTAGACCTCCGGATGTAGACCTCCGGACTTCCCAGCAGGTCCACCTTTTTCCTCCCCCCTCACCTTGCCTTCACCCACGGCAGCACTTCCCAGCCTTCTAGCTTTTCATTCCGCCTTCCTAATATGTGTCATTACTTACAGGACTTATTGTGCTTTGTTCAATATTTTCTTTAACTCACTTTTTAAACACATGACTACCTTTAGAAAATAAGGAAATAATAAGATAATAATTATTATGTCAATATCACAAGCAGAAGCCCAGAATCATTTGCCACAAATAAAAGGCAATCATAAAAATTAAATAAGGTGAAAACAAAAGAGTAGTCTCCGATTTTAGCTAGATATCATTATTTCTCAAGGCTTCTTATCTCCGTTTTTTCTCAATAAGGGACATTAACAAAGGGCAGAGAGGTATGACAGACATAGTATGATCAACTAACACATTCTCCTTAAAGAACTGCAAGAAAAATGGAAAGAGAATGACTTTCTTGCTGCGAGATTCAATGTTATTTTTTTACTTTTTAGACAGGGTCTCGCTCTGTCACCCAGGCTAGAGTGTAGTGGTGTGAACATAGCTCACTACAGCCTTGAACTCTTGGGCTCAAGTGATCCTCCCACCTCAGCTTCCCAAGTAGCTGAAATTATAGTTATGCACCACCACACCTGGCTATTTTTTTATTATTATTTTTAATAGAGATGGGGGTCTCACTATGTTGCCCAGGCTGGTCTCAAACTCTCGGGATCCTCTCAAGGCCCAGGATCCTCTCACCTGGGCCTCCCAAAGTGCTGGGATTCTAGGCATGAGCCACTGCACCAAGCCAGGATTCAATGTTGTTGAATGCTGTGTCCTAGTACCACTTAAAACTGTGTCACACATACAACCACACACATATTCAGTGACGCATGTTCCATGCACGGAAATGGTGGCCTAGAGGAAGAATTATGTCCCAATTCCTTTAAGTAACATTCCAAGAGTTGTGCTATATGGTCGACAATCTATCCTTTCTCATGTTGCCACTTGGACCTGCCATTGGCTCTAGACTATTATAGACTGAATTGCTTCCTCCCTAACATTCATTTGTTGAAGTTTGTTCCTACGTTCATTTGTTATGATTGTATTTGGAGATAGGGCCTTTAAAGTGGTAATTAAGTTCAAATGAGGTCATTAGGCTATGCCCTAATTCAATCTGAACAGTGTCCTTACAGAAGAGGAGATGAAGACACAGACACCCAAAGGGAAGAGGATGGAAAGACACAAGGATAAAGCAGCCATCTAACAGCCTGGAGAAAGGTCTCAGGAGATACCAGCCCTGCCGACACCTTGATCTTGGACTTCCAGGCTCTGCAGTGCTGCCACTGCTCAGGTGATTGCCTCACATCTGGTTGGAGCAGGAGTCATGCCTCTCCTCAAGCATTGCTCTGAGTGCCCTCATCATCAGACATTTTCAAACCAGGCACAAAAGTAGAAATTCCACTTTTGCCCAAATCCTGCAGTCTCTGTTACACCGCTCATGGTCCATCATCACCACCTTCTACCTTTGGCTTCTCATCATGAACTTCTTGAGTCCAAGGTCCAGTTCTTACTCATATAAAAGGAGTTCAGCAAATGCATCTTCGTTAAGATTGAATTAAGTACAAGGAATTAAAATGAACTGACTGGAAACTGAAGGAAGTGAGTAATAGCTGAGAAAACAGGGCTTTGGAGACGAGATCACGGCTTGCATTCTGCCTTTTTCATTTACTAGCTGTGTGACCTGGATGACTTCTTAAGCACTCTGAGCTCTCATCTTCTCACCTGGAAAGCAGGGTTGATAACAGCATCCTTCAAGGTTGTTTTAAGGATTAAACTAGATAAGGGAGACTTCCTGGGCAAGACACCAACTGACAAATGACTAGCTTCCCTTTCCACCAACTTCCCACTGGAATATTCATGAACATATACACACACCAATAAATGAAAGGTTGCTACAGTCTTGGGAACAAAAAAATATTGATCGAAATCTTCTGGGCCCTCAAGGAATTTTCACTAACCAAAGAAGGGAAGAGTCCTTGATGCAGAAAAATAAAGCCAGGCACTTCTGCTACAACTTCTGACCTACAGGGGCTTAGAGATGAGTACCCTGTGCCAGCCAGAGGCAGGAAGCCTTCCCCATCATGCAAGAACTCTGTTAGGAGGTGCTCATGGCAACTTAGCCCTCCATTCCTCTAATTAGCCAATGAGTACTTCCTACACTTATGCAGGACTATGATGCCCAGTTGTGGAACACAGCAATCATGTATTATTTTAAGCAGGAAAGCACAGAAACAGGTAAATCAAGGCAGCTATAGCTTTTTACTCTTTTTTTTTATTTTGCAAGAAAGGAATGAAGAGGAAACATATTGTACTAGTTAACAGCACAGACTTCAGCACCAGTTTGCTTACATTTGAATTTTGACTTAGACACTTACTAGTTGTGCGATGTTGGATGAATTAAAGTGACTCATTTCTGCATCTGTCAAATGGGAATACTAACAGTACCAATCTCAGAGGGTTACTGTGCAGATTAAATGAATGTAAAAGGCTTTGGAACAGTGCCTAGCACCCCAGTAAGTATTGTGTAATGTTTACACACATACACACACACACATATATATATATATACACATATATACATATATAAATTTCTCTACATGAAGCTGAGATAGGAAAATCCTCCTGAGTCTTAAAGAGCCACACTGGCTAAACATCTTCCAAGATGCCAAAAATCTGATTCAGGGTGGTGAATATCACTGACATAAGAAACAGGTTCTAACAGCAATCAGAAGTGAAGTGAAGGGTCCACAGGTAAATAAAGAAGGGAAATAAAGATGGATCTACAGACACTAACATGGACAAACAGCAGGACTGAATAAAACTTTTTCCTGGGCCGGGTACCGTGGCTCATGCCTGTAATCCCAGCACTTTGGGAAGCCGAGACAGGTGGATGGCCTGAAGTCAAGAGTTCGGGACCAGCCTGGCCAACATGGTAAAAACCTGTCTCTACTAAAAACACAAAAATTAGCTGGGCGTGGTGGCAAGTGCCTGTCATCCCAGCTACTCAGGAGGCTGAGACAGGAGAATCGCTTGAACCTGGGAGGCAGAGGTTGCAGTGAGCCGAGATCACGCCATTGCACTCCAGCCTGGGCGATAGAGCGATACTCTGTCTCAAAAAAAAAAAAAAAAAAAAAAATTTCCTGTCCTTACATGAGGAAATATAAGCACAGCCAAAACTTGTGCAGCAAGAAAGAAGGCTATAGAAATCATAAAACACAGGTAGAATATGCCTATGGAGAAGATACTATAGGCAACAAGAGTAATTTTTTGAAAGCAAATGTTTTATGGTCTCCATAAAGTTTCAAAAATGTAATTTCGATGTAATGTAAAATAAAGCTGAAATGATAAAAAATGAACTGAAATGAATAAATGGTTGGTTGTGGTAAGCTAGATTGTGTAGAGAACAAAATAAAATAAAGAGAGTTAAAATATGCATTAAATGTGGTCAAGGAAAAGGTCAGCTTCAAACCATAAAAATATAATCCATGTGAGAGAGAACTTGGGATGTTATAAAAGTGCAGGAAAACAGTAAAGAAGATGACAATGTCAAGAGAGATGGAAAATTCGTGAACAATAGTTGTTCTAAAGAAGGTGTCGGATGTACCAAAAAAATCAGCCATCAAGGGCTTAGGAAGAGTGAGTAGTGAACAAGATAGACACGGTGCCCACATTAGCAGAGCTCAGATCTAGTGTGGAGAATCCTGGGAATCAGGTAAAATCCACCAGTGTGGACAGTCTACACTGGTGAGCCTGCTCATTTTCTGCCTTCTTATGTACTGCGAGTTCTAGTGCTACATTCAACTAAATTAGTATTTCCCAAACCGAATCCCAAGGGATAATGTTTTCAATATGTTCTGGCTCTTCTGGGTAAAAGCAGTTCTTCGGTCAAATAAGTACAGGCAAGAATATATTAAACTAAACTAAAGAAGAATTCTTTACCCCAGAACATTAATGCTAAGATGCATTATGAATTCCAAAGTCAGTGATATCATGCTGCCTTTTTAAATTCAGAAAGGGTAGAGGTCATTTTTTTTCTGATACTTTTCACCATGATGCTACCCCCTGCCTTTCTTTTTCATCTCTTGTAACAGCTACTGACATCTCTCAGACACAGCTGAGAAATGCCACGGTAGACCCTGAGCAAGCAAATGCCAGGATCGTAATATGTCAGGCTCTCTAGTTGTGTTCTTAGTGCTGCACCCACAGCCTTTAGAGCAGGTTGATATACAAATTACACAGCCGCATGGGCTCTCAGTGTCTTTTGCAGGATCATGGTTGCACAGACGGCAGTCAGTCTCCCAGGAGAGCGTTGAGATTTGTAGACTGGTCAGCAATCAATCCTGTCCAGGGTCTTAAGTGTCTCAGTTTACCTTCCCTGCCACTCTGGTGCCGGTGACCACAGGACATAATAAAGCTCTCGGTCCCAGCTTCCATCAGGTTGTATCCTTCAATGGGACATGGATGATTGACACTATGGTCCTGCAACATTACATCTGCCTGAGCAAGCAGCCTACTTCCTACCAGAATCCAAGCATCATCCCAACCTGCAGATGCCCCTGCCTGGCCCCATCCAGTGGACTAGACTCCTGGAATGTTGAAATGGATATGTATCCCTAGCTTGCCCATCCCTAATCTAGATCCCTCCTATTTTTTTTTAACTTACATTTACCATGTAATTAACAAGAGATACAATAAAGGAAAGGGAGGAATAGCCAGATGAAAAGATGCATGGGGCAAGGTCTGGAAAAGACCCAAGTGCAGGAGCTTCCATCCCCATGGAGTTGGGGTGCATAACCCTGGCACTCAGATGTGTTCACCAACCCAGAAGCTCCGCCAACCTTCATAGTTCAGGGATTTTTGTAAAGGCTCCATCACATAGGAAAGATCAATGATTAATTCCACTACCAGCCCTTCTCCCCTCTCCAGAGAATGGGGGTGTGGGGCTGAAAACTCCACGGCTTCCGTCTTTTCCTCCTCCCTCTCTCTTCCTGCGCAATGGTCCCTTGGCTACTCCTTGAAGCTCTTGCAGAATCAAGTAACAGCTCTGATGAAAGATTTGTCAATGGAGAAATTGGACTCACCAGAAGTACAAACATGAGGCTTAAAGCCACCACTGGGTTTCTTTATCCACACGACGCAGTGAACCCAGTATTCCAAAACAAAGCAGAAAATTCTGAGACCAGACAGCCTGGGTTGGGATTCCACCAACACCACTTACCAGCTGTGTGATTTGTGGCTATTTGTCAAACTTCTCTGTGCTTCAATTTCCTATGCTGCAAAATATGGCTAGTAATGATTCAGGGAGGATCCTAGCTGAAGACAGTGAAACTGGTTAAGAGGTTCTTGCATTCATCCAGATAAATGCTAGTAAGGGCCTGGGCTGAGGTAGTGGCAGGGAGAATGAAGAGGGGGAGGCAGAATTTGAAAGTTACTTGGGAGGGCGAATGGCACAATTTGGGGACCAATTAATCATGGAAGGCGGGGGTACAAGAAGGGCAGGGGTTTAAAGTACAGCTTCTCAATTTTTTACTAGCATAGCGGAGTGGATGTGGATGCTGTTAACCAAGCCAGTTCATAAGGGAAGATTGTAATTGCTGCGCGTGTTTCAGAGAGTCTCCCTGGTAATAATGATCTCTTTTCCTTCTCATCATTACACTGTGGTTACAATTCTCACATGAGGAAGCTGTGTCTGATACCCGACATCTGGGACCTCACTTAATCCTCACTAGAACGTCATGATGTGAATGTCTTCCTATTATTCCTATAATGTAACAGTCACTGAGCCTCAGAGAGGTAAAGCAACTTGCCCCAGATCACACAGCAGCTAGGCTGGGATTTCAACCCAAGAAGATTGGCTTCCCCATGCTATTAGCCTTCCAGTATTAAACACCATCTTCAAATAACTCTACCAGAGAGGAGAGGTATGAGAGATTTCATCATCCATGCAATCCTCCCGCATGAAAGGGTTCAGATTCTTCTACCTAATTTTTTATTTGAAACCCTCCATAAATAGATTGTAGAATTTGTCCTAGCTATTGTAAAGTTGCTTTACCATACCATGCACTTGTCACAGCTGCTTTTCAAATCTCTGTGTGTGCATTATGCTTGCACTGTGCAGTTTCAATGTCTAATTACAATGTTGAAAGCTACTACACGCACAGGTAGGTAGGTATATAGATATTGAGAACACACAGCAATACCATTTTAACATAAAAGTGCTTGTGCTTTAGAAGAAGAATAGCAACTTTTTAACTCTTGGGTACTATTTGTTTTGCTGATAGCTGAGTGAAATTGGGGGGTGTTAGAAAGCTGTGAATAATGTTTAATATTAATATTATAGGTTACCGGGGAAAAGGGATTTATAGTGTAAAATGATACTGCCAAAATCCAGCAAAAGGCTGAAAGTTCAAACCACTCTAAATATTGATTTGACTCAATTGTGCATTTTAAAACATTCCTCTTTCCCAAGAGAAGAGTCATTCCTGAGGAAAATTGTGAAAATGGAATGTAAAAAGGAGAGAGAACAAAAAGTCACACTGCAGATCTACACTGAACAGTTTGCTTTCATCTTTTGGGAAATTTATTTCCATCTCCCAAAACAGAAAGCTGCAAATAATGATTCTCCTGATGCAACCATCCCAGTTGGATCATGTTAAAAAGCTTTTAGGAGGAAAACAGTAAGTAAATTCAACTGTTCAGATGCATTTGGATGTAATCCTAAAGCGGTAGCCCGGGTAATCGCCACGCCATCAACAACTAAAAGGATTGTGACTATTAGATGTGGACAACAGAGAAATAATGGATGTTAAAGAGGAAAACAGAAATGATTGCATTCAACCGCCACATAGCTTTAAAGCTGATGACAGGAGAATGGACGCTCCATTTTACAACTGCTGAAACACACACACACACACACACACACACACAGAGATAAATGCCAGCATCAGTTTTATTATGTAGGTGGTTAAACAGCCACTTTCTTTTTCAATATTCTGAAATAGACAAGGACTTTGGTCTTTGACTAATTTCAGAGTTAAAGAGAAGGGATAGCTTTCTTTCTTCTCTGTCAACATTCAGTCTGGGAGGGTTTGATGCTGGGGCGTGAAAGGTTTCAGAACGCTGGAGGCAGGATGCTGGAACATAAGGCAGGCGGGGGGCACAGAATGCCTATCTGTGATCTTAAAGGATTTTTGAATAAGAGCCAGTTCTGCTTCTTCAGCCAAGCTTTTGCTGCTTGCCAGGAACAATTATGCATCAGTAGATCAGTGATTCTTCCAGTGTGGTCCATAAGGTCTACTACCTACATCTTAATGACCTGCATTATAATGCAGACTCCCAGGCCCAGACCCACTGAAGCAGACTCTCCCGAGATCGGGCAAGGATTCTTAAGCCATCATCCATGGAGAATGACCATGATGCTTAATGTGATCAGAGATCATGGTTTGACTGGGACAGTCCTAAATTGCAGGCTTGTTAAAGTATTATGATAGAAACTCTTGGGTGCTATTGGCTCAGAGGCCAATATTGCAGTCCATGGGCCCAATGTGGCTGCCATTTGTTTTTGTGAATAAGGTTTTATTGAAACACAACCACACTCATTTTTTTTTCTATGTCTCGACAGCCAAGTTGAGTAGTTGCCACAGAGACTTCACGGCCTGCAAAATCTAAAATATTTACTATCAGGCCTTTCACAGAAAAAGTTTCCGTACTTCTGATGTAGACCAATGGCTCCCATTATTTCAGTGCATCAGAATCACCTACAGGATTTCAGGGTTTTGTTTTGTTTGTTCGTTTTTTAATGTTACTTCTCCAGACCCATTCCCTGAGATTCTGAATCGATTGGCCTAGAGTAGGGCTGGAACAAAGGAATCTTTTAAAATAATGTTTATGTAATTCTATTTTGAAAATTTTATTATTATTATTATCATTATTATTATTTTTAAAGACATAGCCTCACTCTGTTGCCCAAGCTGGAGTGCAGTGCATGATCATAGCTCACTGCAGCCTTGACTCTTAGGTTCAATCGATCCTCCCACCTCAGCCTCCGGAGCAGCTGGGACCACAGGCATGCACCACCACACCTGGGTGATTTTTTAAAAATGCTTTTATAGAGACGAGGTCTCACTGTGTTGCCCAGACTGGTCTCAAACTCCTGGTCTCAAGTGATCCTCCCACCTCAGCCTCACCAAATAGTGGGATTATAAGCATGAATCACCATGCCTAGCCTGTTTAGGTGATTCCAACGTGTAGCCAGGATGAAGACCATAGCTGTGAAGGAGAAGCACTAGCTTCATAAGCTCACCTCCCCAGAGCTGAGTGTGCTCAGTGTACTTGGACAGCCTAGGTAGTTTCCATCTCGGCTGCTTATCTGCAAAACAGAGATATCAATAGTGACCATGTTGGGTGAGGTAATATGAAAATTAGGGAGATGGATGCATACCTCTTAAGGCAGTGCTTAGCATACAGGAAGTATAAATGAATAGTGATGATGATGAAGATGACAGTGACAACTATGTTAAGGGTAATACTTATGACTTCCATAACACAACTGAATAAACATTCATTAAGCACCAGCTGTGTGTCCTGGAAGGGAGAACCTGAGGTTAATGTGATGAACACCCCACAAGTGTTCACAGTCAAGTAAGACAAGCAGAGACATAGAAACATACTGACAGCAGGCCGAATGCGGTGGCTCACCCCTGTAATCCCTGCACTTTGGGAGGCTGAGGCGGGTGGATCACCTGAGGTCAGGAGCTGGAGACCACCCTGGCCAACATGATGAAACCCCATCTCTACTAAAAATACAAAAAATTAGCTGGGCGTGTTGGCATGCGCCTGTAATCCCAGCTACTCAGGAGGCTGAGGCAGGAGAATCCCTTGAACACAGTAAGCAGATGTTGCAGTGAGAAGCGATCATGCCACTGCGCTCCAGCCTGGGCAACAAGAGACAAGAGTGAAACTCCGTCTCAAAAAAAAAAAAAAAAAGAAAGAAAGATACTGACAGCAATAGGAAAGAAAAATGAGCCTCCAAATATGGACAGACAAGTCAAAGGGGGAGAGAATCTAATTTCCAGTAAATAGACACAAACATGTCCAACTTCAGTAATAATCAGAGAAATAAAAAATAAAACTTAAATGAGATATTTTATCCCAGTAAATATGCAGACAGTAAAAACACTGGAAATATTGTGCGTTCATGCGAAGTGTTGTTTCTGCAGGCTTTTTAGAGGGCAAATTGGTAGATTAAAATCTGTACTCTTTTCAGATCCTCCATTTCCCATTTAGGTGTCTAGTCTACAGAAATATGTCTGCACTGAGAGACTGGTATAAGAACATTCACTGAGGCATTGTTGCAATAATGAAAACCATCTAAGTATCTATAAGATGGAGAATGGCTGACAAAATCGCCATGCAATTCTATGTAATTCAATGCGGAAGTTTTTCGAAATGGAGAATATATACAGGTATAAAATGTCCATGAGTTGAATTGAACCCATGGACATAAGAGAGTAGAAGGATGGCTACCAGAGGATAGGAAGGGTAGTGAAAGGGTGGGGGGAGGTGGAGATGCTTAATGAGTACAAAAAAATAGAATGAATAAGACCTACTATTTTATAGAATGACAGGGTGATTCTAGTCAATAATAACTTAATTGTATATTTCATAATTAAAATAGTGTAATTGGATTGTTTGTAACACAAAGGATAAATGATTGAGGGAAAGGATACCCCATTCTCCCTGATGTGGTTATTGCACATTGCATGCCTGTTTCAAAACATCTCATGCATACCACAAATATATACACCCACTATGTACCCACATAAAATAAAAATAAAATAAAATAAAATGGACAGTTGTCCAAAGTATTTCATGGAGAAGCTGCAAATACTAATAGAAAATGTATATATAAAAAAGCACACATACACACACTCAAAACAAAACTTCACATTTTTATTTCTATATATGTATGTAAATTCCCAGGCAAGATTCCTTCTGGGAAGGAAAGATAGATTTAGAGTGTAATAGACATCTTCACTTTACCTATATTTAATAATGTGAATGTATTCATGTACTTCTTATATACATTTTTGAAAAAACAGGACAGTAATTTAATAGGGTGAGCATTATTATAGAAGTGTATGTAAAATATGATGGCAGTACCCAAAAGAAGGTGTAGAATTCTGCTGGGGTGAGATGGACAAAAAGTGATGTCAGATGGAGATAAAGTAAAAAGTGTTGCCTTATCTCTGATGTCACCGAGATCAGGCAACACTGAGCTAGACCTTGAAGGAAGAACCAGGCTGGGTGCAGTGGCTCATGCCTGTAATCCCAGCACTTTGGGAGGCTGAGGTGGGTGGATCACGAGGTCAGGAGATCGAGACCATCCTGGCTAACACAGTGAAACCCCGTCTCTACTAAAAATACAAAGAATTAGCCGGGCGTGGTGGCAGATGACTGTAGTCCCAGCTACTCGGGAGGCTGAGGCAGGAGAATGGCATGAACCCGGGAGGCGGAGCTTGCAGTGAGCCGAGATCGCACCACTGCACTCCAGCCTGGACAATTTTGAGAGCCAGACTCCATCTCAAAAATAAATACATACATACATACATACATACATACATACATAATTAAAAAAAAAATAGAACCATTGGAGAAGTGGATGCGATGCTGTCATCCTAGGTAGAGAGGGCCCATGAGCAGAGGCTCAGGGGTGTGGGCATGTAGGCATTCATTTACTCAACATTAGGGCAATGCCTAGTCTGAGACTCTGAGTTCAGGACCCTTCTAGGTGCTTGCAGTACAGGTGTGGGGGCTATAGGCTCAGGTGCTGGGGCTATAGTGGGGAAACAGACACAGGTTTCCTTGTGATTTTATTCTAGTCTGTCTAGATAGGCAGTATACAAATCAACAAGTAAATGCACCGTGTGATGACAAGTGTTATTGGGGACAATAATGTAGGGAAGGTGGAAGGAAAATGCTGCTTGGGAATAGAGTTCTCCCTTTTTAGTTGAGTCAGAGAAGGCATCATCAGTGGAGAGTTGAAGGACCTGAGAACTCACCACAGGGGCAATCGGGGAAGAGCATTCCAGGCACTGGGATGGCAGATCCAGAGGGCTGAGCTTGACGTCGCTGAGGGACAATGAGGAGGACCATGTGGATGGAGCAGAGGAAGCCACAGGAGAGTGGCAAGAGAGGGGTTATAGAGTGAGTGGGGCTGGGATACATCCATATCATGTAAGGTTTTGGGAAATACACGAAGGACTTTTACTCTTCTGAGAGACAGGGGGAGTCATTGGAGGCTTTTGACCCGGCAAGTGGCCTGATCTGTTATATGCTTTGAAAGATCCCTCTGGCTACTCTGCTGAGAAAAGACCCTAGAGGCAAGACTGGAAGCACTGGGGCAATTGAACACATGGGGGCCAGCTCACCAGATCTGAGAAAACAGCATGTCAGCATCATGTGGGCCACTCTTGTGCCCTTTCTTTAAGTAGCGGCACCCTAATTTCCTTTGACAGACCCATCTAGCACATTTGCAGGGGCCAGGGTAATGGCACCAATGAAAGGAAATATACCACATACCTAGGTACCTGAAAATTATAAAGCAATCCAACAAACTGCTCAGTGAAACATATACTCTCCTCCTATGTTCATAATGGCCTGGAAGGTCAAGTTTAGATTTAGAATCCTCTATTTCTCAGATTTATTTGCCAATATTGGCAGCATGGGAAGAGCTGGCTCCTAGCTTATGGTTCTTAAATCCCAACCCTCTGTCTGCCCTCCACTTCTCTTCCTACTCCCAGTTCTATCTCTTACTCTGAGTTGCTTTTTCCGAGTGTGTGAGTACAACACAACACTCACACTGAAGATCAGTGGACCACAGGCTCTATATTCCTTAAACATTGGCACACAATCTCTCCTTAGGAGAAGAGATCCAAGAAAGAGGCAACTTGGGCAGAGAAGTCTGGAGTCTCTGCAAGCAACATGAAGGTCCAGAGGGAGGGTTCAGGTCCTGGAAGGTATGTGCCCTTGGCCTGTGGCCTCCTTATCTCATGGAAAGGCACGTAGCAGGTGAAGGACTAGAGTGGAGACCTCTTAAGGTATATGGCATGAGGCAAGGATGCTCCATGCATGGGCTTAAGAATGGCGCTGTTCTTTCTACCCAAGTAGGCTGAGCTTAGATCATTGCCTTTTACCCAAGGGAAGTGAGATACCTTGATTGGTACCCACACCAAAAGTCACACAATGGGAGGGTTCTTATTAATTTAAGTCATGGAGGGGTTGAAGGAAAAGTCTTGGAGCTGGTTCATGTTGGTCACCAGGTCTTAAAGACATTGTTTCTTCATTCCTGTTTCCTGGATTCCTGTCCAGTTCTTGGTTCCAGTTCTTTCTCAGCACCTCTTTGTTCAGTTTTTCCTTACATCCTATGAGCTCTTTCCAATGCATTCTTTTTAAGGCTTTCCTTTTGTTCTAGATAGTTTCTGTGTCTGCAGCAAAGAAACCCTCCAAGATACAGATTATGTTACAAAGAATTTTATATGCCACATTTGAGCACCTGAACTTCAGTCTGCAGAAAACTGGAAGCTTTTAAACAGGGGGGTGACCTGGCTTGATTGTTTAATATCTCTGGAGAGACATGGGAGATGGAATGCATAGGAAAAAAAGTACATCTAATCTTCCTTTCTCTCCCAGAACTTCAATCAGTGGCTTAAATGGAGGCATCCATTATAAGGTAAAGTTGAACTTCAAGAAAGAAAGAACAAAAATCCAGGGCAGGTGGGTGAGAAAAACACCAGGAGATCTGATACAGACAAATGAGCTCAATTTCAGGCAAGACAAACAATCAAGGCTGGATCCCAGGAAATACAGATTGGGCAGGGTCACGTCTAACCCTAGTTCAGTTCTAGAAGGCATTATTCACAGATGGTTTTTGAGCAGGGAGAAACCAACAGAAATTCATTATGACCAAGTCATGCCAAACTCCTGTCAGCCCCAGCTTCCCCCAATCCATGAATAGACATGCTTCAGCTGCAGTGTGTATATTGAGTGCCTTGGCCTCACCAGCCAGTGTTATCTTAATGGGGCTGAAATAAAGTTGGTACACATGTCCTGATTCCACTTAGTTGTAGCTTTTCTATAACTATAACTTTACCTGGCCTCCCAGTCTCTTGCTAAACTCAATATCTCAGCCCACCTGTATAGGTCCTTGAACAACTGTTTATTCCTTGTAAGGTTTTCCATTGAGAGGCTGCTTCTCTTGGAGAGAGAGACTTTCAGTGAACACCTGCTGTCTTTACCTACCCAGTATCCACACCTCTTATGCAGATAACAGCCCTGTATTTGGCTTTGAGAAAGGACTCTTCCTGCACTCATAGTTCACATAATTAGTCATGGGGAGTTGACTTGACTTTCAGCTCCAAGGTGTCATCTTTATCATAGGAACAAGGAGATACCACTAAGAGTTTTAAGTATGTACCCAGGAACACAGAGTCAATGGCAGGATAATGTGATCAGCTGCGCATTTGGAAAACATTCCTCTGGCTGCAGTGAGGGAGAGATTGCATGTGAGAAGACCAACTGGGATACTCTTGAGAGTTCTGATGAAAGAAATGGGATTTTAAACTAGGGTATTGGCAGGAGATAGAAGAGAAGTAGACAGACTCAAGTGACTTTTAAAATTACAATCAATAGGTGAGTGGTTAATTATATATGGGAGACTGAGGGAGAAAGAAAAGATTCCTAAGTTTGTGCTTTGTGCAAAAGAATGGATATTGTTGACTTCACCAATAGAGGTAGCTCTGAAAGAGAACCAGCTTTAGCAAAGGGATTTGTGAAGAGCACAGCTTCAGTTTGGGATATTTTGAAACATCTAGGAGGAAGTATTTAGAGGCAGTTGGATGTAAAAATATGGAACACTGAGGATGTGTCTGGGCTGGAGAAGTTAATTTGCCAGTCCATGAGTAGATGATAACTCTGAAGTCAAAAACGTACAAAATATAAGTGAGAGGAGAAGAAAGAGGTGGAGACCAAGCAAATAATGACCACCTCTGTGTTTCCTTTGACAACTGTCTCTTTCCACTTCACAATTACAACATTGGTATTCTTCCTTCTGAGAATGTACCCACTCATGGCATGTTCTTACCTAAACCGAATTTTACCACTGCTAATTTCTGGAGATTGTGATTTGAGTTCATTAAAATTGTTCACAGCACAGTTATATCAATGTCTTGCACAGAGATGGCCAAAGAGATATGGGCAGATGATGAGGTCAAAATCAGTTTTTTGTTTCTTTCTTCTTTTTTCAGATGGGATCTCACTCTGTTGCTCAGCTGGAGTGCAGTGGGGTGATCATGGCTCACTGCAAGATCTGCCTCCTGGGCTCAAATGATCCTCCCACCTCACCTTCCCAAGTAGCTGGGACTACAGGTGCACACCACCACACCCAGCTAATTATTTATTTACTTATTTATTTATGTTTGTAGTTATGGAGTCTTGCTATGTTGCCCAGGCTGGTCTTGAACTCACGTCAGTTTTTTTTTTAATAGGCTTTCCTTATGAAGACACCAAACATCTGTAATCCAAAATCCTCACTCCATGCTGGTGAGACCCCCCCCCGCCCCTGCTATTTAATGGAGCACCTCCAGTTTTAGGGATTACACATTAGCACAGAAATGGATGAACTAGAATATGTCTTTTGGACAAGGGTCCAGGACAGAGAGCAACCTGGAAGCCATGTAGAATGGGGAAAATGGTAATTTGGGGTATTCTCAAGAGGTCTGGAAAGAGAAGGGAAAGCCGACTTTCTCTGTATGGCACATAGCATAAGAGCAGGATCCATGACTTGCACCCTATCAGGCCAGCACAGGCCTAGCATAAAGTGGGCTTCAGTCGCTGTGTACTGAATGACTGACTATAGATGATGGTGAATGTAAGGTGCTGTGGTCAGGCTTCGGTGGTAGATGCTGAAGAGGCCATTCAGGCATCCACACTTACAGCTCCCTTAAATGCTGCCTGGGTCACTGGGCATCTGCACTGAGAACCCACCATACTCTTGCCCTGATATTGTGATGCCCATTAGCCTGCCCTCATCCAGTCGCTCCCTTGCTCTGTCCTCCTTCCAGGAACCTATGGATGTCAGAGCCTGAGAGCAGAGACTCCAGGAAGATCCTGGAGAAAAAGCAATCAGAGGTGAGACTCTCTCATTTATTGCAGTACACATTGACTTTCCTGGGGTCACCTAGGGCCTGAAACCTGATCATGGAATTTGGGATTGCAGATTGTGGAGGCGTGGACTGGGAGAATATTTGTTAAGCAATACTATATGCAAAGTGTTCTCTTACCAACCACATTTCCTTTCTTTGTTCACATAATCCTGACTACACCGCAGCCTTCATACTATCTTTGATTGGAGATGAGGCTCAGATGAGTCTCTTGAGGCTCAGAGAGGCTAGGATCGCCCAGCTTGCAAGCAACGCAGCATGAAGTGAAATCCAAGCCTGCTCAATTCTACAGTCTGTTTGCTTCCTTCCTTCCCTTCTTTCTGTCTTTCTGTCCGTCTTTCTTTCTCAAGGTCTCGCTCTGTTGCCCAGGCTGGAGCGCAGTGGTGTGATCATGGCTCACTGCAGCCCCAAACTTCTGTGCTCAAGCGAGCTTCCCACCTCAGCCTCAGGAGTAGCTGGAATTACAAAGTGCACCATCACACCCAGCTAATATATATTTTGTTTTTGTTTTGTTTTGTTTTGTTTTGTTTTCCTTTTTTTTTTTTTTTTGAGACAGAGTCTCACACAGTCACCCATGCTGGAGTGCAGTGGTGTGATCTCAGCTCACTGCAATCTCCGCCTCCCAGGTTCAAGCAATTCTCCTGCCTCAGCCTCCCAAGTAGCTGGGATTACAGGCTTCCACCACCAGGCCCAGCTGATTTTTGTATTTTAGTAGAGACAGGGTTTCACCATGTTGGCCAGGCTGGTCTTGAACTCCTGACCTCAGGTGATCTGCCTGCCTTGGCCTCCCAAAATGCTGGGATTACAGGCGTGACCCACCATGCCCAGCCTGCTAATATACATTTTGTTAGAAATGGGAACTGTGCTATGTTGCCCAGGCTGGTCTCGAACTCCTGAGCTCAAGCAGTCCTCCTACCATGGCCTCCCAAAATTCTGGGATTACAGGTGTAAGCCACTGCACCCGGCCACCTGTGTTCTTTCCACTTAATTTCGCAGTCTGTCGTTCAGGTCTTAATGAATGGGTCCCACCTCGTATATACCCTCCCATGGATGTAAAGAAATGCCTGAGCTAGGGCCACTTTTTCCTAATTTACTGTAAGAATACTTTGGGCCTGAATCTAAATCAGTCTTAAAACACGCCTCCGGAGCAGTGTGAAGAAGAGGCGAGAACGACCCCCAGACCGACCAAAGCCCGCGCGCCACTGCATCCCGCGTCCAGCACCTACGTCCTGCTGCCGTCGCCGCCACCACCATGCCCAAGAGAAAGGCTGAAGGGGATGCTAAGGGAGATAAAGCCAAGGTGAAGGACGAACCACAGAGAAGATCCGCGAGGTTGTCTGCTAAACCTGCTCCTCCAAAGCCAGAGCCCAAGACTAAAAAGGCCCCTGCAAAGAAGGGAGAGAAGGTACCCAAAGGGAAAAAGGGAAAAGCTGATGCTGGCAAGGAGGGGAATAACCCTGCAGAAAATGGAGATGCCAAAACAGACCAGGCACAGAAAGCTGAAGGTGCTGGAGATGCCAAGTGAAGTGTGTGCATTTTTGATAACTGTGTACTTCTGGTGACTGTACAGTTTGGAATACTATTTTTTATCAAGTTTTATAAAAATGTGGAATTTTGTTTTACTTTTTTTTTTTTTTAAAGCTATGTTGTTAGCACACAGAACACTTCATTGTTGTTTTTGGGGGAAGGGGCATATGTCACTAATAGAATGTCTCCAAAGCTGGATTGATGTGGAGAAAACACCTTTCCCTTCTAGTTTTGAGAGACTTCCTCTTGGCTCCCAGGAGGAGGGATTCCCTGACTTTGACACACATGGCCACCTTGGCACAAAAGCCTTGTGGTATAGAAAGACAAATTTGTTTTTATGTCCTCTTCTCCCTTTCCATCTTTCAGCATAGACTTAACTCCCTTAAGCCCAGACATCTGTTGGGACCTGACCCCTAGTCATTGGTTACCAGTGTGTCAGGCAATCTGGACTTTCCAGTGATGCCACTGAGATGGCACCTGTCAAAAGAGCAGTGGTTCCATTTCTAGATTGTGGATCTTCAGATAAATTCTGCCATTTTCATTTCACTTCCTGAAAGTCAGAGATGGCTTGTGAAAAGTTGTTAAACACCATGCTAAATGTGAAATGTCAACCCTCACTCTAAACTTTCCCTGTTCAGAGCATCAGATGAAGACTTCATTGGGTTTTATAGTGGCTTTCTGATTTTTGGTAGTCCATTGAAGAAGGGAGTTTGAAAGTTGTTGTATACTGTTAACGATTGTCTGCCCATGTCCTGCCTGAAATACCATGATTGTTTATGGAAAGTATCTTTAATAAAGCTGGATACAGTTTGGCTTGGAAAAAAAAAAAAAACACGCCTCCATCTTTCTGCTGGGCCCTGTGGCCGGTGCGTCGGGCCAGAGGCTCCTATTGACATGCTTTCTAAATGATCCTTCTTCCCTTTTGGTTTTTAATTTGGGGCCAATTTGCGCCTCTCTGCTTGATTAGGATCTAACACTCGCCTAGTCAAAATAAGTGCAACGATAATCAAGCTTGCCTTTGGAGTGGAGTGGAGTGTGTTTCAGTGTGTGCCAGCTTTTCCCAGCTCCCTCCCTGGCTGGAATACAAATGTCCTCCTAGAACAAGCTAAGTTATACAAGGATTTTAAGCTTATTCCAATAGAAATGAGTCAGATTCGGGAGCCTCGTCCCGGCCCACAGGAGGGTGAGCTGGGACCATCCCTGGTGCCACATTTCTGGGAGCTGCTGAATGATCTGTATCCATCTCTTTCTCTGGTTCTTCCCGGGGCGGGGAGTGGCGGGGCCCTGTGCCTGGGTTTCCGCTTCAGCTCCTCTGCTCACTCTTGCTATCTAAAATCACTTCCCAATCCCAGCAACATGCCCAAGGCAGGTAGTCCCGCTCTGAATGGGACTGGTTTGGCTGGACCCACAGCTACCTCAATAACATCCATAGCCATGGTTTTACCCAGTGTCTGCTCTGTAGATACTCATCGCCACACTAGGTACTTTACATAAATCTAATACTTTCATTCTCTCAACAATTCTATCCTTCACAAATACTTCTTTTGCATGTCCTACGTGCTAGGCACTGTCTGAGGAATGCAGCAGTGAATAAAGCAGGCAAAACCCCCTGCTTTTATGGAGTTCATGTTCTTTGGTGGAGAAAGCACCTCTTTAAACAGGCACTATTATCTTCTTTTTAAAGGGGAAAAATAAGGCTTAAAGAGTTTTCATAACTTGGAATCTGACATAGCTTGTATGTAGAAGAGATGAATTTCAAGCATGGGTTTCTAGGACCCAAGACCATATTTATTCTATGAAATGATACCATTTCCAGCAGATGCCAGGTCTCACTCCTAGAATTCTTATGGTTGAAGGGAATGAGACTCAACCTAGGTGAGTGGGTGTATGGTGCCTAGGTATGTATAGCCAGCAAGCTCCCAGGAGAAGTACAAAACTGGTTCTGATGGGCTCTACAGGTCTTACTTAATTGGGTTATAGAAGGAGAAAAAGTGTAATATTTCTAGTAATTACAAATATGACTGCCTACTATGCACCAGCCATGGCTTCAGGTGCTTTGCGTTGATTTATTTGCACCTCATCATTAACCTAGAAATATAAACAATTTCAGCATTATTTCTTTCTCTTTTTTAGAGACGGCGTCTCACCCGGTGCCTAGGCTAGAGTGCAACGGCACAATCATAGCTCACTGCAGCCTCTAACTTCTGAGCTTAAGTGATCTTCCTAACAGCCTCCAGAGTAGCTGAGACTACAGGTGTGCACCACCACACCCAGCTATTTCCTTTTTACAGGTGAAGAGACAAGGGATTGTGTATTTATGTAACTCACAAAATCATGGAGCTAGAGATGAGCAGAGCTAAGATGTGAACCTAGGCAGGCTGGTCTATTCTTCACCACCATACCCAGTGATCACATGAAGATGAGACAAAAATCTATCTCACATGAAAGGAGGAAGCCTGGACCTCCAAATGTCCCTAGACCCATGCTGCCATGCGGTGCACTCACAAGTTGGACAGGTCTTGCTCTCACAAAGAGCGAACGATGGGGGGACTAAGAATTTGGTATTGACAGGTGCTCAGGGGACGGGTGTTTTTCAGCAAAGAGGTCAGTGTGTGCAGAGGTGTGGGGTTAAGAAAGGACATATCCTGGTTTCTCAAAAATCGAACCAGTGGATAACTCACTTCTTTTGACACTGCGTGTGGAAATGGTGGTGAATGACCAGGAAACAGTCCCTCATGGGTCAGCTCCTTCAGGCCAGCACCCTTCTCCTGGAACTGATGCTTCAATAAACCCAGCAGCTCTCCCAGGTAGAAAGAACTACATAATTGCCAGGCGCAGTGGCTCACGCCTATAATCCCAGCACTTTGGGAGGCCGAGGCGTGTGGATCAAAAGGTCAAGAGTTTGAGACCAGCCTGGCCAACATGGTGAAACCCCATCTCTACTAAAAATTCAAAAATTAGCCGGGCATGGTGGCGCATGCCTGTAACCCCAGCTACTCAGGAGGCTGAGGCAGGAGAATCACTTGAACCCAGGAATCGGAGGTTGCAGTGAGCCTAGATTGTGCCATTGCACTCCAGCCTGGGCGACAGAGTGAGACTTTGTCTCAAAAAAAAAAAAAGAACTACCCCTTGCAAAATGAAGTGTGGGGACCCTTGTTCAAAAATTATTAAGAATTTTAAGATGGCAATAGCGGACCATTAAACCAAGTATGGGATGGGACCGTCCAAGTGCAGGGCCCCTGTGGCTGTTCAGGCCATGTGACCATGAAACCAGTCCTGCCCCCAGGTTTCCCTGAGCTACCACAGCATCATAACTCTTAGCTCATTTTTTTCTAGTGACCATTCTGGAAACTGAGTATTATCAAATCCAAGTTCCAGTTACAAAAACTCTGTGGTAAAGAATGACTTGACCAAATTCTCAGAATTCATGAATGACTGTGTCAGGATAGGAATAAAAATAAAACAACAAGTAATAGTTGATGTGTGTGGAGTCCCACGACCGAAACCTAAAATTTTCTGACACCAAAACCCATATTCTCCCATCCAAGTACTAACCAGGCCTGACCCTGCTTAGTTTCCAAGATCAGACGAGATCGGGTATGTTCAGGGTAGTATGGCCATAGACAAAAGACCCACGTTCTTACACACTTTGCCACTCTGCCTCCTGCCTGTAGGTCAGGGCTCTGTGTTTAATCCAAAACGTAGATGGTTTCATAACTGGAATATAAAAAGTGGCCTGGAGTAGCTAGGCTCCGCCCAGAGATACAATCAATATATATGTCAACAACTGTTCAATATCATGAATATCTTCCCCAACACCTAGAGAAGAAGTGCACATGGAGATGTGGGATAGTTTGGGCTTTTTATAAACTGCATTGTTGCTGCCACGTCACCCTCATCTCTGGTTGGCACAGAAACTAGCCCATCACATTGCACTCAGCAAGCTGATCAAGAAGCCTCTCTCAGGCTGGGCACAGTGGCTCATGCTTGTAACTCCAACACTTTGGGACGCAGGAGGATCGCCTCAGACCAGGAGTTGGAGACCAACCTGGGCAACACAGTGATAAACCATCTCTACAAAATAAATAGTTTTGTTTTAAAAAGTCTCTCTTCTTGATAACTAGTCATACCCACACAAGAGAATAAGTTATCTTTATCTTTATGATCATCTTTAATTTTCACAATTTTTAAAGTGGATTAAAAATACAGTCCCTACCTCATCTTTGCTTACTTTCTTATTCTTTTTTTTTTTTTTTTTTTTTTTGAGACGGTGTCTCACTCTGTCACCCAGGCTAGAGTGCACCTGAGCCATCTTGGCTCACTGCAACCTCTGCTTCCCACGTTCAAGCAATTCTCTTGCCTCAGCCTCCCAGGTAGCTGAGATTACAGGCGCCTGCTACTACACCCAGCTAATTTTTGTATTTTCAGTAGAGACAGGGTTTCACCATGTTGGTCAGGCTGGTCTCGAACTCCTGACCTCAGGTGATCCACCCACCTCGGCCTCCCAAAGTGCTGGGATTACAGGCATGAGCCCCGCTCCCAGCCCTCTCTTATTCTTTTTAATCTTTATTCTGAATTAAAAAGACTCTTTGTTTTCCAGATTGTTTCTTTCCTGGGAGATGGACTGCAATCCAGCCACATCCTTAGTTTTGCAAAGGGTTAAGACCATGGAGTCAGCCATTACTGAGTTTAGGCCCACCCCCTTGTATCACTAGATGTGTGAACTCGAACAAGTATTAAACTTCTCCTAAGCCTCAGTTTCTTCTTCTGTTACATCAGGATTAATAAGAGAATGCCTACTGTGTATAGTTGCTGTGATTATTATGGTCCTAGCATATTTATAATGTGCTTCATGAATGTTAACAGTTAGTAGTTGTATAATTGGCAGTGGTCCTAGGAAGCTGTTCTCACCAAATTCTTCTGCTGTCTCATTCACTCATTCATTCATTTATTCAACATAAATAAACACTGTGCCAGATCCATACCATAATTTGGAGAAGCAAAATGAGATAGGGGCATAAATCTAGAGGAGTTCAAGAAGGAGAAGTAAATGTGGACCTAAATAATGACATGACAAAGTAGACAATGTTCACAGAGAATATGGAGATAGGAACTCGGGCTGGGGGAGTCAAGGAAGGCTTCTTAGAAGAGGAAGCATCCCTGGGCTTTTAAGATGGAATGTAAGTAGTTCCCTGGGTCATGTTTCAACTACTGGCCAATGAGAACCACAGAAATTTCTTATGAATGGAACTGTCTGTAGTTTCCTGATGGCTACTGGCCAATGAGAACCATAGAAATTTCTTATGAATGGAACTATCTGTAGTTTCCTGACAGCATGGCTACAGTCCAAAGTAATCCCCAGTTCAGAGTTTTACTTTTGTTTTTGACAAGTGAAACAGATTTTACTTTAAGTTTTATTTTAAGAAGTAAAATAAATATTTCTTCATAGTCCAAAGGTCTGCAGTTGGGACTTCGGCAGTAGATATTTATAAGCAGGGGTACTCTGAAGAAACAGAAAGTACTGCCTTATGAATAAAGATTCATTGCTTCAGAGGTCTATCATGAGTCCTATGGGATTTTCCAAATGCTTAGCCTACGGATTCATGTGCACGCAAAAGGTTTAGCATTTATCATTTAAATGTCCCATGAGGACATCTCCCTTCCACTTTGCCCTACACAGCGGAAGTTCCTGGTGGCTCTTTCTTCTTTGATAGCTTGAGCACCAGTGCCATTTCTCATATCAGACTCAGAGCGTACATCTGATTGGTCCAAAACAATTATGACGACCCCACTTCTCTTGCCAGTGTTTCATGCGGGGCTGGACGTGTAATCAAATTCTGGAGAAATGACATGAGCAGAAATCAGCTGGGGAGCTTCTGGGAAAGGTTTCCTTTCTCAGACACAGGGGTACCAAAAAGTGATGTCATATCTTGTTTTTCCATATTCTTGTTCTTCTGGAGAGAGTTGATTCTGGAGGTGATGCCTAATATTGCTGTATCTGTTTCATGACTATGGGGCAAAGCTAGCCTGCATGGAAAACTGACATAAGATAATAGCAAAGGAGAAAGATAGGAATAACCAGATCATTGGTGACATCATTGAGCTACTGAATTACCCAACCTTGGAGCCACTCTACCTTCCAAACTTCCTCCTAGGTGCAATAACGAACTATTCTTATGGTGTAAACTGATGCACCAGAGCTTTCTGTTGTGACCAAATGCATCCTTTCTGACTAAGCCCTAGTATATTGGCTTTTGAAATCCAAGCATTGGTCCTGGTTATCACCCTAAGGAGAAACTAGGGAGGTTTCTCAAAAACGATGTTGTTTCCGGCCGGGTGCGGTGGCTCACGCCTGTAATCCCAGCACTTTGGGAGGCTGAGGCAGGCAGATCACGAGGTCAAGAGATCAAGACCAGCTTGGCCAACATGGTAAAACCCTGTCTGTACTAAAAATACAAAAATTAGCTGGGCATGGTGGCACACGCCTGTAGTCCCAGCTACTTAGGAGGCTGAAGCAGGCAGACCACGAGATCAAGAGATCGAGACCAGCCTGGCCAACATGGTAAAACGCTGTCTCTACTAAAAATACAAAAATTAGCTGGGCATGGTGGCACGTGCATGTAGTCCCAGCTACTTGGGAGGCTGAGGCAGGAGAATTGTTTAAATCCGGGAGGCAGAGGTTACAGTGAGCCAAGATCACACCACTGCACTCCAGCCTGGCGACAGAATGAGACTCCATCTCAAAACAAAAGCAAAAACAAAGGAACAAAAAAAGGGTGGTGTTGTTGCTAAGCCTTCCAGAAGTTCCTTGGTAAACTGAATTCCCTGTTATTGCCTACGATCCCATGATGTGACATCAATCAATGTTGCAGAGGCATAGGAGCCTGCCCTAGCCTTTAGCATTTGCCAAATAGTTGACTTCATCAGCCCTCTGTACCCTCTAATAAAGAACCAGTGGCACATCACAAGCCAATCAAAAACTCCTTTGCGTGGCAGCGTTCCAGTTCTTCTGAGACCTAAACTCTGTTTCAAACAAAGTGGCTGGAGTTTCTGGGATTGCTGGCTTTTGTGGCCTGTAGATCTGAATAATCCCATAAAATATCCCTTCAAAAGAAGAGCACGAGTGTTCTGAGGAGCATGTTGGATATCAGATGTGAGACCCAGCGTACGAATGAAACGGTAATAGATGATGGAAAGTGCAAGGAGACTTGGCAATCAACCTATTAGATTGGTGCAAAAGTAATTGTGGGTTTTGCCATTATGTTGAAAGGCAAAAACCGCAGTTACTTTTGCACCAACCTAACTAGGCCCTATCTTAACATCAGGTGATGTTACAGTCCTTTCCTCTTGGAAAAATTTGTCCTTTTATTAAAAAGTGGCATGGCTTCTCATACATTAGAGGTATCTTAGGAATGTAATTTTTTATTCTCTGCAAATCTATATAAAAGCAACATGTACCCAACATGGTCTTAAGGGGATAGGATGAAATTTAGTAAAAAAAAAAAGTTGGAACTTTACCCATTAGTAACTTTACTAAGAATGAAATGGGAGAGGGGAGGTCCACAGAATAAAGATAAGTCATATTCCACAAACAAGTGCTTTGCTGGCCATGCAACTGTTAGCAGGTCACTTAGATAATCCAGCTTTTGGTTTACTCACCTAGCATGGGGGTGCTGGACTTGACCCACAGCCTGTGCTAGATTACACTCTGTCAATTTGGCTAAGGCTGGAATTACACAAAGGATAAAGATCATTAAAAGTGTTCTATAAACCATAAAGCACTACGTAAATGAGACTTTTTTTTGAGATGGAGTCTTGCTTTTGTCGCCCAGGCTGGAGGGCAGTGGCACGATCTTGGCTCACTGCAGTCTCTGCCTCCTGGGTTCATGCGATTCTCCTGCCTCAGCCTCCCGAGTAGCTGGGATTACAGGCACCTACCACCATGCCCTGCTAGTTTTTGTATTTTTAGTAGAGACAGGGTTTCACCATATTGGCCAGGCTGGTCTTGAACTCCTGACCTCAGAGGATCTGCCTGCCTCAGCCTCCTAAAGTGATGGGATTACAGGTGTAAGCTACTGCGCCCAGCCCTGAGACTTGTTTTAAAAGCAAATGAAGTGGCCAGAGGGTGCTCTTCCTACATGGACTCTTATGCCACAGTTCTAAAGGGAAGATGGATTATCAAACTGGGCCATGAGGCAGCATAACTAATGAACTATTATGATAAGCAGAGATCTCACTTACTGACATGTCCTGGATACCATGCACTGAGCTAAGTGCTTTACAGACATTGCCTTTTTTTTTTTTTTTTCCTTTTGAGACGGAGTCTCTCTCTGTTGCCTGGGCTGGAGTGCAGTGGTGTGATCTCTGCTCACTGCAACCTCCACCTCCGGGTTCAAGCGATTCTCCTGCTTCAGCCTCCCAAGTAGCTGGGATTACAGGCATGTGCCACCACATCAGCTAATTTTTGTATTTTTAGTAGAGATAGGGTTTCAACATGTTGGCCAGGCTGGTCTCAAACTCCCGATCTCAAGTGATACACCTGCCTCAGCCTCCCAAAGTGCTGGGATTACAGGCGTGAGCCACCGCACCCATTGACATTGTCTTTAATACCCAGAATGACCTCACAGAGGAAGCATTTTCTGATGAGGACACTGAGACTCAATCTCAATAATTCTTGAGGTCACACAACTTATAAGTGACAAGCCAGGGTGCAAACTCCTCTCTGTCTTGCAGCAAACATCATGTGCATTCTACCCCACTCTGCTATATCAACCAGAAAATCAGAGATAAAGACTAGGTAGGAGAGCTCCTTTATGCACATTAAATTATTGGCCAGGTGGGATGGCTCATGTCTATAAATCCCAGCACATTAGGAGGCTGAGACAAGAGGAACACTTGAGGCCGGGAGTTTGAGACCAGCCTGGCCAACATAACAAGGCCCCATCTCTACAAAAAAATAAAATAAAAAAATTAGCCAGGCCTGGTGGTGTGTGCCTCTAGTACTAGCTACTTGGGAGGTAGAGGTGGGAGGATCATTTGAGCTCAGGAGTTTGAGGTTGCAGTGGGCTATGATCATGCCATTGCACTCTAGCCTGGGTGACAGAGTGAGACCCTGTCTTAAAAAAAAAATTTAAGACAGTAAAAAATTGTTTTAATTCTATTCTTCTATCTATTTGAATAACCTTCTTCTTATCAGAGCAGTTGTGCCAATGTTTGAGGCAGAAATATATATATATATATAAAACATATATTTATGTATATATAGTCACCATACTTATACCTACAGATAAAAATAGTTTTATGGGAAAGTAAGTGGTACAAATGGTGCATCAAGATGACATAATCTGCAGCCATTAACAATGAAAATCATTACGATGCTTTAAAAACATGAAAAAATGCTTAAGAAATCCAGTGAGGTAAGGAAAAAAAAGAAATAGCAAATGGTATGTACACTGAAGTGAATACAGTTGGTTTTTTTTCTTCTTCTTTTTTTTGAGATGGAGTTTCACTCTTGTTTCCCCACCTGGAGTGCAATGGCATGACCTCGGCTCATTGCAACCTCCGCCTCCTGGATTCAAGAGATTCTCCTGCCTCAGCCTCCCCAGTAGCTGGGATTACAGGCATGCGCCACCACACCCAGCTAAGCCTGGCCAACATGATGAAACCCCATCTCTACTAAAAATACAGTTATTAAAGTTGTTAAAACAGTGTTTTCACAGAATAAAAAGCGCTGTAGGCCAGGTGTGGTATAATCTCAGCACATCGGGAGGCCAAGGCAGGAGGATTACTTGAGCAGCCCAGGAGTTTGAGACCAGCCTGGGCAACATAGCAAGACTCTCTTAAAAAAAAAAAAAAAGGAAGAAAATTCTGTGTGCAAAAAATGGACCTTTGAATTGACTAACAACCACAAGCCAGATTTTGACCTGCTGCCTGTCTGTACAGCCTGTAAATACAGACACACTCCTCCATTTCCACATAGTCTGGGACTACTTTCATGCTACAAAGGTAGAGCAGGTGGCCTCCTGGACCACAAAGCTTAAAATGTTTGCTATCTGCTCTTATAGAAAAAGACTGTGGGCCCTTGATTTAGAGCATGGGATTATGAATATGTCCCCTCCCCCAATTTTCAGTAAGTGTCCACTATGTAATTGCAGATGAAGAGTGAACCAATACAAATCACCCACCACTAACATTTTAGATTTAGATTTCCTTAATTTCCACTGAGATTCACCCAAAAGGTATTTACAATTTTGCTGAGAAGAGAACTTAGCTGGTTGCCATGGCTAATGCATAGAATCCTAACACTTTGGGAGGACGAGGCAGGAGGGTAGCTTGAGGCCAGGATTTTGAGATCAGCCTGGGCAACACAGTGAGACCCCATAGCTACAAAAAAATAATTTTAAAAAACTAGCCAGGCATGGTGACATGTGCCTGTAGTCCCAGCTACTTGGGAGGCTGAGGCAGGAAGATCACTGGAGCCCAGAAGTTCAAGGCTGCAGTGGACTAAGAAAGTGCCACTGCACTCCAGCCTGGGTGATGTAGCAAGACCCTGTCCCCCAAAAAATAATAATAGTAGGCTGGGTGTGATGGCTCACACCTGTAATTCCAGCACTTTGGGAAGCCAAGGTGGGCAGATCACGAGGTCAGGAGATCAATACCAGCCTGGCCAACATGGTGAAACCCCGTCGCTACTAAAAATACAAAAATTAGCTGGTTGTGGCAGCACGTGCCTGCAATCCCAGCTACTCAGGAGGCTGAGGCAGGAGAATCACTTGAACTCAGGAGGCGGAGGTTGCAGTGAGCTGAGATCGCACCACTGCACTCCAGCCTGGTGACGGAACTAGACTCTGTCTCAAAAATAATAATAATAATAATAATAGAACTTAGATTGGAAGTGCTTAGAGGTTGTGTTTGTATGGGAAGGGGCCGCATGTCTGATGTGTGAGCCTCGTACGCTGCTGGGCATCCTCACAGCCTCACATCTCTGTGGGTCTCTGTTGTATTCATGAATGACCACATCCTATCTTTTTCAGTGAAACTAAATAATAGGATGCAGTAATTGCTACCTCAAATATCTACAATGGCGGACAGGTAACACAAATGAGTAAAGTGGGTTGAGTGTAAGATAATAGGGAATGGGGAGGACAGAAGTCAACAGGAAAGAATGTCTGTCCCATCTCATCCATCTAATGATGCAGGCTGATCACCGCTGGGCAGGAATGCAGGTCCAGTGTGGACAGATCTTTTAACTTTTCGAAGGAAGATGAAAATCAGACATGTATGTAAAATCGCCCATATATAAAAATTGACAACAAACTCCTTTTTAAAAATCACCACATAAAATAAATCTGCCAGACAAATTTGGCCCATAGCTGACTATGGTGCAACTCTACTAAAATTAAATTCACCATGTATGTGTTTGCAGTGATCATTACCTCACTCGGGGCTGTTTTGATGTTTCAAACTCCAAATGTTCAAATATTAACAATCACATTTAAGAAGTGCTTACAGCATGACAGGAACTGTGGAAAGGGCCTTATATGCATGGATGCATCTATTCCTTTATGAGGCAAGAACCATTCTTACCAACCATCCCCATTTTACATATATGGAAACTGAGGCATAGATCATTAATTCACCAAAATTTGCAAAACTAATACATGTAGAGATTGGGCTTGAACCTAAACAATGTGGGTCCTGGAGTTTGTGTTCTCAGCCCGGGCTTCTCACACTTGAACCTGCACACGGATCACCTAAAGATCTACTTGAAGGCAGATTCTGGTTTAGAAGGTCTGGGATGAGGCTTGAGATTCATTTCCAGCAAGCTCCCAGGTGATGCTGATGTTGCTGGTTCATGAACCACACCTTGAGAGTAGCAAAGCTCTTAATCATGACATGAGAGGTTCTCAAAGTGTGTTTCCCAGAGCAGCAGCACCAGCATCACCTAGGGGTGCTTTCAACATGCAGTTTCAACAAACTGTGTTTGTGAAGCCCTGCAGATGATTCTGATGCAGGTTCAAGTTCTTAGAAATGCAAAGCCTCAGTCCTCCGGCTGTCACAGCGCTGCTCTTTCTGATCATCTCTCGTTTGGCTGTGGGAATGGTCAGAGCTTTTTCTCTTAGGACATTGATTTTTGCTTAGGGAGGGGAGACACAATGTACTAATGCCTCTTCGTATATCTATAATTCTCGTGCCCCACAGACAACAGCACTTCTTTAAATAGATGCAAGAGCTGTGGCCCTAGACACTCTCCTTTTTGCACATTTACCTTCCACTGAGGCCAAGATCAAGCAATATAAAATTATCCCAGTTTGACTCAAGTCATCTCTCTGTTCCCACTGTCAACTGTCAAAGGTGACTGCCACTGTGTTCTCTGGGCTTTTGACACCTTTTTCCAGAAGCTCTGCATGCCCTGGGCTTTAGACATGCAAATCCTTTGGAAGGCAAGACAGGTGGGATCCGAGTGTATTTGGTAGGGGGGGCGGTGTTTAGGGGAAGCACAGAAACCACACAGCTGTTATCTGGAGCACCAGAAGTGTTTTGACAGTTTTCAAGATGGACATTAAATCACTCGCTGGAGAGAAAGTGAAGTGGGTGTCAGTCAGGCTGGGGATGGGGTAGGCAGCTGGCAAGTAGCAATTGTGGTGGCTGTGTGATGCGAGTCAGAATGAGAATCATAAATCTTGATTATTCTCTGTCTCAGCTGATTTGAACCAAACGGCTTGGACAGGGATAGAGTTCACATCTCACTGAAAACTGCAAAAAAACTGATTAAATATACAAACTGATATAAATAGCCCTCGATCCATGTTAATGTTCAAACCATCACCACTGAGGGAAAGAGGCAACGTTGTGCAGATCTGGGATCTGTTTTGATAAGAAGTGGTGTTCTAGATCCCAGGAGCCAGACGGACCCGCCGCCCTCCCTGTGTGTTTCCAATCCATTGCCAGTCCCCATCACTCTGTTGCCAGAATGCTAGCTGTTCTTATAATGAAGGCAATTAGTACAGCCAGCCCTCTTACTCTGATTGCCCTCCTGTTAAAATTAGGCACCCTATAGAAAAATGAAAATGCAGAGTCGTTACCATAAAGCAATAATAAAGTAAACCATTCAATTACGGATGTAAAAAAGGCACTTGGATTAATAAGAATATTGTATGCTTAAGAGCATTAAAATACCAGCATATTACCATTTTTGCATACATAATGAATGAACTTAGAGACCAGAATGATTGGGACGTGAAAATACTAAATGATGGTGCCCTTCCTTATAAGTCAATGCTGCTACTTGAGGTCTAGGGGTGCAGGGATGCATGAACCCCACTGCCCCCCTGGACATTCATATCACTGTTTGGAAGCAGGGATTGATTGAGGGGGTGGATCGGGGGGTAGCAGATGAGAGAGAAAAGACGAGTAACTGGCAGCATCCACTTGCAGGACGGGAATATGATGTTTTTTATCGTTTGTTAGAAGGCTTGAAGAATCCTCAGCATCAAGATGAGGAAATTAGAGGTAACAGAGTATAGAGCAGGGATTGCAAAGTCACATAGTGGCAGGAGCCAGGCAGGTAACAAAAACAAATGAGCTGGGCCAACTGAAAGATGATCAAGAACAGGGTGACTGTATTGAAACTAAACCACTGCCTGCTACTTAGCTTCAGCCAGTTTGTTTTGTTTTGTTTGGTAGTGATTTTTTTTTTTTTTTCCATGAGGAGGCTTGGTTGCCAGATCTTCTGGTGATTTTCAGAAACTAAAGTTGATGTTTGAGGTTTCCCAATTTTTAAAATACTGTAAGCCAAACACGATGTTGTGAGGACCCAATTTGCCTCCAGGATCACTGCTTGTGATCCTTGGTGTAATGTTAAATGCTCAAAAGTAGGGAGTCAGGATATTGTCTCCTTTCCTGACTTTGTCAATATTTGACTCTGTTGACCTGGAAAAATCTCATAGCCTCTCTGGGATTCAGTTTTCTCATGTGTAAAACAAAGTCTTCTAGGCTGCAAGTGCTATAAGGGCAACCATGATGTCTCTTTGGTTCATCACGATATCCCCAGAATGTAGGACAATGCCTGGTACACAGTAAATGCCGAGAAAAAATGTTCGTTGCATGACTGAAAACAACGGAAGAATAAATGAAAGTCCTCTGAATTCCCACAACCAGTCTCCTGGTTTCTTACTGTTAGTTCCGACCAATCCTGTGCCCCCCAACAACTCCCCTTCCTGTTGACAAGATATAAACCCTGGTCCCTGACTCAGCCACTTGCTCAATTTATACTTCTTTCATTCACTTCCATTCATTTAGTTATTCATCTTTGGAACTATAATGCAGCCCCACTATGCTGGATGAGGTCCTGTGCTGGGAACTGGCCACACAGAGATAAAAAGGCAGTAGCCCTGCTTTCAAGTGACATCCAAACTAGTGAGGTTGAACAACAAGTGAGCACAGACATGGGATGCAGTGTGATAATCAGCTCTCTACTGGAGACATGTGCGACGGGCCATCTTGGCTTATTTCTTTGACCCATGCATCCAACTCACCTATAATCCTTCCTAATGAAACAGATTCTAGAATCCTGTTGCTGTTACCTGAATTATGAAAATTCATGTAGGAAGTTCCTCTCTGCCCTGTACAGACAGTCCTTGTCATAACGCTGGCTGTCCCAAATCTCCCATTGGTACCATTTGTGGGGTCTGCCTTTCCTTCCAAATTTGTTCCCAGGCTCTTCTCTTAGCTCTCATGGCTAAACATCCTAACCCTATGTTCTATCCCTATTCATCAGGGGACTGCAAAATCAGTCCCTTGAGGACTTTTTCTCTCTTGAAGATCCCATAATTCTGATTCAAGATGAACTCCAGGAAGACATTAATGACTGATATTGAAGAAATACCTTTCTGATACGGGAGGATTCTCATTTAACAGTAAATCCTCATTAGAAAGTGCTGCTTTGGTACAGTGCTACCATGAAAGTGTTTCATTTTTTGCCAGATCTAGATATCTCCTGTTCCATCACTATGCAAACAATTTCTGGAAGCTCTCTCTTTTCTTTCATTTCTGACTGCAAACTGGCCAATTTTTTTCCTAGCTCATTGCTTTCATGTAATGTATTGCCACACGCAGCCAATATCAACCAACACACACTCCTAATGTCGCATTTTCCAACTTTTCCCCTAGAGCTCCAAGTTAATCAGACATGTGGCCTGCCTCCAAAGTTATCACAAGGGACAGTTTTACCAAGCATTTGCTAAACAGAGATCACCATGTTAGTAGCCTTTAGCAGAAGTTTCCTTTCTCCTCACCTACCCTGCTAAGTGAATGCTAAATGTTTTAGGATTTTGTTATAAAATCACCCCACTCATGGTACTAATTTCTGTGTTACAAAGAAGGCTAGATTACTCTGGGATAACAAATTAGTGCGTAAGTGTCAGTTGCTGAATGCAAGTGTTTGTTTATTGTTCGTGCCACATGTCCACTCTTGGTTGGCAGGAGGCTCTGCTGTGTATAGTCCCTTGAGGAAACTCTACCAGAATGGGAAGCAATTATCTCAACACACAACTTCTTGATTGACTGTGGCTGAATAATAAATAGTTGGGAGGTAATATGGGCTTTCTCTTGCCTGCAGCCTCTTAGCCAGGGATAATGTCAAGGCTCTGTCTAACTCTAAGGAATATGAGAAATACAGTCCTCTTGAGTGCCCAGAAGGAAGGAAAGAACCAAATATGAGTGAGCACTAGACATTTCTATCACACTCACTTAATATCTTCTTCAAATTGAATGATTTTTATATAAAAAATTCTCATTTAAAGTAGAGTATATACTCCCTGAGAAAAATTATTTGCATAAGGAGACTTGCTATATCTTCCATAAAGAAGACTTGCTATATCTTCACTGGTACCCCTGCCATAAACAGATGGTAAGTACAAATTGTGTCAGAAACAGAAACAAAACACATTTTAAAAAATTTAATGCAGATATTATTGTGGATGAAGGGCCTAAGTCTGAGACTCACTTTCCCTTTATAAAAAAGAGGATGATATGCTAATGATAGAGAAGTATTCAAGCTATATTAGCCAAATGGAAACATTCTCCTTGGTATAATCAGACAGAAAGAGAAGTAACATGTGAAAAGCTTCTTTACTACGTGATTCAGTGTTACTCAATGCCCTGTTCACGTAGCTTCTAAAATAACTGAGTATACACCAGTAGCACTTTTATACCTATGAGTTACTCTGACCTAGACTGTGTCAGGGTAGACAACATTAGATATTTGGAGCCTGGAGTGACAACCACATTTATAAGCAGATTATTGGATACTTTATCCATAAGAACAGCCTCATCAGAGCACACTTAGTTTACAGGAACAAAACAGCATGCAAGACGATAAAATTCATCTGCATACATTCTGATCTATGCAAGCCATACATGTCTATGCTGATTTCTGGATTTACTCTAACAGAGAGTTTTTCGGCCTCACCAGTACAGATACTTTGGGGCAGCTATCTCTTTGCTGTTGGAGGAAGGAGGCTGCCTTGTGCATTGTATAATATCTAGCAGCATCTCTGACGTCATCCACTAGATTTCAGTAGCACACCCCACCCCCAGCTGTGACAACTAAAAATGTCTCTATACCTTGATAAATGCCTCTGGGTGGGAGTTATAATCACTCCTAGTTAAAAAGTATGAGTTTAACTTAAATCCCCCCAAATTGGAAAGACATCTTGTGAAGTAAGGAATTTGGCCTCTAAAGAAAGGAGGCCTAACTTTTCTTCTGGCTCCTGGGAAGTAACACCTAGATCCTTAGAATTTCCTGAATGATAGGAATTTGTGCTTGGACCCTCAGATGACACTTAGTAGTTCATCTTAACAAGACGGTTCAAGGTGGGAATTGGCTATGCCACAAAGACCAACCATGCAATCAGAGGGCTGGAGCTTTGACTCCCATGTTAGTCTAACCTCTAGGGAGGAAAGGAAAACCAGAATTTGAGTTCAGTCATGTGGGCATTAATTCAATCAGTCATGATTAAGTTATTGACTCCAATAAAAGTCCCAATAAAAACTCTGGACATAGAGACTTGGGTGAGCTTCCTGGATTGGCAACACTACACACATATTGGCATATATTGATGTTGGGAGGATAAGACATCTCTAAAAATGACAGAAGCTCTGCATTTGGGACCCCCATTCCCCACCAGATTCTGCTTCTGCATTTCTTCCTTGGTTGGTTGTAATACGTATCGTTTCACTATAATTAAACATAATTGTAAGTATTACTCTTTCCTGAGTTTTGCAAGTCCCTCTGGTATTGCACCTGACGGTGACCTTGTGAGCTCCCGAATTTGCAGACAGCTGATCTGAAATGAGGATGGGGTTGAGGGCCCCCACACTTGTTGCTGGTGTCAGAAGTCTTAGGTCGACTTGGCAGCCTAAAAGATTATATTCTTAACCTCTAGCTTGGCTAACTCCAAATACGACTCTAACAAGGTCATCCATTTTTACTATCAATTTCATTAATTCTGCCTTTAAAATCTTTTCTTCAACAATTTGCCACAGCTCCTTATGCAAAAGGTCTGTATTCAATTAGCTCTAGTTCACCATATTAGCCAGAAGAAGTCTCTAAATATTTAACCACAAAGGTGTGGTGGAAAGAGCTCTGGACCTCTCAATCATGAGTTCAAATCCTAATTCAACCCCTTTTGCTTGTATATTATGATGGTAAAGTCACTTCAGTCTTTTGAGAAGTGTAAAATGGTGATGATACAATAGCAAAGACATAGAATCTACTTAAAAACTCATCAGTGATGGACTGGATAAAGAAAATATGACACATATACACCATGGAATACTATGCAGCCATAAAAAAGATCAAGATCGTGTTCTTTACAGCCACATGGATGGAGCTGAAGGCCATTATCCTAGGTGAACTAAAGTAGGAGCAGAAAATGAAATACAGTGTGCTCTCGCTAATAAGTGGGAGTGAAACACTGAATACACATGGACACAAAGAAGGGAACAACAGACACCAGGACCTATGTGAGGATGGAGAGTCAGAGGAGGGTGTGAAATGAGAAACCACCTATAGGGTACTATGCTTATAACCTGGGTGATGAAATAATTCGAACACCAAACCTCCTAACACTCAATTTACCTATATAACAAACCTGCACATGTACCTTGAACCTAAAATAAAAGTTAAAAATTTAAAAATAAATAAAGTAAAATGGTGACGATAGAACTTTCATTCATTCATTTGTTAAGTATTCATGGAATGTCCACAATGTGTCAGGCACTGATCTAGCCCCAGGGACACAACAGTGAACAAGATGAGGTCCCTGTCCTCATAGAGTTTACATACTAGTAGGATAGACAGACAACAATCATGCCACTATTTCATATTATTTCAGATGAGAATTGCCACAAAGGAAAATAAAGCAAAATAGCGGAAGAGAAAGGGAGAGTAGGAGTAGGAGTGGGTGTTTTTAAAATTTTTTAATTTTTGTTTTATTTATTTATTTATTTATTTATTTATTTATTTTGAGACAGAGTTGCTATCTGTCGCCAGCCTGGAATGCGGTGGCGCGATCTCAGCTTACTGCAACCTCTGCCTCCCAGGTTCAAAAGATTCTCCTGCCTCGGCCACCAGAGTAGCTGGGACTACGGGCATGCCACCACACCCAGCTAATTTTTTTGTATTTTTAGTAGAGATGGGGTTTCACCATGTTGGCCAGGATGGTCTCGATCTCCTGACCTCATGATCTGCCCACCTTAGCCTCCCACAGTGCTGGGATTACAGGCATGAGCCACCGCTCCCGGCCAGAGTGGGTGCTTTTTAACAGTGTAGTTTGAGAACATCTCTCTGAGAAGGAAGCATTTATGCGAAGGCCCTGAGGTGAGAACACTTTCGACATATTTGAAATATTTAAAAAATAGTCATCCAGGATTAAATGAAATGAAGCCTATGAAATTGATGAGCTTAGTCCCTGGCACTTAAATAAAAATTTAAGCATCTATTGGGTGAATCTGTATAAATGCATGCTGAGTGTTTTTGGAAAACATCCCTAGGAGTAATTACGGTGGAATTCTATGTGTGCTGACCATATATTTTATATTAATTGCTTTATTTGCTCCTCATAACAACCTCTTGAGCTAGATAATATTGTCTTCACCATTTTTATAGATGATGAGGAAATTAAGGCAAAGGCATTAAGTAAATTGCTCAAATTCACACAGCTCTTAAGTGGTAAAACCAGGAATGGTACCTGGGCAGTTGTTTTTTGAGCACCTTGTCCCTAACTACTCTGCCACACCATGTGTTCTTCTGTTTGTTTTGTTTTTTTGGTGTTTTTTTTGTTTTTATTTTATGTATGTATTTATTTATTTTTGACAGAGTCTTGCTCTGTCACCAGGCTAGAGTACAGTGGCACGATCTCAGCTCAGTGCAACCTCTTGCCTCTTGAGTTCAAGCGATTCTCTTGCCTCAGCCTCCCGAGTAGCTGGGATTACAGGCACGCGCCACCACACCCAGCTAATTTTTGTATTTTTAGTAGAGATGGGGTTTCACCATGTTGGCCAGGATGGTCTCAATCTCTTGACCTCGTGATCTGCCCGCCTCGGCCTCCCAAAGTGCTGGGATTACAGGCGTGAGCCACTGCGCCTGGCCTCATGTTTTAACAATAATGGCTCCAGCTCATTGTTCAGTCCCCTTTTTCTGACCTCTCAAAATACAACTGAACTTTTACTGTGAATTTCTTATTTAATAAATCTATTTATTCAATGAGCATTTATCAAACACCTGCCAAGTTCCTGGTCCCTGAACAGGCACTGAGAATATAAAGAATGTGGCCCAGCTTCTATACATTCTGAAATGTGGGGGTAGAGACAGCTACAAAATTATAATGCACTATTTTAAGCCTTGAAACACCATTTAACTGTCTCATGTGTCTTCAGCTCATCTTCCCAAGAGGTATATGTCAGCAGAGGTTGTGATGTGTAAAAATTATTGCTGATATATCTGGACATTTTCATAAACAATGGAAAAATATTAGTGGCTTCTGAGAAACAAAAGCTACAGAAGCAGAATTACAAATTTCAGGAAATCTTCAGTTCCACATAGAAGAGGCTCTACTGATCGGGTCTTCTCAGCTGCCTAAATCTTGATTTTACTCTCTTGACCTTTCCTCTTTATCAGAATATTTGGCTGATTGATTGAGGGACAAACCTTCCCTTTCTTTTTGATATTATTGCATATAATTTCCCCTTTCTCCGATCCTCAAGCTGATACACTTTGACAGGAAGCTCTATTGAGCCCTTTTCCCATATGCCACATGTGTGGAGATAAAACATGGATCACTGTTTCCTTGTTTTATGGTAAAACAGGATCGCCTGCAAACCACACCCTGCTGACTTATCTACTGAGGCACAGGGCCCTGTTGCCTGGTTGATGAATTCTTGAGATAGATTTGGAATTTGTGCATATTGCCTTCACAATCATTAAAGGAGCATTAATCGATTATTCAGGTGTAGAATCTATTCTGTTTCCCAACTTTATAGTCCTCTCAATCTTTTCCAGAAACTGCAAAGGCCATTTGGCCCTAACCTGGCTTTCATTAATCTTGGCTTGGGTAATACTTAGGAAGGCAAGCCTACAATCTGTAGACTTCATATCCTCATTTCTGTGACATAGATCTCAACCTCATATATCCTTCCTAGTATTCCTAATAGATTAATGAAACAGGGATGTCTTTTCTCTTGCTGTTATAACCACAACAGTGTCTTCATTCTAACCCCATTTCCTACACACATGCACACACACACACACACCTCTCTCTGTCTCTCTCTCACACACACACACACACACACACACACAAACATATACCTGTTATGACATTGTCACTGGCAGCTCATCAACCAAACGCAGGCTGAGGTTGTGTTTTATTGTACGTGGTCATGTATTTTAAACAGTTAAAATTGAATGCTTTTTTTTGAGACAGAGTCTTGCTCTGTCACCCAGGCTGGCATGCAGTGGCACGATCTCAGCTCACTGCAACTTCTGCATCCTGCGTTCAAGCACTTCTAGTGTCTCAGCCTCCCGAATAGCCAGGATTACAGATGTGTGCCACCACGCCTGGCTAATTTGTGTATTTTTAGTAGAGACGGGGTTTCACCATGTTGGTCAGGCTGGTCTCAAACGCCTGACCTCAGGTGATCTGCCTGCCTTGGCCACCCGAAGTGCTGGGATTACAGGCGTGAGCCACCACGCCTGGCCAAAATTGAATGCTTTTAAGTAATATCTGAGAGTTCCAATTTTGCCATAATCCCCATCAGTCTTTATTCTCTAATTTCATGTATTTATCTTACTGGCTTGGCCCCTGGAGGAACTTGAATTTGCAATCCCTCTCTCTAGTCCAATTTCCTAACCATGCCAAGCTGTGTCCTGGGTTTATGTAAGTGCACGTGCTGCTATCCAGGCCTGGACTTGTTTTCCTTCCTGAGCTATTAACAATAGCTGAGCTTAAGGTATAGGCAGAACACTGTGTGGAGCACTCTCATACGTTAGCTCATTTATTCCTCAAAACTACCCTTAGGAGAGAGTAGCTATTGTCATTCCTATTTTAGAGAAGAGAAAACTGAGGCTTAGAGAAATTAAGATAATTGTTTCATATAATATAGTAAATCTCAGATTTGAAATCAAGCCATTAGCTTTAAAACATACTTTCTTTTCTAATAAGTTATCGCAATAATTTTCCCTTATTCTTCAATGCTCAATTGAGACATGGCCTCCTCTGTGAAGCCTTCTTTGAGTCGCCACAAGCGGTATTAGCTATTTTTCTCTTGATGATTCTCTAAGTGCTACGCAGAACATCTCTTTGCAAAGTTATCAATTTGATAACTTTGCATTTATTTGATTCCAGGTAAAATCCTTCTAGAACAGTATTCCTCTGACTTGAAAATTATAGACACCCAAAAATATATGCATAGGTTCCCAGGTTTCCTTAAGCCTCAATTTAAAATCTCTATCTTAACAAACAAAAATGTATTTAAAAATTACATTTTCATTTTTTTTTTCTTTTTCCTTTTTTTTCTTTTTTTGAGATGGAGTCTCACTCTGTCTCCCAGGCTAGAGTGCAGCGGCGTGATCTCGGCTCACCGTAACCTCTGCCTCCAGGGTTCAAGCCATTCTCCTACCTCAGCCTCCCCAGGAGCTGGGATTACAGGAGCACGCCACTGTACCCAGCTAATTTTTGTATTTTCAGTAGAGACGGGCTTTTGCCATGTTGGCCCGACTGGTCTCAAACTCCTGACCTCAGGTGATCCACCCTCCTTGGCCTCCCATAGTGCTGGGATTACAGGCATGAGTCACCGCGCCGGGCCACATTTTCACATTTTAATGCCACTTAGACTACAGAAACATTGAAAGCCCACACCCATTCTAGTCTATAGACCTCTTAAAGACCTGTAACTCATCTTGGATCCTTATTGCTTAGACTTAGGCCTGGCCCAGATCACAGATTCTTAAAATGTTAGTTGAATGAATGAATGATAATCTGGTCCCTAAGAATAAAGGAGATACGGCCCGTGTTGCTAGGAAAACTTAGGCTACAGTGAAAAGCTGGCTTTGCAGAGCTGATTCCCCAAGGTCGGTGACTGCAGTTCATTCAGGTCTTAGAGTTGAGACAGTGGAATGAGCTTTAAGTCATACCTGCAGTTCTCCTGCAACATAGGATAATTGTACTTTCCAGCTCCATTGAGGTTAGGCGAGAGCACGTGAACTGCTTTAGCTAATAAGCACGTGAACTGCTTTAGCTCATAAAATGTGAGTGGGAGTGAAATAGGTTATTTCTGGGTGTAAGACTATAAGAGCTTGTGTACAACTGGCCGTTTTCCTTCGCTTGACCACAGTCTCCATGCAACATTCCACATGGCAGTGCTTGCATCCACCTGCACACCCGAGTAAGGTGGGGCAGAAGCTCGAGCTTATTGCTGTGGACAGGAAGCATGGATAGGCAGTGCCTCTTTACTGTGTTAAGTCACTGGTATTTGAGGATCTTACTGCAGCAAAGGCTAGCCTATCCTGACTGATACAAAAACCAATATGCACCCATTAACTCACTCACTTCACAAATATTTACTGAGCCATCAACATGTTTCAGGAGCAATGCTAGGGGCTAGAGATAGAACAATGAGTAAAATCAGATATGGTCCTTGACTTTGTAGAAAGCAGAATCTATTGGGAAAGACAAATATTTATTAAGAAAGACATACACTTAAATTTCTAACAGTGACAAATGCTTTGAGATGAGGAATCTGGTGTAATGAAATTAACTGATGGAATCATGTGATCAGGGATCAGAGAAGACTTCCCTGAGGAATTCCTACAGAGCAGAAAGCAAAGAAAGGGAAATATTAATTAAGCAAAGGGTTTGGGGAAGGAAAGAAGAACATGTAAGGTCAAGGAAACAACAGGTACTAAGACCACATGACAATAACGCAGTGGGTTTAGGGAAGTGAATGAAGGCCTGTGTCGCTCTGATGAGACCAGCTTGGAACTTCCCTAGTTTCTCTGACCTCCAGCAGGATGGAAGCACCAGCATGCTAGGCGTGGGTGCTGCTAAGATGGCAAATGTGAAATGACTTAGACCCTGAAGCTGACTAGTGAAGGAGTGAAGACATGCCATCCAAAAATATGCTCTCTTGGTATCTTGGGTTTTGTTTTGTTTTTTTCTAGAGACATGGTCTCACTCTATCGCCCAGGCTGGAGTGTAGTGATGTGATCTTGGATCACTGCAGCCTCCGCCTCCTGGGTTCTAGTGATTCTCGTGCCTCAGCCTCCCAAGTAGCTGGGATTACAGGCAGGCACCACCACACCTGGCTATTTTTTATATTTTTAGTAGAGACAGGCTTTCACCATGTTGGTCAGGCTGGTCTTGAACTCCTGACCTCAAGTGATCCACCTACCTTGGCCTCCCAAAGTGCTGGGATTACAGGCATAAGCCAACGTGCCTGGCCCTGGATTGGTATCTTACTTCAAGTTGAAATCATTGGAGAAGTTGTAGTTTCAAAAAGTGCTGGCTGACCTATATCTTCCTGCATATGGCAAGCCAAAAATATCCCTCTGGGAGGGGTACCCTTCCTGTGTCAGGGTGAAAAAACAGCCTTTATCACCAGAGACTAGGAATTGGGAGCCTCAGTGGATGTGAATAAACAGACATAATGAAGTAAGCCTTATCTTCTACCTGTTTTACACCCCCCAATAAATCTCCAAGTAACTCCCCTAGAAATGTATTATTCCTAGCCAGATCTCCTTTGTCGTGTCATTTCTTCTCAAAGTTTTCATTCTTTGTCTAAAAAGTATAAAAGCGTCTTGCTTTGGCCACTTCAGACTTCACTCTCTTTTGAAGATTCCTGTGTACATGTATAGCTAATAAAATAGATATGCCTTTCTCTTGTTAATCTGCCTGATGTCTGTTTGGTTTCTGGATCCAGCCAAAGAGCTCACTAAGAGCTAAAGGGGAATTGGAGGTGATCTCTGGCTCCCTTATACTAGAACCTAGTGGGTGCTTAATAAATGCCAGATGAGCCTGAATCTATGGCTGCATGTACCGAATTCCTGCTTTAAAAAAAAAAAAAAGTGGCCATGTGTCTAACTGCCTTGGGCCCCAGAAGTTTATGTCCTTGGATTGTAGGGGGATAGGTGGTGGGCGGGGGAAGAAAGGCTGTATGGTGAAGCAGCTTCCCTTGATACTGCCTCATAACCCCCCATTTAGTAGAAATGAAAGTTCTACTAAAATAGTTCAGGAAAACAGAGCATAATGTCCCCTGAAGGACAACGGCATCTGATGAGTGAAGGCTTCTGTCTTCAATGCCTGAAAGCACAAATCAGGAAGGGAGGAAATGGCCTCATCTTGTGAGCCTGTGCACTTTGTAAGCAGGTAACTGAACGGAAGCTGAGGATGAAGGTGGATGTGAAACAAACAGGAGGGAGCAGCAATAAGTACTGAATTCCGGGACACTTTCAGATAGTGTTCCTTTTAATCCCCTAACTTCCCTGAAATGCAGACGTTAACATTCCCATTTCACGAATGGATAAGGAAACTGAGGCACAGGGCTGTTACAAAGTTGATAACTGGTGCAGCCAAGACCTGAATCCACTTCCGTATGATCCTGAATCCTCTTTTGCCTTCCTGGTGCTAAGGGGTAAGCTTCCTGTTTTGCAAAATTTAAAGCAGGATTTATAACAGCAGATACCTCCAGAAGCCTGTGCAGGGTAGATGGAGAAAGCCAACTGAGAAAAACACAGTAATGAGGGGTGAAGACCAAGGGGACCTGAAGAGCATGTGCCTTTCTGTAAAGGGGCAACTACTAATTAGTTCCTACTGGTAATTGTCACATGTCAGTGAGGACATATTTGTCAGATCTTCCGATAGTTCAAGAGAATCCCCAAATCCACATAGCATATGAAATCTCCAAGCTATTAAAATGCTCTTGAAACCGCCTTTGCAAAAATTATAACAGTGAGAAAATGATGACAGTGAAAGAGATCTGATCTAACCAACCCTCATCGTGCCTTTAACCTCCAAGCTGCCCTTAGGCATTTCTGGGCTTGGGCCAAGCTAACTTTGGAAGAAATTTAATTTGTAGTTTAAATGATAATAGCCCTTCCCCAAAACTGAACCACGTTTGTAAAGTTAACGAAAGACTTCCAGGTTAGGAGGATGAGAGGAGCCTGAATTCTGCCAAGGTGTAGATATAAATAATTACCAGCCATTATTCTGGAGCTTACAAGATTTGCAACTTCTCCAATTACTCCTGTAGATGAAATCACTATTGTAAAACCTAAAATTGGCTTTTTGAGATGTCTTTTCAGGTTTTTGCACTTCTGACCACCAATGGTGCACCAAGTACCATTTTCTACACCACTATGATTGCATGCCCATCCAACCAGCAGCACCCATTCCCTTGCCTGCCAAACTATCCTTGAAATTTTCAGGAAGGCTTATTTGAATAATAGCAAAACTCTGGCCTCTCATTCAGCTGGCTCTGCATGAGTTAAACTCATTCTCTATTGCAGTCCCCCTGTCTTGATAAATTGGCTCTATCTGGGCAGCAGGAAAAATGAACCCTTTGGGCAGTTTACACTCTCACCTTAAAAAAAGCCAACAAACAAACAAACTGAAAAACAATATCTGCAAACACCAAACAAAACTGTACTTGAGCCTCTTTTTTTTTTTTTTTTTTTTTTTTTCTGAAACAGAGTCTCACTTTGTCACCTAGGCTGGAGTGCAATGGTGCAATCCTGCCTCACTGCAACCTCTGCCTCCTGGGTTCAAGCAATTCTCCTGCCTCAGCCTCCCAAGTAGCTGGGACTACAGGTGTGCACCACCACACCTGGCTAATTTTCATATTTTTAGTAGAGATGGGGTTTTACCATGTTGTCCAGGCTGGTCTTGAACTCCTAACCTCAGGTGATTCACATACCTCAGCCTCCCAAAGTACTGGGATTACAGGTGTGAGCCACCATGCCCGGCCACTTGAGCCTCATTTAACCCAGTGATTCTCAACCAGTTGTGATTTTCCTCTAAAGAGACATTTGGGGATGTTTGGAAACTTGCTTGTTTGTCACAATTGGGAGCAGGGGATGCTACTATAATCTGGCCAGGGATGCTTCTAAATATCCTACGATGGACAGGACAGCCCCCACAATGAAGAATTATCCAGCCCCAAATGGTAATAGTGCCAGAGTTGAGAAATCCTGGTCTAACTAGTGGTCTCTCAAGCTCTGATCTCTGCTTCAAAGGTTTTTTTTTTTTTTTCACACAGTAAAATCTTCTCTAGATCTTATTATCCCCTCGTGGCTATCCTCTGCCAGGGACACCATGATGGTGTTTATTTGCTTCTCATTTGGTTTGCCTTGTTCCAGACCTGGCTAATTCTTACTAATGCTGAAGGTCTTGAGTTACACTTGCAAATCCAGCTTAACGTTCAAGTGTATAAGAAACAGAAACAATTCAACTCCAGTCAATAATGTAAACAAATCCTGGTTTAGATAAGCCCTATTACCAGGCTGAAGTGGCCCAGGGCACCTCTGCTACTGCTGATTAGCGTAAATGCTAAACACAAACCAATTAACACACTCTAAGGCTGCTTATCTCCCGTCACTTAGTGTGGAAATAAAGCCCAGCGCTAAATACACATATTGATTTAGCCATTAAATCCAGCATCACTCAAAATAAAACTCATTATATTATTGGGCAAAAACAAAGTCACCTTCGTTTTCAGGATGGGCTATATTATTTAAAAATTTCACTTTTACACTTTTCCATTGATTTCCCAAACTGGCCTGAGTATCTCCTCCTACTGTGGATTTTTGCTAGCTCTAGGACAAATTCAGAAAGTAAGCATTTTGCATTCACTTTAACATGATCTTTGCTTTTAGTGCTAAAAGTGCACACATATATGAGAATCCTTTTTCTTTAAGATGCTATTTTAGCTTAGAAGAGGAAATTTTATGCTTGGAAGAAAGGTTATTAAATGGAAAGGTGAACTGGGATATTAAAAAAACAACAAGTACAAAAACCACAGGCAATGTAATAAAAATGGGTTAACTCTGAACATTAAGCATAGACACTGATTCAATGCATATGGAGACAAAATCCAGAAATATCTTCCCAGTTCAGGCATAAACAAGTGACCAAGGAGTCTGAAAAAATGAAATCATAAAAACCACTTCAAATGGGTGTTTAATTTTATTCTTCATGAGGTATCATGATGTGCCACATCATACATTGCCCATGCTACCATGATGGCAGCCATCATATTTAACCAAAATGATTTAAGTTTCCCCAGTTGGAAACTGAGCCCCAGTGAAGACTTTATCTTATTTAACTTCATACTTCCATAAGCCAGTCCAGGATATTGGCATGGAGATGACACTATTGTATATGTGTATCACAGAGACATTGGCCTCTAGCTGTCTTATGAAATGCTTGCTTCTAGAAACGTCCATAGCATTTAAGTGCCTGCTTCTTGTGTTATGTTTTTCCGTAGATTTCATTTGAGGGCCCTTTTACCTTTATTTCTGATTGATAGGATTGCACTTTGATGGACACATGATCTTAACCTTGTAAATCTCTCCACCAAATGCTAACCTTACCACAGCATCTTGGTAGAGTACTTAAAAATAGGTTCATTTATCAGCAGCTATTAAAACACGGTTCTGGTGTGTTATAGATCAATGTTAGAGAAAAAAAGTGTACCTGTTGCTCAGAGAGAGAAGTGCATACAATCCATAATACTTTCTATTTATCCAACACCCCTTACTGCTGGATATCTGTTATACTCGAGAATATTATTTGTCAGGATGGCAAGAACAACTGCCTTAAGAAAACCTTTTTCAGGGACTTAGGACTACAAGGTGGCATGAACACGTGCATTTATCTCCTTTCCCTCCAAAAAGATCACTGAAACGACTGTAAATATATGTCAAACAGTAGAAATACACATGAACAAACAGAAGTAGAGAGGGGACAAGAGTAGGTGAGGAAATGGACTTGGCAGGATGGGAGAAATTGGGATTAGGAGCTCACAGTGATGGACACCAAAATGAGGAATGCAAATTTGTTCCAAAGAAACATGGAAGACCCAGGACTTGGAGGCACCAGGCACCAGCACACAGGGGTAGGCACATGGCATGGTGTTGGTTGAAGTCTACTTTTCCCACCCTGCACTGCCAAGAAATTCCTACTTCCCCGACTCCAGCCCACCTTCTCAAAGTGCCATGCTGAAACACCCCAACACGAAAGAGATGGAAACAAACACAACTCTTGGCTTCAGAACAGGAAAATGATCACTCCAGTTTATCCACTGACCATAGTGGCCAGTTCAGGGGTAGCTCTTTAACTTAGTTGTTCTGCCAAAAGTCACACTTGGAACTTTTGCTGCAAATATTAGGCAAAAGACATAGTCCTGCTAAGATTGCTAAACTGGGGGCATCCAAGTCTTCAGTTTCTGGTGGTCATCTTTCCCCAGGGGAGAGACTGCCTGAGAATAAAGTCAACAGGAAAGACAGTCCAAAATATGAGAGAGGCAGATTTGTGATAGACATTCCTCGAGTACCAGGATCCAACCATCCCTGGAACTCATTATCCCTGGAGAAAATTAGCTAACACTTCTTGAGCAGTGACTATGTGTCAGACCCTGTTCTAAGAGATTTACTTAAATTAAATCAATTAACCCTCATTGCAGCCCTATGATGTAGGTATTATAATTATCTCTGTTTACTGATGAGAAAACTGAACAAGCTAAGTAAGTGGTGAAACCAGGATTCTAACTCAGGTCTAGCTCTACAACCTGCAAGTTGAAACATTATGTTATATAATCTCTGGTTGTTAGTTCTGTCAGCCAATATATTCATTCAAGTCAATTGGAGCTAGATTTCCATCCCTTCTATCTGACAGAGATTTAACCAATCTATTTCTTGTCTACCCAACATTACTGATGGGAACCTGCCAAGCGTGTCAAAACTATTTGAGGATAAGGCAGAAATTGGTGCCTTTACAAGCCCTTCTCCTGTGACTTGTTTTCAGGCAAAAAAAAAAAAAAAAATGTAAGAATGCATCTAGGAAGCTAAAGTTTTTTTCTCTTGAAACTTCTGGAGAGGATGACAAATATCAAATATTGAATAACTCAAACTTTGTGCTCTTTCTAAAATCTACATTTTCTTTCTTTCTTTTTTCTTTCTTTCCTTCTTTCTTTTTCTTTCTTTCTTTCCTTCTTTTTCTCTCTCTTTCTTTCTTTCTCTCTTTCCCTCTCTCCCTCCCTCCCTCCCTTCCTTCCTTCCCTTCTTCCTTCCTTCTTTTTTCTCTATCTCTTTCTCTTTCCCTCTCTCTCTTTCTTCCCTTTCCTCCCTTTCTCTCTCTTTCTCTCTTTCTTTTTACTATTTGGCAGTGTCTCGCTCCGCCACCCAGGCTGGAATGAGTGGCACAATCATAGACACATCCTTCCACCATTTATCTGGATTTGTCAGCTAGTCAGATTTCCAGTCAGCAAGGAATTTGAATGTCAACCTCTTCCACTATTTCTGGTTTATTTCCTCTATAAGAAACAAACTAGAACTTGGTCCAACTACGCCCCACTTGGCCTCATGACATATATTTCCACTGTGAATATCTATTGTCTCAGGTGCTCTGGGGTAATCCATTAAAAAAAGTGTTCCCACAATCTTAAGTCAGTATCCCTCTCTTTGTACGCCCTTACATTTCCTGAGTAATACCAGCCATTCCCAAAACATTAATGACCACCTCCATAAAAAATGATCCTCAGATTTCATAGGGAGATTTGACTCTTCTTCTGAATACCATCTCTGTAATTCCAATTTCCTGCCAGATATGTGAAGCTGAAAATCCTACAGAACCATCAATGGCCAAACAATTCATTCTCTTCCATGTTTCTCCAGAGTTCCCTATTCACCTCCTCCTCATAGTATCTATGTTTTATTTTCACAGAAGGCATTATCATCCACTCAGGGTTCTAAAGCAGACAACGTGGCTTGTTCATTTTCCTTGCCCTGGCCCTCATGTTCAATTAGTTACCAAGTCCTGAAAACTCCCTCTTTAAACACCTCTCAGATACATCCTTTCTTCTCTTCTCCTCATTATTTCTTGGTTGAGCTATTGCAATACCCCCCTAAATATTCTTCCCCCTTCCAGGTTGTCTCCCTCCCAAACTGCCCTCTCCATTGTAACCAGTGAGATCTTTCTTCAAAAGACACTGAAACTTCAGAGCCTCGGAGAAAATGTTACAGTAGGTGCAAGCACTGAGGAAACCCTTTCTCAACTTTCCTTTAAAATGCCCTCAAACAACCAATGAAAGAATGACGTGAAATCTCTGCTAACAGGATAAATTCAATTCTTTCTGAATCAGGGACGACTTATATTAATTGCAGTGTCTTTCAAAACAGACTTAAAAACATATTATTTATCACAAGCTTGTTGAAAAACATCAAAACATCAATTACCTTGTTATGGCCTACAAGATAAACCCAAATATTTTTTAAACTTTGTATTCATAAATAATTTCAAACTTACAGAAAGGTTGCAAGAATAAACATAATACAAAAAAAACCCTGTATATGTTTTATCTAGATTTACCTATTATTAGCATTTCATTAAAGCAAAATACTTTATCATTTGCCCTTTATGTATATTCACATAGACATGCATGCATTTATTTTTCAGAGCCATTGTAGAGTACACTGCATATATCATGACCTTTTACCCCGAAATACTTGTAGGTATTGCTAAGAATGAGATGCTTTTATATAACCACAGTAGTTATCCTCTTTGTTGAATTTAATATTGATTCAAATTTTTGTCTAATTTACTGTCCAAATTCCAATATTGTAAATTGACTTAAAATATGACATAAATTTGTCATAAAAATTATGTCATAAAAATTGACATAAAATAATGTCTTTTATTGCTTTTTTTCCCCTCTAGTACAGGATCCATTGAGAATCAGAGATTGCACTTCATTGCTATGCCTCTTCAGTCTCCTTTAATCTGGAACATTTCCACAATCTTTCTTTATCTTTTATGACTTTGACATTTTTGAAAAATACAGTAATTTTTTTTAAAAACAAAACTTTCCCCAGCTGGGGTTCATCTGATGTTTTCTCACGATTAGATTCAAATTAATGGTTACCCAGTGGAAGGAATACCACATAAGCAATACCCTGTCCTTCTCAGAGTAAGACATTTATGAAGTTCACATATTTACAATGTGGCATTCAATGCCCTTAAATTTTGACTCTTCCTAGAGTACACACTCGCCTTTTGATATTCCTCATTGAACCTTGACTGTCTGACCTCCCAGGGACCAGCCTCTGTAAAAGCTGTTTACCTGTCCAATAACCATTCCTATGAAGGACATACCTTTCTCCCTTCCTTACTAATGCTACTCAATCCTAGTGGCTTGCATGGAGCAGATCCCACTTCTCTGGTTCCACGGATATCATTAAGGACCAGGGCTGGCCAATACAAGTCCTTTGTCTCCTTAGTCACAGAAATGCAATCAAGGATACATACGTATTCCAAGTTTGGCCATCCTGGACTTTCTTTGGTCCTCTCAAGATATATCACTTTTCTTTGAGCTCTGTTAATTATGAAGAGCATATATATTTGAATCTGTGGAGGAAGGGCATTTTGTCAAAAAGTAGAGAGATCATTTTGAGAATGTGGAAAAATCTAGCTATAATTTGAAGTGTATGTGACAGAGAGAAAGAGAGGAAGAGATAGGTGATGATGTCATTTAAGCACCTGATTCCAGCCATGCCTGAAGCCTTCATTGTTCAGGGCTTCTTAGTTGCATAAGCTGGTAAATTCTTCTGTTACTTAAGCTAAAATGGAGTGTCTACGTATCACAAATTGCAAGAGCTTAACTTTCATCTCTTTTATACTGATCTGTGTTGCTGAAGGCTCAGCATGATAACAGATTGGGCAATAATACAGATAATTACTTTTCAACATGTACACATTTATCTACAGAATAGATAAACATTTCTTGGATTCTAAACTCATACATTGCAGTACAGACCATTAAACCTTGCTCATGAGTGGTCTAACAGAAAAACAGATATATATATATATATAAAATATATATATATAATATATATAAAATATATAATATATATATAATATATATAAAATATATATAATATATAAATATATATATAAAATATACATATAATATATATAAAATATATATAATATATATAAATATATATATAAAATATACATATATAATTATTTAAATTGTACTTTAAATAGAAAGTACAATGTGAATTTTTGAGAACCCATAGTATGTGTCTAAAGTAGTCCTCAGAGGAAAACTCATAGTTCTAAATATTATGGATTTTAAATTACATAAAGGAAAATAAATAAATTATGTTTAACTTGAGGACCTACAAAAAAGAACAAGATACATGGCAATTTACAAAGATAAAAACAAAAATTACTAGATTACGGAATAGAAAAAAAGTGGCTGAAGTGATCAGTACAATCCCACACATAGATGGTTATATTTTCTGAAAAAACATCTGCGCATCTAATCAAGAAAAGAAGAGCAAAATTCAAATGTGTAACATTGAAATGAAAATGGAGAAATAATCTCAGATGCAGAAGCAATCCCACAGCTAACCCTAGCAGCACCATGTGCAGTGAAGAAAAACCCACCCCATTCTCAAGTCATTTTACTGCCAAATGCTAAAAAATACAATGATGAAATTAGTACTACCATGTACAAAATCACTACAAATATAAATGGTGTCCTTTAGAATTAGTGTACAACCTGCCTCACCTGCCTAAGGTGAACCTACACCTTTTGCATAGGTTCTAAGAATACTGCTCAATTTTATGTAAATTAATATAAAACTCTAGACGAAATGAATTAGCTAGTAAAAATATAAATAATCAGAACTGACAGAAGAAGAGATATTTTACAGTCTAAATACATTATTTATTACAAAAAAATGAGAAAGGATTTTAAAACTTAAAAAAACATACCTTCTCAGAAAGCTTCAGAAGTGAATTCTATCAAACCTTTCAGGAACAGAAAATGCTTATGTCATTTAACCTGTTATATGGCATTCTTTCAAAGCACAGCATAATAATTGCTCAGAGAGAAATATTAAAAACTTATATGGACACTTTAACAGGGACATTTTGCTAGTTCTCAAATTTTGACTATGAATTCATCAAATGCAGAAAAGAGGAAAATTCATCCCAGGAAGTAAGGATTTTTTGCTAGTTCTCAAATTTTGACTATGAATTCATCAAATGCAGAAAAGAGGAAAATTCATCCCAGGAAGTGAGAATTTTTTGGCAAGTCTTAGAAGTATGAATACACAGATAAAATCTTCATCAAATGTCATAAGCCTGGGAAAAGTGAAAAAAGAAATAAATGACAAGATCAAGAATGGAAAATACTCTGATAATCTGCAATGATGGAGCTAATTCTAAAAATACCTAAATATAGCACTAAAGTTTCATAGTTAAGGCCAGGAAAGTAGTCACACCTGTGATAACAGCTATTCAACGACTAACTCAATATGACTCCAAAGTGTGATGTGGTTAGCAAAAATGTGAAGCAATCCTTAGTAACAGAAGTATACTATCTAGAATTAAGATGATAATCTCTCTCTGCACTACCGTATCCAAATGTACTTTGATACAGTGCTCAGTTTTATAAGAATATTATATATTTTTTTCGAGACAGGGTCTTGCTTTGTTGCCCAGGCTGGAGTGCAGTGGTGCAACCTCAGCTCACTGTATCCTTCACTTCCCAGGCTCAAGTGATCCTCCCACTTCAGCCTCCCGAGTAACTGGGACTACAGGGACTACAAGGACTACAGGTGCATGCTACCATACCTGGCTAATGTTTTAAGGTGTTTTTGTTTGTTTGTTTGTTTTGCTTTTTCTAGGAATGTGGTTTCACTATGTTGCCCAGGCTAGTCTGGAACTCCTGGCCTCAATGGATCCACCCTCATCGGCATCACAACATGCTGGGATTACTGGCATGAATCACCATGCCTGGCTGAATATTCATTATTTGAAAAGACAGAAAAGATATCTGGAGGAAGACTAGGATAATGAAGAGCCACTTGGTGGATTCTGCTCTTTTGCCTATCCCTATTCTTTAGGGAATAATTTATTTATCCTTAAGGGAGCAATTACTCCCCATTCTAAGCCCATCTTGGGTCTCAAAATCAGCCAGAGCATGGGGCACTTGATCCAGGAAGGTCCAATCACAGTCTTTAATCCTCCTGGGAAAAGTTGACTAATTTGATTTTAGGTTCATGATCACCAAATCAAGTTAGGACTTCAGTTGGAACTATTGGGAATAGAAACACTTTCTGCTGAGGTTGCTGAGTTGATAGATGGTAAATCTAGGGTTACTAGGGACATCATGACCATGAAGCCAGTGAAAAATTATCACAATTAAGAGATGAAGAGATATAGGTTGTTGATGCCATTGAATGAGAGCCTTGGTTCAGTCTTTCCTGAAGTCAGTCTGAACTTTTCAGTTACGTGAATCTATAAATGCTCTTTAACTCATTTGAGTTCAGTTTCTGCCATTTGCCCACGAAAAGATTTCTACCTAATTCAGTATCAAAAACATGCTGTATGAAAAATGATTAAAAGAACTGTTGATTTTGAAATTAAAATGACACATGGGGATCCTGACAGCTCTCTTTAAACTCTTAAACATCATTTCATTGAAATCAGAAACAAAGCAAAGGTTGACCTGCATCAATGGTATTATTTTGCATTTTTCTGGAAGTTTTATAAAATACAATAAGACAAGAAAAGGAGAAAACTTTTTTCTCTTTGCTGATATTATTGTAAATCTAGAAAGTACAAGAGGCTCCAGTTAAAACCCATTTTATTTTGACAAAGTGTCTGGATGTGAGATAAATGTACAAAAATCAATATATTTTTTAAATCAAGCACTCACTAGCTAGAAAAGGAAAAGAAATATTTTATTCATAAACATGATAAAAGCTAAAAATACTTAAAATGCATTAAACCACAAAGACATGGGACTTATATAAAGAAACCTATAAAACTGTGTTAACAGTACCAACCAAGATATCAATAAATGGAAGATCTATTATGTCTATGTATGGGATAATTTAATGGCTTAAAATATCAATTGCATCAAAATTATATTAATGGAATGTAATTTTAAATAGGATCCCAAATTTTTGTTAATTTTATAAAATAATGCCAATTTTAATGTAAAAGAATAAGTTTCCCCAAATAGCCAAATAGAGAATAGTAGTGAAAAATGACTTGCCTTGGCAGATACTAAAACATACTATGAAATTACCATAAAACAGTGGACATCGATACAAGTGAATAAATAGATTGGGGGAAAATTAACCTTGAGATAAGTTGCATAATATAAGACAATTGTGTATATAATAAAATGACAGTAACTAGAGCATAGTTTTATTTAATAAATGGTGCTGGCACAATTGCCTATCATTTGGTAAAAAAATAATAAAATGGAGTCCATTAACTTATACTATATATTAAATTTCAGGCAGATTAAAATCTAAATGTAAAGGAAAAATGAGACAGTTAAAATCCTAGGTTATAATTTAAAATTATATGCATTTGTCTAGATATGTAAAGTATGCAAAATACCCAAAAGCTCTAAACTTTTCTCCTAGCAATCTAACTTGTCCTCAGTTTTACCCTGGCCCTCTGGTGGAGGAGGAAGGGTACATAGAAATCACATTTAACAAATGGCGGATACTTCTTTGAGTCTAAGAAGATATCAGGTATAGGGCTGTCACCACCAATGCCTGCAGAGAATTGCTACAACCAACAATTAGAAGGTGCTTTGGTCCCAAATCTTATCTGGTCTCTCATCGTTTCTTTGCTAGTTCTAAGCCAAGGAAAGAATTTCCTGTATTATTATTTGTACTGATTATCTCCTGGTCCATCTTATCTACAAATGCTATCTTTTTTTTTTTTTTTTCAAGGAGGAAGAACAAAATAACTGAAGCAAATGTACTTCTTAGCAAGGTGACACACAATCGCTGTTCCAATACACAGCCCTGGTAGAGTTTGGAGGAAATGGAAGTGAAAGCATCAGAGAAAGACAGGGATAATAACTCACATTTATTGTTCACCTACTATGTGCAAAGTATTTTCAACATCTCTTCTAAAAGACAACCAGAGTAAGTATGTGTTTTTATTTCTCCCTTACAAATGAGGAGACTAAGGTTCAGCAAGGCTAAATAACTTCCTCAAGATCACTGTAGTAGGTATCCTGATGCATTTTCCTGCCTGTTCTTTACCTTCCACACTCAGATTTCATCTTGGGAAACCACTCCACCCCCATTCACAGTTCTTGTGCATTCAGGATGGGCACACGATTGAGACACAACCAATCACTGTTTCATCTCCTGGTTGGTTCAGGGATAGGCATGAAACTCTGGTTGCTCCTAGTACAGTCCATTTTAAGTTTTCAGTGGAATTGTTGGGAAACCAATGTTTTTCCACTTGTTAGCTAACCTGGAAGCCTAGGGCTGCCAGAGGCCATCTTGTGCACAGAGCCAACCTGAGAATTACGCAGAATAGATAAAAAGCATAACCAAGAGCTGGGACAAGAGACAGAATCTTAACTGCATAGGTTGAGTCCCTAGATACAGCCATACCTGCAGCAAATGCTACCTTTGGAATTTGCAGATATATGGACCAATACATTCTCTTATTTACTTAAATCACTTCATGTTGGGCTGCTACCCTCTGCACAGGAAACATCTTGATTAATGTTTCACAGAGATAAGAAGTGATAAAGCCAAGATGAAGGCCATACTTTCTGGAAAACGACCATTTATCAGCCAGAGGAATAGTACAATTCACAAAAGAACCTGCTGTGATTCCTGACACATTCTCAGCCTGCTATGAACTTTATGTCTTTCATGAATGGGATTAGGGAAGAACATGCTGGGGACATTGATGGAAATAAGTTTTAAATTGTATTGGGAAAAAAAAGAAATCCAGTTCCCAGGGATTTGGTTTTATTCAGTAGGTACATGGTATTCAGGGAAATTGACATATTGAAGTGAAAAGAAAAATCCATCGGAGTTAAAAGAGCAGAAAGACAGTTCTGGTTCCACCATTCAGCTGCATGTTTTCAGGCAAGAAAGCATAATTCTCTGAGCTTTCTTTCTCTTACTCTTGAGAGATAGAAGAGCTTTCGTGAGATACAAATGAGATTGTGGCTGCTAAAGTACTTATATATTTTTTTTAGTTACAAAGGGCATAATATAGTATTATTAAATGTTGCCAAGGTATTTTGGTACAGTTTAGATTTTCTGTGCCTTTATTAACAACATATAAAAGGTGAGCCTTTAGACTCAGCATTAAAAACAAATAACATATTTAAAGACATAAATACTTCTTAAAAAATAAATAAGTGGGATCAAGTTAATTGCATTTACCAATATCAAAAATTAGCCAAAAGGCAGTATGGGAAAGATAAAAATGGTGACTCATAAATAAACAGTATATATTATGTGCTCTTTACAGTACTGTATGAAATGGTAGGAAATGTAGCCAATATAAATAAGATGAAATGGGAAAATAAAGAGAATAAATAAGTTATTATCAGATAGAAAAAATAAATCTAAAGGATTAAAAATACCAAACAAGACTATACAGAACAAAATAAAAATAAAAGTGTGAGAAGCAAATAGTAAGGAAAAGAAAAACGTATTATAAAGCTGAGAGAGTTAAATAAAATAAGGTACTAAGAGCAATGGGGATGTTATGGACTGAATATTTGTGCCTGTCTCCCCATGATTCAAATTTGAAGCCCTAGCCCCCAAATGTGATGGTATTTGGAGATGGAGCCTTTGGGAGGTAATTAGATTTAGATAAGGTCATGAGGGATGGTTACCCATGATGGGATAAGTGTTCTTCTAAGAAGGGGAAGACAGATTCTCTCTCTCTCTCTCTCTCCACCACACACACACACACACACACACACACACACACACACACACACACACACACACACACACGAGGTTATGTGAGCATAGGCAAGATGGAAGCAGTCTGCAAACCAGAAAGATGGACCCTCACCAAGAACTGAATCTGCCAGCACCTTGATCTTGGACTTCCCAGTCTCTACAGCTGTGAGAAATAAATGGCTCCTATTTAAGCCACTTAGTTTACAGTATTTGGTTATAGCAGCCTGAGTTGACTAAGACAAGAGAGATTCCAGGTTGTCAGTCAGCAACCCACTCCTGACATTTATCGAGTGCATAGCATGTGCCAAGTGCTAGGTGTTTTATATCTAGTATCTCATTGGATCCTAATAATCATAGTATGAGCTTGGTATTAACATTCCCATTTTGTAAACAAGGAAGCTGAGTCCCAGAGTGGTTAAATGACAAGTCCCAGGTCTCACAGTAAGTAAAAGTGGAGCTTAGATAGGAATTCCAGTCTTTTGGTTCCCAAAGCTTACCTGCTTTCCCCTACACCTCTTCTAAAAAGAACTAGGGATGCCCCACAGCTGTCACACTTCCGCACCTCCAAAGTCCAGTGCTTTCTCTGAGGGTCATAGGAATTTCAAGACAGGACTGGTATCTTTGGATGTGAAGTAAAAGCTAGATGGAGCACAGGGTCCACTCCACATTATTTCACTAGTAGTTCCATTTCTCCTTGGAAATCAACCCCTACTATACTCTCAGCCCAGAAACCCTGAATAACACCTCATCCCCAGCTCTGGGGTGGAGCACAGAACCCAGACTCAACCCCTCAGCTTATGGCATTCCATGACAGCAATGATTGTGATAGAATCCTGGGTGAGCAGATGACCCAAGCCTGCCAGTCAGAGTCAGCAGTTCTAGATTGTGGGGCTTTGGTCTGAACTCCCAATTAGATTCTCACCCCATCCCTCTCCATCCCACATCCATCCAGCTGGACCCAAACTGAAAGGAGGCAGTTTCACAATGGTGGCAGTCCACTATGAAGCAGAGACCCTGCCTAAGAATGGGCCCCCTAACGCAAGCAAGGCAGAGCTGTGCACAGAGGAAAGAACAATCATGTCCTGGTGGCATCTGGCATCGCTTCACCCTCAATCAAGCCAAAGCTGGAGCAAAATTACTCCCTGCACCATACAAGTGCTGGAGCAAGTGTGGCTTGGGGTTATTTTTTCCTCACAGCCTCGAATTTATAAACTGAGACACAAACTTGAAGCCTTATATCCCTATTCAAGTGAGCCCTGGAGAAAGCCAACAATGCTTTTCACCCTTAGCCTCAAAGTTTCGCCAAGGGGCTTTGCCTTCAACGTGGCACCCACAGGTGGCACTGTCAGAAGACCCGGACAGCCCTTGCTGGGAGCTCCCAGCATACCTCAAACCATTTGGGCATTTCCTTTGAAGACTGTATATTTTGAATATGTGCAGAAGAAGGTCAAAGATACTCTTCTGTGTTGGGTTTCAGTACAAAGAGTCTGATAAGCCTGGATGCAAATATTAGCTTTGTCATATCTTAGACACAACATCCTTGGGAAGTTAGTGGCTTTCCTCTACCTCTGTACCATGATATATACTGTTTCCTCTACCTGGAATACTCTTCCATCTCTCCCATTTACCTGGCTAATTGCTGGACATCATCCATGTCTCAGCTTAGAACATCAATTTCTCTAGGAAGTCCTCTTTCTCACCCTAAGGTCTAAATCGGTTTCATCTTTTCCAAGTTTCCGAATAACTTCCATTCCTCCCTTGTCCTAACATTGATCTCACTGTCATAATCATACGAATCATAATCAAAGGGTAGTCATAAATATCTCGTTTGTCCACCAGAATACAAACTCCATGAGGACAGGGAATGTGTCAGAGTATTCAACTACAAAGCCCTAGGACTTAGCACCATGCACTTGGTAGATACTTTACAAACCTTGCCATTTTCTTCTTTTTGTTTTGTTTGTTTGTTTGTTTGTTTTTGAGACGGAGTCTCGCTCTGTCGCCCAGGCCGGAGTGCAGTGGTGCCATCTCGGCTCACTATAAGCTCTGCCTCCCGGGTTCACGCCATTCTCCTGCCTCAGCCTCCCGAGTAGCTGGGACTACAGGCACCCACCACCACGCCCGGCTAATTTTTTGTATTTTTAGTAGAGACGGGGTTTCACCGTGTTAGCCAGGATGGTCTTGATCTCCTGACCTTGTGATCCACCCGCCCCAGCCTCCCAAAGTGCTGGGATTACAGGCGTGAGCCACCGCACCCGGCCCCCAAACCTTGCCATTTTCTAATCTGCATAATGGACATAATTTTAGCCAGTCTCATGAGATTGCCTGGAGATTTAATTCTGCATGTAGATAGCCCAGCACATTCCTAGTGCCCACTTGGTGCTCCATAAATATTAATTCCCTTCTACTTCATTCACCTTTTCCAAGAAATTTGAAGTATATTCTTTGCTAATCACTAACTTAATCTTCCTGATTACCATTAATAAAGCTAATAAAATCCTCACTATTTCCTCAAGAGACTATGACAACTCAGGGGTTAATGGTACTCTGTCTCAGTTTGACAGAAATATTTGGCTCACAATCACGATGAGGAACTCTCTTTTTTTCTTTCAGTAGGTGTCAACACAGAAATAAAGTGATTAAACGTGTTAAATATCATATATAATAAATGGCACCAATATAAAACTTAATGCTCCTAATATTTCCTTTGAGTTGCTACCTTTTGCATTAATTGAAGCAAGAAATGTTCCACTTAGTTAAAATATCTATTTAGTATCCTGCATATAAACACATCTGCTGCCCGAGTTCCCTGGTTCAGTGGGTTTAAATTAGTTGCTATCAATGTTATTGATGATAAGAGGACTTGGAGAGCATGCTGAGGTCCTGGTGAGGCCGGTGTATCAATGTTATTGATGATAAGAGGACTTGGAGAGCATGCTGAGGTCCTGGTGAGGCCGGTGACGCTCTGGGTTTCTGTATTCTCCAACAAGCATCGAATCAGGGCTCTGTTGAGGACTGGGGGTGAGCTGACTGCAGGTTTTGTAACAAAAGCTATAAGAAGGAAGACAACAAGCCTTGTGGTGACAGACAAAAAGTCACACTACTTTATAGAGACGCTGTCATCACAATGAATGCCTTTGCTGAAATGAATGGAAACTGCCCTCTTGTGTGTCTAGGGCAGAAGATCATTTTTTTAAAATTGACCATTGATTATACATGAGACAGTGGCCTCAGAGTCAGGCAGATTTGGGTTTGAATTGAGTTCTGACACACCCTGCATATCCTTGGACATAGCTCTTATTCACTCTGATCTCTATTTCTTTATCTGCAAAATGGGAATAATAATAGCCCCTGAATCATGGGTTACAGTGAAGATTAATTCCTCCCAAGTCACTTAGCACTGTGCCTGGCACATGCCAAGTTAGATATTAGCACTGTTGGAATATGTGCATGATGTCATTTAATCTTCACACTCGTCTCTTTGGATATGCATTATAATCCTACTAGAAGGCTCCCTGAGCCGAAACATCTGGGTTCTAAAGCTCTTTAAAATGGTCAAAATCCAAAACATTGACAACACTCAAAGTTGGCAAGGATGTGGAGCAACAACCACTCTCATTCACTGCTGGTGGGAATGCAAAATGGTGGAGTCACTTTGGAAGACAGTTTGGCAGTTTCTCACAAAGCTCATCATACCCTTACCATATAACCCAGCAATCACACTGTTTGATATATACCCAAAGGAGCTGAAAACGTATGTCCACACAAAAACCTGCAAACAGATGTTTATAGCAGCTAAAGCACTAATTGCCAAAATTTGGAAGCAACGAGGATGTCCTTCAGTAGGTGAATGTGATACATTCAGAAGATGGAATATTATTCAGCACTAAAAAGAAATGAGCTGAGAAGACATGGAGAAACCTTACGTGTATATAACCAAGTAAAAGATGCCAATCTGAAAGTGCTATATACTCTATGATTCCAACTATATGTCATTCTGAAAAAGGTAAAACTATGGAAACAATGGCAGGTATATATCATTACATATTTGTCAAAACCCATGGCACGTACAAACACCAAGAATTAGCCCTAAGGTAAACTATGGACTTCCGGTGATTAAACAGTTTTAACAAACTGACTACTTTATAGCGACCCTGGCATCATAATGCGTCTTTGCTGAACTGAATGCAAACTGCTCTCTTATGTGCCTGGGGTAGAACAGTTTGGTTTTGTTTTTTAATTGACCATCTATTAATATATGGTCTTTGGGTGTGAAAACAAACAAACAAAAGGAAATTAAAATGGAGACTGGACCTGAAGAACCCCTGAGCAGACGAAGTCAGTTAGGCCTCATACGGGACCTTAACTTTGCTTGATTTGCAAACATACGAAACTTATGTTGAGCTATTGCTTGTAAATGCCTATGTTAAAGAAAAATAAAATTTAAGGCTAACTAATCAGAAGCCACCAACTAATTTATATAGCTGAGGACTTTCCAGCAGGATGGACCAAACGAGGCAACCATGCCATGGAAATCCATCGGACCTTTCCTTTGCTTTACCTCTGTTTGCCCATAAAGGTCTTCCCATGTATGTCACCGCAGTGGTGTCCCCAGATCACTCATATTAATAGATTCACTTCATAAATCACTGTTTGCTCAAAGAAACTCCTTAACCTTGTATTGTGCCTCACTTTACTTTTGTTACATTAAGCTTAGCCTAAAGCTGCCTCTTTATGTATTTTAAAGGTTTCTCCATACACAGTGAACTGCAACTTAACTGGAGGTGTAAACAGACTGTAACCTACTCTTACACCAATCACGGAGTTTTGGCAAATCAAAAGCGGCCCACTGTTCAAGCCAGATTCAAATAAGCCAAACGCTGAGCTGTAACCATTCCGGCTGTTTCTGTACCTTGCTTCCGTTTTCTGTCTGTGACTCTCCTTTCTCTGCCCGCAAATCTTCAACCACACCATACCAGTGGAGCTTTCATTCTGGGAGCTGCCTGATTTGCAAATTGTTCTTTGCTCAGTTAAACTCTGTGAAATTTAACTTGTCTGAGGTTTTTCTTCTAACGCTTTTTAAAAATTTTAACTTTTAATTTTTAAATTTTTTTTTGAGTTTTGTTTTTTTTTTACTTTTATTAAGTTCAGGGGTACATGTGCAGGTTTGTTACCTAGGTAAACTTGTGTCATGAGGGTTTGATGTACAGATTATTTCATCACTCAGGTATTAAGCCTAGTACCCATTTGTTATTTTTCCTGATTCTCTCCCTCCCTCCACCCTCCACTCTCCGACGGTCCCCAGTGTGTGTTGTTCCCCTCTATGTCCATGTGTTCTCATCATTTAGCTCCCACTCATAAGTGAGAACATGTGGTATTTGGTGTTCTGTTCCTGCCTTTAACAACAAAAACAAAATAAAAAACTATCCTAGAGATAACTTAGCTGTATCACCTTAGATCATGTGTTCAATCTCTCCAAAGGCCTGTGTTTTCACCCAGAAGATAGGAATACACAGCCCAGGTGAGGTCACCATGAATTTAAATGAGTCTATGCAGTAGAAAGCCTCTGGCTCAGAATAAGGGATCCGCCCAGGACCAAAAAACATCCACAGTCCCACCTGGCCTCAGCTTGGGGGAGGGCATCTGTTTCAGGAGGTACAGCCTAGGAGGAGGTGGGATCTGGAGGCAGGCACTGAGCCAGCACCCATGGGAGGAAGCCGGAGATGTTTACATTCCTAATTACAGGAAGCAAGGCTTCAGCACAGCCAGGTGTCATTCCAACAGACAAGGTTAATAGGATGTGAGCGGGCCCAGCTGCCACCTCTCTGCTCATGGAAGACAGGCGTGCAGACGAAGTCAGATGAATTAGCCGGCAGCCTGGTCATGCTGGTCAACTTCAGATGTCTGGAGACACAGGTTAAAATTCAATCTTGGCCAGGAGCGGTGGCTCACTTCTGTAATCCCAGCACTTTGGGAGGCTGAGGCGGGTGGATCACAAGGTCAGGAATTTGAGACCAGCCTGGCCAATATGGTGAAACCCCGTCTCTATTAAAAGTGCAAAAATTAGCCAGGCATGGTGGCGCATGCCTGTAGTCCCAGCTACTTGAGAGGCTGATGCAGAAGAATCTCCCGAACCCAGGAGGCAGAAGTTGCAGTGAGCCGGGATTGTGTCACTGCACTCCAGCCCATGGGGGCAGAGCAAGACTCCGCCTCAAAAAAAAAAATCAATTAATCAATCAATCAATCTTGCAGATCTAAGTTTCTCCCAAAACCTCCTCAAGGTCCAGGTAGGACTCCACAGAATGACACTGCCATGGGAACACTGGCGGCCACATCAGACACTTGGCCACTGGCTCTGAGCACTGTCCCCTTAGACTCCCAAGGGTGAAGTTCAAAAGACAGGAATGCATGTGGCCAGCAAAGAGCACCAGCTTCAGAGGCCATATCCTTGAGTTTGGATCCCATCTCTGCCATGTTCAAATTATGCAAACTTCAGCCAGCCATTTATCCGTTTTGGAATTCAATTTTCTCATCTGTAATATGGGAACAGTCCCTTTTAGGGTTGCTGTGAGGATAAAGTACTTACAGGCACAAAGAAAACTAACTCCATAAATAGTAAAAATTATTAGAAGTATTGCTTTTTTTTTTTTTGAGTTGGAGTTTTGCTCTTGTTGCCCAGGCTGGACTGCAATGGCGTGATCTCAGCTCACTGCAACCTCTGCCTCCCGGTTCAAGCGATTCTCCTGCCTCAGCTTCCCAAGTAGCTGGGATTACAGGCATGTGCCACCACACCTGGCTAATTTTGTATTTTTAGTAGAGACGGGGTTTCTCTATGTTGGTCAGGCTGGTTTCGAACTCCCGACCTCAGGTGATCCACCCACCTCGGCCTCCCAAAGTGCTGGGATTACAGGCGTGAGCCACAGAGCCCATTCAGCAGTATTGCTTTAATGGGCTACCTGGGCAAGTTGTGGGCCCAGACATCCATCAATGTGAAGTCCATGCCCTGCCAGCCGGCAGACATTTTAACCAGACCGATTAACAACCTGTTTCTGATCAATGATTTATGGCTTATGTTTCCCTGTTAATGAAATGTAATTGCCAAGCCTGAGATGTAGCGCAGTGGCAAAACAAACTGCCATCTGAAAATTACATCCTAGGTCCCATAAGAAAAGCTACAGCCACAGGCTGGAACACCTAATGATCAGAGTCAAGCGCCACCATGCCTCCCTTTGAGAATCTTGGTCTGTTTGAAGGTGGAGAAGGAGCTCCTTGCCAGTGAATTCTTCTCCATAAAAATTAACGCCGTAACAGAATGCCAAATGGCCTCGGCTAATTTGCTTTTGAATGAGGACTAAATTTTATTCATAAGCATCAGTGTCAGGACTAAAATAACATTTTTATGGACACTGCGAGCATAAACAGCAGTGCAAAGTCAACGAGGGCTGCTACTGAATTGACTTGTTTCCCCTGGATGTAGCTGCTTAGCTAGCAGAGGACTGGACACAAGAGAATTTGGGCTTAGGTCACGCTTCAGGCCTTCCCTGTTTTGTGATATTGAGGGCAAATTAGCTAAAACCTCCAATGAAAATAAAACACTCCCCTGATTCTCAGTCTTATCACCTATAAAGTGGGGGTAACAAGAAAGCCAACCTAATAGAAGTGTTGCAAATATTAAGCTCATTGATTAATCCATCCATAAGGCCAGTTTCAATGCCTGGTTCTGGGGATATGGCAGTAATAAAAACAGAAGCAACCTACTCTCCTGGAACTCACATTCTAGTAGGAGAAGGTAGAGAATGAATAAGTATACCATACATTTTGTTAGGTAGAGATAATTATTAATGAGAAAAATAAATTAGAAGGAGACTGGGTGATAGAGGATGCTGGCAATTTTAAATAGTGTGGTCAGAGCAGAGAGTAAAACCAAGAGGATGGGTAGAATTTATGAAAAAGAAAGAAAAGAATGAAAGCCAAGAACTGGGCTTTAATTAATGTAGGCTTTAAGGGGAAAGGAAGGGCCAGTTATGGTGGGCCGTGCCTGTAATCCCGGAACTTTGGGAGGCCAAGGCAGGAAGATACCATGAGGACAGGAGTTTGAGACCAGCATGGGCAACACAGTGAGACTCCGTTTCTACAAAATATTTAAAAATTGCCTGGCATGCTGACGTGCACCTGTAGTCCCAGGTAATTGAGAGGCAGAGGTGGGAGGATCACTTGAGCCCAGCGGTTGAGGCTGTAGTGAACCATTATCACCACTGCACTCCACCTTGGGCAACAGAGCAAGACCCTGTCGCTAAAAATAAATAAATAAACAGAAATAAAATTTGAAAAATAATGATAAAAATAAAAAATAAGTAATAAGTAAAATAAGTAGTAAATTTTTAAAGGGGGGGAGGAGAAATAAGTGGACACAAAGAATAGCCAGAGAGTAGGAAGGGAAATAGTCAAGAGCTGTATTGTATTATGGAAGCTTAAGGGTGAAAATGCACTTAATGTTAAGAGAACCCTCTTTCCACCCAAGCTCCGTCTTCCACCATTACCAAGTTTGTGATCTCAAGCAAGCTGCTTTGCATCTCTGGGATATTTTTGTACCCTACCACTTCACTGGACTCACTCTCTACAGAACTGCAAGCAACCACCTAAATGCCCAAATTGCCTCTCATTCTCCCAGCCTTCCACAACTACTGACCATCTCCTAGCTTCTCTGAAACTCATCCTTCACATTGTCTCAATTCACCTGCATTGAACAACTCTCCAATGCCAGGCACTGAACTGGGTATTTTCATGTGTCAGGTGTCATACAGTTCCCAATGCAACCCTGTAAGGTAAGCCAGAGATACCATCCTATTTAAATAAGGAAACAGATGCAGAGAACATTCAAGTAACTTGTCCAATGTTGTAAAATTAGTAATTGGTGAACTGGAAATGTAAACTCAGTAGGCTAATTTCAGAGCCAGCACTCTCGATAACTATGTTCTACTTCTACCATAAGATGGCCTACATGGTGCTAAGACCACCAAGCCTGAGGCTCAGAGTTTCTCTCTCCAGGGACCAGGCCAAGAGGTTAGAGGAGTTTGCCTGCCACACCTTGCCATCTTGGAAGGATCTGAGCTGCTGCGACAGTTCTTTATGAAACATGTTGCATGTCTCCCTTGGATCAAGAACCACTGCAGGACTAAAGATAAGAGAATAGATGAATGGGTCAAGAAAATGTGGTGTATATACACAATGGAATACTATGCAGCTGTAAAAAAGTATGAAGTCCTGTCATTCATGGTAATGTGGATGGAACTGGAGGGCATTATGTTTAGTGAAATAAACCAGGAACAGAAAGTTCCTGCATGTTTTCACTTATACAAGAAAGCTAAAAATAGGTGATCTCCTAGAAGTAAAAAGTAGGACAGAGGATATTAGAGGATGGAAGGGCAAGGAGGAAGGAGAGTTAGGGAGAGATTTCTTAAAGCAGGGGTGCCAAACCCCCAGGCCATAGGCTGGTACCTGCCAGTGGCCTATTAGAAACCTGGTTACACAGCACAAGGTCAGCCGCAGACAAGTGGGCATTATCCCCTGAGCTCCACCTCCTGTTAGATCAGCAATGGCATTAGATTCTCATAGGAGCATGGACCCTGTTGTGAACTGTGCATGAGAGGGATCTAGGTTGCCTGCTCCTTATGAGAATCTAATGCCTGATGATCTGAGGTAGAACAGTTTCATCCCGAAACCGTCCCCCATCCCTGGCCATGGAAAAATTGTCTTCCACCAGTCCCAGGTTCCAAAAAGGTTGGGGACCACTGTGTTAAAAGATACAAAATTATAGTGAGATAGGAGGAATAAGTTCTAGTGTTCTATAGCACTGCAGGATGACTACTACAGTTAACAATAGTAAGTACATCATTTCACATAGCTACAAGGAGGACCCTGAACATTCCCAACAGGAAGAAATGACACATGCTGGAGATGATGGATATGCAAATTACCCTGATCTGGTACATTGTATGTATCAAAACATCACTGCCCCATGAATCTGTACAATTATCATTAGTCAATTTAAAGAAATAAAAATAAAAATAAACTGAAATAGACACACACACACACAAACACAGACACAAGAAAAGGTAAAAGAAGCTGCCATGCAACCCCCACAGCCCCACGCTGTCCTTTAATAAACCACCAACCCTGAAATTACTATCTGTGTGAGTCCATGATTCTGGGTTTTCAGAAACCTGACTCACAGGCTGGTGAATGATGTACATTTCACAACACACACTTCACACTTTCATTCATTCATTCAACTCACTTAGAGCCAAGACTATGTATGGCTTAGAATCTACCATGGGCTGGAGAATCACAGCTGAGTAAGACACAGTTGAATCTGGCCTCCAGGGACTCAAGCATCCACCACGAATGATAACACACAGAGGTAAGTGTGGCCAGAAAAATAGTAAAAGGATGCTTAGAAGCTTCACAGGAGAGAATGACTACCCAAGGAAGATGGGGTTGCTACAAAAGGAAGCAGAACAGGAGAGAGGAGGATCCCAGGCACAGGGAACATGAATACTGTGTGCAAACCACAGGGCAAGCCTTGCCCTAAGGGTCATATGCACGTCATCCCATTTGATGTCCACACAAAAATCCTGAGATGTAGGTGTTATTATTTTCATTTTATAGCTGAGATTAAGCCTAAGGTCATATTCAGCAAGGGGGGCTCTTCTACCTCAATCTGGAACCTGGACACACTTAGGCAAGAGTGAAAAAGTTGCTAGATCTGGAATAGAAGTGGGTTGGGGTGGAAAGTGAGCCAGAAGAAAAAGGCTGGGCTTCTCTAGTGGAAGGATCTGAAAGCGACCTCATTCCCTACCCCATCACTCTCCCTTCATTCCACTCATTCTCCTCCTAGCACTTACCACCATACACACAGTAAATATTTACTTATTTATTGGACATCACATATCTCCCTCCACAGGAATGTAAGCTCCATGAGGGTAGGGATGCTACCTGTTTTCTTCACTCTTATACCTTCAGTGCCCAGAACAGTGCCTGCCACCCAGCTAATGTTCAATAAATATTTGCTAAATAAGTAAGAGGTTGTTTCAGACTGCGGACTAGGACTTTAGCCTGGAGACACAGGTTTTTAAAGAAGAGTTGAAGAGATTTTTTTCTTTCTGTTGTTTGAAACAGGATCTTGCTCTGTGGCCCTGGCTGGAGTGCAGTGGTGTGATCTTGGCTCACGGCAGCCTTGAAATCCTGGCCTCAAGTGATCCTCCTGCCTCGGCTTCCCAAGTAGCTAGGACTACAGGCACACACCACCATACCCTACCGGTTTAAAAAAAAATTTCGTAGAGATGTGGTCTCACTATGTTGACGAGGCTGGTCTCAAACTCCAGGCCTCAAGTGATCTCCTTGTCTCGACCTTCCAAAGTGTTGGCATTACAGCCTAAGCCACCGTGCCTGACAACATTGAAGCTTTTAAACAGGGAAGCACCATGGTCTGTTCTATTTTATTAAGAGAGCTGTGGCTGGGGAGGCATTTGGCCCCAAAAAGTAAATCCAGACACCTGCTTGTGACAAAGGAAGAGAGACTGAGGCAAAAGAGTCGGGATGATCCTACACAGGTTGCCAGATGGTGCACTGACTCAAGGCATTTTAACAAACATGGTCCAACTTTCTTCCTGGGTCTTTTGGAAGGCATGGGCGTGGCTATTTGTCAAAGAGTAACTATTAGAACGTCAAAGAATTCAAAACCCAGCTGGGTGAGTGAAGGGCAGAGAACACAATGAAGATGGAACCAGCAGTTCGTCTCTCTCGCCGTCCTTCAGCAGCCGGGGGTGCATCCCAGGCCAAGCTGGATGCTCTCTATTCTCCTGGAGAAGCTTTCCTAAAGGTGGAACCTGTTGGTGTAAATGAGGGCCACTGGGCACGTGGACAGAAACCCTGTGCATATGTGTGTGTCTGTGTGTGTGTCTGTGTGTCTCAGTATGTGAATATACACACACATGCTGCTGCACACGCATGCACAATCTCCTAGATTCCCCATGGAAAGTGACTGCAGCTGTTAAGGAGGTTTCATGAGGCCGAGGCCATTTGTTGAGCACCAACTCCATGTTACAGCCATGCAGAGTGTGTTCCATTTGTGATCTGAAATGTAGGTATTCTTGTTATTCCCATTCTACCAATAAGAGATTGAGTCTCCAAGATCAAGCAGTTCATTTAACAAGTCTTTATTGAGTGACTATCATGTGCTAGGCTGGGAATACAATGAAGAGAAATACTCATGTCTCTGTCCACTTGGGCTTATATAGTCCAAAGGTTTGTGGGATACAAATGTTTATCTAAGTACTCCACCATTGCCTGGGCGACAGAGCTAGATTCCGTCTAAAAAAAAAAAAAAAAAGAACTCCACCATTACATCAGCAGTATGATGGAAAGGTATACTGTTCCAGGTGTGATTAATAATCTAGCCCGAGGAAGAGATCTGAGCTCAGGTGTGAAATGAGGGCAGGTGTATTAAGCGTGTCTTTCTATTTTGATGCTTTGTCATCTTGGGGCCTTGACTCTCCAAGAGTAAGCTAGTTCCTAAAGAGAGCAAATAACTCGCACCTTTCATATGGAAACCAACCAATTCCAAACCCAAATCCCTGAACTACCTACCTTCTTTTTTTTTTTTAGACGGAGTTTTGCTCTTGTCCCCCAGGCTGGAGTGCAATGGCACGATCTCAGCTCACTGCAACCTCCGCCTCCTGGGTTCAAGCGATTTCCTGTGAGATTACAGGCAAGCGTCACCACGCCTGGCTAATTTTTGTATTTTTGTAGAGATGGGGTTTCACCATGTTGGCCAGGCTGGTCTCAAACTCCTGACCTCAAGTGATCTGCCTGTCTCAGCCTCCCAAAATGCTAGGATTACAGGCCTGAGGCACCGTGCCCAGCCTCTAAACTACCTTCTTTATGGAACCCTCACATGCCAAGCCACTATTCCTCTATCCTAATCATCCTAGAGCCAGATACCAGATAACTAGGAATAACCCTTATGACCCAGAGCCTGCTGAAAGTATTTAAGTTAGCCAATCCTAAACTTGCTGAGCTGCCTGCACTGCCTCGCCCATTCTTTCCCATGAAAACCACAATAAAGGCACTCACTCATGTTTTCCTCTTGCTCTGTCCACCTCCTGCCTGACCCTAGTTCTTCCCCATATGGCCCTGAGTGGCGTGGTGTGCTTCCTGTGTCTAGGGATCTGTGAGTGTAAGCATCTGCCTTCATGACAGTCATTTCCTTGTCTGTGTTTTATCATACCTGATTAAAACAAATCTGGGTGCATTTTAAGGCAGTAGGAGTTTTGCTACATGGGCAAGTGCAAAAGTAGAGAGATACCATGGGATGGCAGAGAACAAGAAGCCTTTGTCATAACCTTCCTGGCTGGTTCTGTCCATTCTACTAAATTTCGGTTTCCAGGAACCACAGGAGATGGTGACCATGCCAAGCATATGGAGAATACAGCCGTAGCTGGCTTTGTGGAACTCGATACATGGTGATAAACGCTGTGGTCAGGGAGTACAGGGTGTCAAGAGATCAAAAAGAGGAAAACTTGACCCTGCCTTAGAGGGAAAAAGAGTGTGAGAGAAAGTTTCCCAGCTGAAATGACATCCACAGTGAGTTCTGAAGGATAAGGAGACATTATCCAGGAGAAGCAGGGAATGATAGGGAACAGGTGTGTCCCAGGAAGAGGGCTGAGAGCACGTTGTGATTAGGAAACTATTATTCACAGTACATGTTAGGAATGACCCAGATGAAGCTGCACACAGGGCCTGGAAAGTCACTCCTAGGAGGTTCAGACTTCATCCTAGAGACAACCTAGAGCCATTGAAGAGTCTTAAGTTAGGAGCTCCAGGTCACAAATTTTAGAAACATGGCCACACTTGCCATGTGAAGAACAGATTGGAGGAGGACATGACCAGAGGCAGGAAGACCAGGACGGAGGTAGTGAGATGATCTGAGGGAGAGGTGATAGGATCCGAAGTGGTTGCAATGAAAATGGAATGGAGGTAGCAGAGTTGAGAGAGAGGCATGGACAAAGGGTGAAGGGTCAAGGGTGACATTAGGTTTATGATTCGCATAGCAGGGTAGGTGGCATTACCATTCACTGAGGAAGAGAAGCAGCCACTTCTAGGCAAGGAGAGGAGAAGTGCCCAGGTCAGTTTAAGAGTCTAACAGGACAGCAGTTCCCAAACTTTTTGGCACTAGAGACTTGTTTTGTAGAAGACAATTTTTTTGATGTTGAGGAATGGTTTCGGGATGATTCAAGCGCATTACACTGATTGTACACTTTATTTCTATTTTACGTTGTAATATATAATGAAATAATTATACAACTCACTGTAATGTAGAATCAGTGGGAGCCCTGAGTTTGCTTTCCTGCAACTAGACGGTCCCATCTGGGGATGATAGGAGACAGTGACAGATCATGGGGCATCTGATTCTCATAAGGAGCCTGTAACCTAGATCCCTTGCATGCAAAGTTCACAATAGTGTTCATGCTTCTATGAGAATCTAATGCCTCTGCTGATCTGACAGGAGGCAGAGCTCAGGTGGTAATGTGAACAATAGGGGGTGGCTGTAAATACAAATGAAGCATCACTTGCTCACCAGCCACTCACCTCCTGTGGTGTGGCCCGGCTCCTAACAGGCCATGGAATGGTACTGGGTTGGGTCCATGGCCTGAGGGTTGGAGACCCCTGTTATAGAATATCCAAGAAGAGACATCCAGTGCAAAGCTAGAAGCAAGATCAAGAGCTTAAGAGAGAGAACAAGTCGGCCAGACGCAGTGGCTCATGTCTGTAATCACAGCACTTGGGAGGCCGAGGCAGGCGGATCACCTGAGGTCCGGAGTTCGAGACCAGCCTGACCAAAATGGAGAAACCCCATCTCTACTGAAAATACAAAATTAGCCGGGCATGATGGTGCATGCCTGTAATCCCAGCTACTTGGGAAGCTGAAGCAGGAGAATCGCTTGAACCCGGGAGGTGGAGGTTGCAGAGAGAAACTCGTCTCAAAAAAAAAAAAAAACAAAAAGAGAAAGAACAAGTCAAAGATGGCATTTGGTCAAGTTGTAGCTCCCACGTCATCACTGTCCCCGTGGCTAGTTATGTCTTCAGGTAATAGCTTCTCTCATTCAGGGCTTCCTCCTCACTTTGCCTGAGCCTTGCTATGGTTTTTCTGCCTTTCTCTGCATTTTCTGTTTCTGATCGATAGGAAGTCAGCCATGCAAGCCATAAAAAGAATGCTGTGACTTGGTGGCTGTGTCAATCTGAATTTTGGCTGAGTGTTCATAAAGAAGACAGTAACTTTTATGCTGATTTTCAGATGAGAAAATTGAGGTTTGACTTGCTCCAGATCACCTACTTGGCCAACAAAGCACAAGAGATGTAGACAGTGTTCTATTCACACTGGGTTCTGGACTTTGGTTACTATTCCACATGCCACATGGTCTAGACCAGAGGTTGGTGAGCTATGGCCCCTGGCCAAATCCAGTCACCATCTGTCTTTGTCATACAGTTTTATTGTAACACAGACATGCACATTTGGTGTTGTCTATGGCTATTTTCCACTTCAAGGACAGAGCTGAGTAGTTACAACAGAGACTGTAGGGCCTGCCAAGACTAAAATGTTTACTCTTGGATCCTTTACAGAAAGTAAGTTTGCTGGCCCTTGCTCTAGAAAATGACACCATTCTTTCTTCTAATGGCTGGGATTTCTGAGACTGGGAGAACCATGTGTCACTGTCCTAGGTCACTGCATATTATATGGCAACCCACACTCCCATCTTTAATGCAAAAACATCTTTGGCTGAAACAGTACAGTTAGTAGCTACCAGGCTTAGTACCCATTTTGTGTCAAAAACGTTGAAGGTAGCATTGTTCTCCTCTACCACGTTCCTGCATGGTAGACATTTTTATCTCCATTTTGCAGATGAAGAAATAGAGATTCAAAAATGTGATGATACTTGCTTGAGGTTAGGGCCGATGGCACACTTGGGTCAGCCTCTCTCCAAAAGCCTTGATTTCTTTTTTTCCATTACAACTTGCCCATCTCCAAGAAAGATCTCCAGCTGAGGGCTCTAGGCAGGGGGCGGCAATCTGTACCTGACAGTACTGGACACAGCAGGGCACCCACTCAGAAGTGCTTGGTGTTCCACTTCGTCCCCACACAGGAGCTTAAATCAGGCTGTCAACAGCTGTGGTTGCTACGGCTTTAATTAAAGAATAAACAATGTCCTTCCACTTTCCTTTTATAGGCCAAGTATCTTGGGACTGGGGATTTGAATTCCAAAGAAACCACCAACTTGCTGTAGTGTTAATAGTGTTATGTTTGGGAACAGGGTTTTCAAAATCATTCAAGGGCAAGTTCAGAAAACTTGGATGTGATTCTATGGGGGAAACCACTTAAAAAGAAACTTTGGATTGGATATTACAATGATAGATGTGTACAGACCTTTGAGGTCCTAGGGGTCTGTATTATTCACTGTTTCAGCATTGATAGGAAACAGATCGGGACATGTTTAAAGAATTAAGACATAGGTGTGATGAGAATTTAGAGGGAAAAGAGGGCATGATGTGCTCAGAGAACTAAAAGGGTTTCAGTGCAACTGGAGCAGAGAATGAAGGTGGGAAGAATGAGATATGAGGCCTATTATCCCCATTTACACAAGGCAAGGGAAGCAAAAGCATTAAATGCCTGTGATGGACCGAGGATGTCCACACAAATTACATCATTCAAGTCATGCTCCAGCGAGCATGCAAAGCGAGAATTAGTCCTCATTTTAAAAATGACAACTCTGGTAATATATTTAAAAATTATAATAATATAATAAGAACAATAATGACATATGCTAAGCACTTAGTCTGTGCCACATAACAGTCAACTTACTTACAAATATCTTCTCATTTCAACCCAAGAAAGACATTGGGTGAGGGGTCCACAAACTGTAGCCCATGGGCCAAATCCTACCTGTGGACTCAGGGTGGTTTTTACATTATTAAATAGTTTAAACATTTTGTAAAACACAAATATTTTGCGACGTGAAAATTACATGCAATTTACATTTCAGAGAATAGTTTCTTGAAACACAGCTACACCCCCTCATTTACATGCCGTCTACCACTCCTCTTGCACTGCCGGAGCAGAGTTGAGTTGTTGGAATGGTAGCTGTGTAGCCGTCAAAGCCAATAATATGTATTATCTCTGGTCATTTACAAAAAGATTTTGCCAATTCTGACTCCAGAAGATAAGTAGGTACTGTTCCCAGACTCATTTTACTGGTATGGAAGCAAAACTTTAGACAGTGCCCTCTGTGGCCTAGTTTACCCAGCTGGTATGCAGCAGAGCTGTGGATAGAAGCTGTCACTCTATTCCAGACATTGCATGCCTAAATAAAACCCCCACCGCCATACACCAACCACGCCTTCCACAAACGTGTTTGCAGGAAGCATCAAAGATCTTCTGAAGATTCCATGATGGGGACAGTCAAGAAATAAACTGAGATGGGCATGGTGGTACGCATCTGTAGTCCCAGCTACTAGGGAAGCAGAGGTGAAAAGGTTGCCTGAGCCCTGGAATTTGAGGCTGCAGTGAGCCATGATGGCACCATTACACTCCAGTCTGGGTGACAGAGTGAGACCCTGTCTCAAAAAAAGAAAAGAAATAAACTGACATCCCTGGAGAAATATGAGCAGATAACAACCAACAATCCATGAATGACCAATGAGAATTTTAAAGCAAGGAATATGAGACACTTGTAATAAAAGAAATTCAAATTAAAAAGTCATATACGGGATCACGTTTTTAACCTAATTAATACTGGACAAATGTTTAAAATTCATTGCTGTTGAGGGTACAGTTTTACATATACTCTCAGAAATATTTGGTGGAACTGTGAACCGGGACAAACTTTGAAGAAATTAAGCTGGCAACATTATTCAACTTATTTCCTTCCTAAAATAACATTAATTGTACCTCTAAGGATCCATCTTAGATAAATCATCTGAGATGCAGAGAGGGACCCATGTTTCTGTGCATCCCAGCGTACTATTAATAAATGGGAACAGGGGGGTCCAACAATTGGTAAATAATTAAATAAATTATGGCGTATCATGCAATTTAGCCACTGTAGCCATTTGCAAGAATCACACTTTTGAAGAATACTTAATGTGTGAATTTTATTCTGAGGGAGATGAGAAGCTCTTGAAGAGATTTGACAGAGAAGTGGCATGCTTGGACTTAACATTTTAAGAGGATTTCTCTTCCCATGAGAAGAGTGAATTGGAGGAGGGGCAAGATGACCAATGAAGAGGCAACTGCAATATTCTAGGCAAGAAATGATGCTGGCTCAGACCAGTGAGGTTATGATGGAAAGACGTCATCTGGATATTTTTCTTTTCTTTTTTTAATTTCAACCTTTCCTTTAGATTTGTGGCATAAATGTGCAGGTTTTTCAAATTACAGAATGACATGAAAGTGCCATAATGTTTGGACTTAATGTAGCCATGCCAGACACTTATTTTCTTTTGCTCTTCCCAAACTTACCAATATGCCGAATATATGGGTATATTGTGTGACACTGAGGTCTGGGGTATGAGTGATCCTGCTACCCAGGTAGTCAGTATGGTACCCAATAAGTAATTTTTCCATCCTTAACCCCCTCCCTCCCTCCCTTCCCCCTCTAATAGGCTCCAGTGTCCATTGTTCCCTTCTTTGTGTCCATGTATACCCAATGTTTAGCTCCTGCTTGTAAGTAAGAACATGCTGTATTTGATCTTCTGTTTCTGCATGAATTTGCATGGGATCGTGGCCTCCAGCTGCATCCATATCACTGCATAGGATAAGATTTCATTCTTTTTTACAGCTTTGTAGTATTCCAGGGTGATATTTTTCAAAATATCAGGATTGCTGATGTATCACTGGATGTAAATGGTAAGAGCAGAAGTGGAAGATGATTTTAAGGAATTTAACCAGAGCAACTGGATGACTGGATTAGCTATTTACTGAGATGGGGAAGTCAGCATTAGAGAAAGTTTTGGAAGAGCAAAAGAAAATAAGTGTCTGGCTTGCATACACTAAGTCCAAATATTATGGCACTTTCATGTCATTCTGTAATTTGGAATATGTCAATGCTCTCCTATTATGAGTTATTTAAGAACCAGAAGTGTGTCATTTCTTAAAATGACATGTTTTTCTAAATATGCGTTCTTATAAAAATGATACTTTCATTATAGAAAATTCAGAAAATAAAGAAAAATATACAAAGAAAATTAAAATTGCTTATCATGCTTGGTCTCACAGATAACTCCTGTTATTTCCTACCCTTGGAGGATACATTCCATGCTATGCTTCTGGAATATTGTGTTCAAAGGCACTCAAGCACCCTCTAAAGGGGAGAGTTTCTTTGTTGTCATGAGCTTTAAGGATCTAGTGTCTTCCTTTGCTGGCTTCTCAACCAGGACATGTTTACCATCCTCAAATCCAGATTAAAGGACCTCTTTGGGGGAATTTGCATCATTTAGTTTTTAAGCCTCAATTTCAACACAATTTTCAAAACAGAGGTCTTCCCAGGATATGGTGTTGAAAAATGGCTAAGCGGCTTAGCACCTCCATGTCCCATAATACTATCTAAGATGTCACAGAGGGGACGTTAAAAATAGCTTCAGAGACAAATGATCCTGGAGACTATGGAGGGCTTTCTGATGATTTGCAAAATCTAGTGTTGGATAAAAGAGTTACAAATGGCTTGATAGCTGATAAAAGCATATTAGATAAATACAGCTAAGAGAAATGTAAAGGTGAGTTCTCAGAAAGAGAGGCTGGCAGATTATGAAGAACTAGGGATAATGTATAAATCTGAAATTCTTTCAATCGTGTAAGAAGCGTATGTAAGAGCCTTGTCTCTGGTAAGAGTTGGGCAGGAAGCTGGGCTAAGTGTGACCTGCCCCTGCTTACGAGCATGTGTCTTGTATGTATAATTCTCATGCAGACGTACAGACATTTATTTTACTCTGATAGCTTGTTTGCAGAGGGAGAGGGGCCATTTATTAAGTATTTAGACATTGGACACTATAGCAGAGTGTTTAGGCACACGGACTATAAAGTCAAATAGCTTGGGGTTGCACTCTGCCAATTATTAGCAAGTCAAATAACCTGAGTCTCAGTTTCCTCACCTATACAATAGGGGTAAGAAAAGCTCATAAAACTGTTAAGTTCTTTAAAAGTCCCGAATTAATAGCAGCATTTGTGTGGGGGTGTGGGCACATGTGTGTAATTGTCAAAGTATTCAAGGTCGGAAAAAATCATTTCGTTTTCAGATGAGGAAATTGAGATGCAAAAGGTTAAACCACACGCCCAAGGTCACAGAACTAAGTGCTAGGATAGGGCTTATTAACATTAGCTCCGAGTTCTTGTGATTATTTTCCAGTGGCAAAGAAACAGACTGGGAAGGAAAGAATAGTGAACTCTTCATGGGCACATCTTGGAGAAGGGTCTTGAAGGAGAAACGGTTGGGTTTCTCACACTGGATTTTCTTCTGCCACATTGTTATGAGCAGGAAAGATGTCTTCTTTTCTGAGCTTTAATATGTGGCTTTAGAGCCTCCCATCTTGTCCCCTTTCTTCTATGTCATACATCTATGCCTACGGCATTTCTCATCATAAAAATCCTTCCTGGCTTCCCACTTCATAGGAGATGAACTCCAAACTCCTGTCACAATCTGGCACTAACCTAATTTTCCAACCTTCAAGTGTCCTGCTTTCCAGCCCAGTTGAACAATTGCTAATCCCTGTGCACATCCAGGACCTTAGAGCTCTGCATCTCTGCCTTCCCCCGACAGCACAACAATCATTTCCAACTCTGTGGTCTCTATTTTTTAAACAAACATCCATCCCCCAGTGCATAGGGAGCTCTTTGAGGAAGAACCCATTTATAATTCACCTGTTCCCAGTCATTCCTCTAATAATCCCCAACAGCAATGAGAAGGGTGTATTTGATCCAGTAGGAAACTCAATAAATATTTGCTGGGAAAAATGGCATAAATAATAATCAGAGTAGTAGTAATAATAATAGCTAATAGAGTTATTGAGTGCAAACTATGTTCCTGACACTCTTCTAAATGCATTCCATACAGAACTCATTTGATCCTCACAGCCACTGTGGCTGGCAGCACTGATGGCTCCTAAGGATCCCCCTCCCTCTTCGCATTCACACCCTGCATAATCCCCTCTTCTTGAGTGTGGGCTGGACCTAAAGACTTCCTTCTAATAAATAGAATATGCAAAAATGATGGGATGTCATCCCCAAGATTAGGTAACAAAAGCCTGGGCCTTCTGTCTTTCTGGCGCTCTCTCAAGTCCTCTCACTTGCTCTGATGAATCAAGCTGACATGTTGGGAGCTGCCCTATGCAGATATTCATGTGGAAAGACACCAGGTAAAGTCTCCAGCCAACAGCTTGGGAGTAACTGAGACCCTTAGTCCAACAACCCACAAGGAAGGGAATCTTGACAACACCCTCTTGAGTGAGCTTGGAAGCTGCTCTGCTTCAAGCTCTAAAATAACTGCACTGGTTAGCACCTTGAATGCAGCCTTAAGGGAGGCCTACAAGTAGTGCCTGGCTTCCTGACCCACAGAAACTGTGTGATAATAAATGTTGTTCTTTCAACCCACCAAGTTTTGGGGTAATTTGTTACACAGCAGTAGCTGTGTAATACAACCACCTGTTATGCGGCAATAGCTAGCCCATACAACCGCCTGTTACAGAGCAATAGCTAGCTAATACAGCCACCCGTTAAACAGCAATAATAGCTACTACAACCACCTGTTACAAAACAATAGTTAACTAATAAAGCCACCTGTTATAGAGCAACAATAGCTAATACAACCACTCTTACCACCTCATTTTGTAGACTAGGAACCAAGGCCCAGCTCAGGAATTTCATGAAAAGTCCTGTAGCTAGCTAGTAAGTGGCAGAGCCAGGATTTGAACCCCAGCAGTCCAGGTCCAGAATCTCGACTCTTTTTTTTCTTTCTTTCTTTTTTGAGATGGAGTCTCACTCTGTAGCCCAGGCTGGAGTCCAGTGGCACGATCTTGGCTCACTGCAACCTCTGCCTCCCAGGTTCAAGCGATTCTCACACCTCAGCCTCCCAAGTAGCTGGGATTACAGGCCCACTGGCCTGCCACTATACTCAGCTAATTTTTTGTATTTTTAGTAGAGACGGGGTTTCACCATGTTGGCCAGGCTGGTCTCGAACTCCTGACCTCGTGATTAGCCTGCCTCGACCTCCCAAAGTTCTGGGATTACAGGCATGAGCCACCACGCCCTGCCCAGAATCTGTACTCTTGACTATTAATGCTACAATAATAACAAAGGATGGATGGAAAGGTTGATGAATGAATAGTTTTCTCTCTTCCCTCACTGAAGGGGTCTATTGCTGAGCCCTGAGGGAGCCAAGAAACATGGTGAGCTCACTATTAATCTCACCAGTTGAACCATCAGCCCCAGACAGAGCATTTTACTAAAAAGTAGCCTCTGCAAGAATGTCTGTTGTCTTGCTGAAGTCGATGTTTGGGTGGGAGGAGGATAAACAGTGAGTGAAAAACAGATTGCATGAGTTGAGAAATGATGCAATTATGTGCCAGCTGCAAGGTTGAAGCAGGCTTCCATCAGATACATCACCTTATCAAGTTATGTTGCAGGTGACTGTTTTCTTTATGGCTCAAAAGAATGTAAAGTCCTCAAGTAACAAATGTTGGTATTATTTATTTTCATATCTCCAGCACCTCAAAGAGGGATTGTTTGTCATAGAAAGGATGCTTGTGGCTGAACGCAATGGCTCACACCTGTAATCCCAGCACTCTGGGAGACCGAGGTGGGCAAATCACTTGAGGTCAGGAGTTCAAGACCAGCCTGGCCAACATGGTGAAACCCCGTCTCTACTAAAAATACAAAAAATAGACAGGCATGGTGACACACACCTGTAATCCCAGCTACTCAGGAGGCTGAGACAGGAGAATCACTGGAACCCAGGAGGCAGAGGTTGCAGTGAGCCGAGATCACGCCATTGCACTCCAGCCTGAGCGACAGAGTGAGACTCCATCTCAAAAAAAGAAAGAAAGGATGCTTGTACAAAAGGTGTCATGTAAAGGGTGCCCCTGTGAAAGGAATGAATGAATGAATAAATGAAAGAAAAAAATGGGTGAAGGCAGGAGGATCACTTGAGGCCAGGAGTTCGAGACCAACCTAGACAACAAGCAAGTGTCCATCTCTACCAAAAATATTTTTAAATTAAAAACTTAGCCAGGCATGGTGGCATGTTCCCATAGCCCTAGCAACTAGGAGGTTAAGACAAGGGGATTGCCTGAGTCCAGGGGGTTGAGGCTACAGTGAGTTATAATCACATCACTGCATACCAGCCTGGGCAACAGAGCTAGACCCTGAAAAAAAAAGAGAGAGAGAAAAAATAATGGATGAATGAGTGAATGATTGAATGAAATAAGTTTATGAGGATTATCACAGGGATATATTTAACCATGAGTTCTTTACTAATTCATGTATAAAAATGATTATTCATAGGCCACAACTCTCCTTTCACTTTAAAATAATGGAGGGGCAAAGGAAACCAATATTTATTGAGCACTTATTATGTTCAAGGTCTTGTCCTAAAATCACGTTTAATCCCCACAACAGTTTGGTTGTCCCATTTCCATCTTGCAAAACAAAGTCAGGCTTGGACAGGTAATGCAGCCCATGCAATTCACACAGAGTGCAAACTGCAGAATTCATCGCTTTAGACTCCAAAGGCCGTTTCTTGGCCTGTCCTTGCATTCGCACCTGCTGTATAAATGATTGGAGAAGGGAGTTGTGCTCACATTTAGAATTAGGGTGTTTTGTCCTGTCTACTGCTGACACTAACAGTACTATCCATTTATTTCCCCATGCATTCATTTAGTCCACAATTACTGACTGTGCCAGCCACTGCTCTAGGCACTAGGAGCAGCATTCGTGTTTGGGGCCAGGATTGGAGACAAAGCTTTGTACCTGGGAAAGCCCCAGACTGCTGTCTGAACTCAGGGCACATGACCATAACAGAGCTCACACTGAATAACCAGCTCATCTTCCCAGGCTCCTGGATGATCTGAAATGGGGACCATCTGCTCCTTATCAGAAGAGGACAAACTCAAGTCCAAGTTCATGCCATGGGCGGCCCTTCATTTTCCCTTAGGAAACAGGAAAAGGGGCACAAAACTGCCACATCTGCAGTATGCCAGCCTCCTACATGCATGCACCTTATTCAACACTGACATGAGCCCGTAAGGTACCAGTGCCTTCATTTTACTCATGAAAAAACTGACTCTCAGAGATGCTAAGAGAGTTGTCCCAGGCCATATCTCAGACAAAGAGCAGCTGGAATTGAGTAAAGGTCTACAGCCCAGTTAACCACAATGCCGTGATGTTCACTGACTGTTTCGCAATGAACTTTTATACGCACACTTCAGACTGTGCCTCCACCCCCACGAGCTCTGTACAAGCGGATTGCTAGGACCGCCACCAGCAGCGCTGGATAGCACTATTCTTGAATCAGTTAAGCTGAAATCCTCAACGTGGCCAGGATCTGAGAAAACTGTCTGTCTCAAGGAATAAAATGTCTATTCCAGCCAGGGAACTGCCCCATGTTTTGCTCCAAAAACACTGGGCCCACAGTATGAGAGCAAAAGAGAAACACTAAAGGACACTAAATCAGTAGTCAGTAACTCAAACATTCACACAGAAGGGATATAATGTAATCTATTATACATAGTGGATAGCAGTAGTAATAGCTATCACTAGTAGTGACAATTGAAACCTTTGTTGGGTTGGGCATGGTGGCTCACGCCTGTAATCCCAGCACTTTGGGAGGCCGAGACAGTGGATCCAGAGGTTAGGAGTTTGAGACCAGCTTGGCCAACATGGTGAAACCCCCGTCTCTGCTAAAATTACAAAAATTAGCCTGATGTCTTGGCATGCACCTGTAATCCCAGCTACTCGGGAGGTTGACGCAGGAGAATTGCTTGAACCCGGGAGGCAGAGGTTGCAGTGAGCTGAGATTATGCCACTGCACTCCAGCCTGGGCAACAGAGCAAGACTCCATCTTGGGGAAAAAACAAAACAAAACAAACAAACAAAAATTTTGTTGATGGTAACTGACTACCACTGTTCTGTGCACCTTACCTGTATTAAGACATCAACTCCTCCTCCTGGCAAGCTTATTTTATGAATTTTAAAGTTGAAGAAATACAATGTGCGAGAGATTAACTAATTAGTCCAATGTCACACAGCCTGTAAGGGACAGAGACAGCCTGTGAACCCAGACAAACTGGATCTAGAACCCATTCTCTTAAATACTACATTGTGCTACTTATTGATACGGATACATGAAGGAGGCTGAATGCAGGAAAATAGAAACACACAGGAAATGATCATTGGCACCTGTCACTCAGTGTCAGCATCACAGAAATAAGAGCAAATGATGGGGGCAGCAAATTGGAGTGCACGTGCCTCATCTAAGGGGCGACCACGGCTCAACCCTCATGGTGCATTGCCTCATGGAAAGATGACAGTTGGGTTTCCAGAGGTCCTGATCGTCCAGAGACACCAGACATCCGGATTTTAGGTGAAATTTCCAGATTTAAATGTCGCACTGTGTTGGCCATACAGAGCACACCTGCAGCCACATTTGCTGGCATGATGTCCATCTGCAACTCATCCTCAGGAAGAACAAGTCTCAGGCCAGGGGCTCCATCCGCTTCCGCCCGCAGTCCTTCCATCATCAGTTCATTCTGATTGCAAGGACTCTTTCTGGCCCTGAGTTAAAATCTGCCCCAGCCAGCATCCTTCCCTCTCCCTTCCCTCCCCTGAAAGAGCCTCCCACTTCTCCTGTGATCACTGAGAGAATAATCCCTCTCCCCCATGACAACCCTTCACATATTTTGATCATTGGGATGATTTCTGAGCTGACATTAGTCTTATCCCATCTAATGAGAATGATAGAGAGGGTAACATAGTCACAGGCAGATTAGAGCTTCTGAGGTCACTGCCTTTAAGGCAGCTTTGCAAGCACCTCCTGACTCCAGGGCTCTATCCAATTCCTCTCCCACCCACAAGCCCACAGCTGGCACAGGAACTCTCAGAGTCACAAACTCCACCCTCCTCTCCCAGAGGTTCCAGCTCCACCACCAGGCAGGTACCTCACCGTTGCCCTCTTCCTTCTCTTCTCACTTGAGTCCAGGAGGTGATTCTCAGATCAACTCATTGAAATTAAGGCAAACTAGTGATAACCTTATTATGATTTGAATAGGAAATGGTCTAGAGAGAAACATACCAAAAACCTAATTGTGAATACCTTCCTCTAAGAAATAAGACTGGCGGACAATTTTGTAAAAAATTCTTTTCGCAGATCCTAATTTTTCTAGAACATTGCATGATTTATAAAATAAAAAGCAAAATATTTTGGATTTCTGAATTTAAAATAAGAATTAGGCCAGGCGCGGTGGCTCACGCCTGTAATTCCAACACTTGGGGAGACTGAGGTGGGCGGATCACGAGGTCAAGAGAATGAGACCATCCTGGCCAACATGTTGAAACTCCATCTCTACTAAAACAATGCAAAAATTAGGTGGGTGTGGTGGCTCGAACCTGTAGTCCCAGCTACTGGGGAGACTGAGGCAGGAGAACCACTTGCACCCAGGAGGTGGACGTTGCAGTGAGCCAAGATTGCACCACTGCACTCCAGCCTGGTAATAGAGCGAGCGAGATTCCGTCTCAAAAAAACAAAAAACAAAGAATTATAGAATACATGTCTTGCATTGGATCAGTGGTTCTCAAACATATGTCTGCACTAGAATCACCTGGAGGGTTTCTTACACCTCAGAGGGCTGGATCCCATCCTCAGAATTCCTCAATCTGTAGGTCCAGGCTGGGGCCCAAGAAATTGTGTTTCTAACAGGTTCCAGGTGATGCTGATGCTGCAGGCCTGGGTACCCTGTGCTGAGACCTCCTGCTCTAGAACATTTTAAATATACCCATCCAAGTGATGTGGAGGCATTTCTGCCTCCAGTGTCTGCCCAGCCACTTCATCTCAGAACTGGAGCTTTTACTGAGCTGCTGCTTCTACAGGGCCCTACAACATATTCCAGGCATATCTCCCATCTCCACTGCCCACCACGACCATCAAACATTAAGTAGGAATGGGCAAAGGTATGTTGCAAGACTATCTCCCTGCCACCAAGCTATGCAGAGAGCAGAAACAGAGAACAGTGATATAATTCTCACCACCACTCAAAGTGAAACTTTGAGATGAGCAACTTTCAGATGCTCATCTTCCTGTTTACTCCCTAGTCAAAAGTCAGTCTGCCCCAGCTGCTGGCCAATATCTGTAAGAGCTCATGGTACCTATGAAGAAGAAGGAATCCAGTGGCAAGCAATAGAGCACCTCAGGTTGCTTCAGGTCACAGCCTGTGGGTGGGAATACCAGGCAAAGTCTTCCAAGGGAGGAGAGCAGGCTTGATGCTTGGCATGGCACAGCCACACTAATGGGCTGTACCAGGAGTCAGAGTATGGTTTCTAGGGGCTTATTCCTGGGGTATATACTGGTCCCCAGCAACCTTCAAATAGAGAAGAACTGTAATATCATTACCTAGTAGAGGCAGACATAGCATAATGGTCAAGTGTGCAGGCACTGAAGTCAGAACTGCATGAGTTTAAAACAGCCAGCTCTATTGTTTTCCAGCCATATGACCTTGGCCATGTCCCTTAATCTCTGTGGGCCTCAGTTGCTACACCTGTGAAGTAGAAGCAATGATCATGCCATCTTAGTGGATTCCTATGAAAATTAAATGAGATACTCCATATAACGCATTTAGAATAGTGTCATGATATGGTATATGAAGGCTCTCAACAAATGTTAGTTACCATTTTTCAAAGTAGAGATACAATGTTAAATTAAACAACATGGGGCCAGGTGCAATGGTTCACACTTGTAATCCCAGCACTTTGGGAGGCCCAGGTGGGAGGATCACTTGAGCAACGGAGTTCGAGACCAGCCTGGGAAACACAGCAATTCCCTGTCTCCAAAAACATTAATTAATTAATTATGTACAGAGGAGGTCCTTGTGAAGAGTTCTATATGTAAAAAGACATAATGTTGCAATCAAGTATATTTGTAAGTATTTTGTTCATTATGATTCTGGGTAAAGAATAAAATGTCTTAACTCAGTACAGATAGGTGAACATGACATGGGACATGAGAAGGAAATTTTTCAGTTCATAAGATGTGTGAAGACACACGAATGATAAAAAGGAATGGACTTGCAAGGTCGAGTTTTGCAGAAGACAGTGATGGAGATCAGAGGCAGAAGAGTCCATTACCCACAGAAGGAAATGCATGAGGCTGCAGACTCAATAAATTCTTGGGAACAAAATACCAAACATTGAGAATTCACACAACCTCAGCTGTTCTGACTGAGGAAACTCCTCCCGTTGTAGTCCCCAGGATCTATTTTTCCCATTTATAGGAACTTTTTTTTTTTTTTTTGACAAGAAATTTCACTCTTGTCACCCAATGGCACAATCTTGGCTTACTGCAACCTCCGCCTCCCAGGTTCAATTGATTCTCCTGTCCTGTTCTGGCCCTAGGAACAGCAGAGCCCCCTCTGCTCATGGCTTCATGAGTGGACTTGCCTTACCAAGGATCCCGAATGCTGAGGCCAATGTTCCACTCACTCTGCCTACACCTTCCCTGAAAGGAACCAGATGTTTAGAGACTGTAGGGTAGGGATCCTCCCACCCGCACCTCCCGAGCTCCTTTTCTTCATAGAATACTTGGTGCGCATCTCCAGAACTGAACTCATCACCCTTTTTTATCTGTTACAATGTCTCGCGTGAACATGTGAATGCCTTTAGAAAAGAGAATATGCCTAATTTATTTTTATGTACCTAGTGCCCAGCCTATTGCCTGGCATATAGGAGGTATTTATTAAATATTTGCAGAATAAATGGGATGAAATGAATAAACGGCTAAGTAACCAGTTCAGTAAAATTACATGTATATAATACACTCGAACATCACTTAATCATTATATCACCAAGATAATTAACAACATGAAATAATGTTTATAAAATAATGTTAAGTAAAATTACAGGAAACAAAATGATGTGTACACTATGATTGAACTGATGAGGAAATGTTTACTTCTGGGCCGGAACTGGAAGAAAAATATACAAGAATCATTGTACTGATTAATTGTCCTTAACTGAGCGGCAGGATTCACAGGGACTGAGCGTAAAGGCTTTGGAGCCAGCCTTGTCTGGGATCAAAACCCAGCTCCATCATTTCCTAGCTGGGGTCTTTGAGCAGGTTATTTAAAGATGCCTCAGTTTTCTCCTCTGCAAAATGAGAATAACAATAGGACCTACCTTATAGGGTTGCCCTGCGCATTATATAGGTTGAAACACATCAAGTATCTCACATGGTAAGTACTCAATGGTACGTACACTTTCATGATGAGAGGGTTTGGGACATATTTTTATTATTTACTTATTTATATCTATATATTTATATTTCAACTCTTAGATTCTGGGTGTACATGTGCAGAGTATAGTGTGTGTTGCTGAGGTCTGGAGTACAACTGAACTCGTCACCCTGACAGTCAGCACAGTACCCAACCGGTAGTTTTTCAAACTGCATCCCCCACACTCCTCCCCTTGTAGGCCCCAGTATCTATTTTTCCCATTTCTAGGGACCTTTTTTTTTTTTTATGAGATGGAGTTTCAATCTTGTCACTCAGGCTGGAGTGCAATGGTGCAGTCTTGGCTCCCTGCCACCTCCTCTTCCCGGGTTCAAGTGATTCTCCTGTTTCAGCCTCCCAAGTGGCTGGGATTACAGGCATCCACCACCATGCCCAGCTAATTTTTGTACGTTTTTAAAGTAGAGACGGGGTTTCATCATGTTGGCCAGGCTGGTCTCGAACTCCTGACCTCAGGTGATCTGCCCACCTCGGCCTCCCAAAGCACTGAGATTACAGTGTGAGCCACCTCGCCCAGCCTTAGGGACTTTTTAAAAAATGTGTGCTTTGATTTTGTTATATTGAATGGTCCAGTTTCATTAAATCCTGCCCACAATGGACACCACATCTCCTGGCCAGCTCGTCCCCTCTCACCACAAGATTAGTCAATCCTCAGCAAAGCTGTCCTGATTCAGCTAAAATACCTGCAGGTCTGCAAAGGACAAGAATGTAGAGCTAAGAGGAAGAACGTTTGCCTCCAACATTACAAGACTAAATTATTTGATGATGAGAGTAAAATGCTGATGAAATGCCTTTGGGAGTACATGCTGTTGTGTCAAAATCATTGAAGATATTTGTTCTGTCGAGGAATGGGAAACTCAGGCCAGGAAGAGAGTGAAAACAGGACAGGAAGTCAGAAGGGCAAGTTTGAGGTTTAGCTGTACCAATAACTGGCTGAAGTTTCTTTCTTATAGTGGGAATATTCCCAATATTCTAGAGCCATACAGACAAGACTAACAATGGGAGCAGTATTTGGATAGTCAGTCTAAGACACACAAGAAGGAGGGCATGAAAAAAGTAGAAGTTGGGGGAGAAAGTAAATCACTGCAGACTTGACATTCAGCTATCAGGAACATGACGAACTAGAGTTAGTCAAGAAAAAAAAAGACAGATGTGGCTAACCCTTGCATTGGGGAGAGCATGGGTTCATGAGTTGAGTTTGGATGTTCAAGAATCAGGCTGTTAAATCTCTCTTCCTACAATTTGGGATACGGGGATGATGTCAATGTGACATCAAGTAAGTGATTCTACATTTGCTCAAAAGTCCACCATTGCTTTCTAGACTGGATTTAATTTAATTTAATTTTTTTCTTCTGCTACCCCTGCTTCAGAATTTAACCCTGGCATTCTCTTCGTTTTGATATAAATACACCTTCCTCTACATCTTGGGTGGTAGTAGGTAGTGGCAGTAGGAGGAGTAATGGCACTCATAGTAATAGGATTGGTTGAATTCTTATTAGGTGCTGGACACTGTTCTAAGTGATCGTACATGCATTAATTTATTTAGTTACAATAAACTTATGAGAAAGTACATGAGAGACTCTTGGTGCTTGCAAATGACACCTCCACATCTCCCAGCCTGCCTTGGTTTGGTTGGTTAGGTATCTTATTCCGAATGGAACAGAATAAAGTGTGTAACTCCAGGCTGAGAGGGCTAAGTATCCACCTCACCTTCATGCTATTTTCAAGGCTGGACTTCAAGGCTAAAGATTCCAAAATAGTGGAGCCAAATGATGAAGGGGCTGGATCCCTGAGTTACTGCTTGGAGGAGAGCCACCCCGGAAAAATGTGAGACACTCATCAGTTAGTATAAGCAAGAAATTGTTACTGTGGTTAGGCACAAATATTGTTGGCTTGTTTTTTACAGAAGCTGGCACAAATTCATTACCCTGACTAAAATGTAGTCATTATGCCAACTTTAAAGATGAGAACACTGAGGCAAAAGTGGATAAGCAATGTATCCCAGGTCATACCAGTGAATGGCATAGATGGGATTTGAACTCAGGTCTCTCTAGCTCCAGAATTTATATTCTTTCTTTTTTCTTTCACTTTGCTCATACTTTCTGTGGCTCTCTTAAGATTTTTCAAGATGGATTTCCTGATGTATCAGTTCCAACAGTTAAAGTGACCCCTACAGCGAGAAAAAAACCCTCCTTTTCCCTGGATATTTGGGAATGAGATCCATGACTTCGTACCTTGTTTTCTCCCTGGGTGTATACAAGAGCTGCCCATACCAAAAGTTCTTCTAAAGAGGCTACTGGGTGTGTTCAAGGCCTACTTGTCTGCAATTTCCTTCTTTTTATAACCACATACTACAACCTGGCTAAAAAGAGAATTAGTAACCAATAAGCTTGCAAATTATCTCAAAGCTTAAAGATTTTTATTATCTAAATATCAACAGTATCATCTTATCTAGCATACTTGTTCTTCACAGTTTCAGAGAAAATGTGCATACATAATTGGGAGCTAGACAGTAGTATAAAATAGAGGTTAATCACATGAACTTTCTAAGTAAGAAACTTTAAGTGTAAGTTTTATGATTTTAGGTCATTAATTTTTTTTTGTCCAACTCTTTCATTGGCTTGTAGTGTGACCAGAACAAGTTCCACAATCTACCTGTGCATCAATTTTTTCCTTTTTAGTAATGAATTTATCTCACCAGGTTTCTCTGATATTTGAATAAAATAATGCTTGGGACTCCTATGTTTGAACTGGGATGAGTTGGAGTTACCCTCCGACACACTGTTGCTTATTGCAAGTAAGGAACCCACTCTGTATAGTTATTAGTAATTCTCATGGTATTATTCCTTGAAAGCAGAAAACACATTATGTTCATGTTCATAGGCCCATTGTCTGGCAAGAGATAGGGCACCAAGTAAGTGCTCAATACACTTTTTAGAAAGGAATGAATGAATAAATCACATGAGTGTGAATCTACATGAGTGGAGACAGAAGGAATATGACTTGGAAATGCATAAAAGGCATGAGTTGCAAATGCCAAAGATGCAATAAGGTACTAATGGACATCTTTCAGCATTTTCATATCATGGTTAGCCTGGGGAAGAGAAACATTCCTACTTCTCTTCTCTTCTTACCTCCATTTAACATTCTCCTGCCTTCCACACAGAAGGAGTAAGTATGCATTCAGCAGATCCCAGGATACATATTGGGACACTTTTGCTGTTGGTTGTGGCTACCGTAATAGATTAGCTGAAGAGAACAGATCTTGCTCTCTCCTTTCTTCCAAACACATGGAAGATGGAAGATATATTAAACTGTCCCAGAGACTGCATTGAGGCCAGTTATTTCAGAACATGCCAGTCTATGTAACGAAATAAGTATACTTTGGACTATCAGAAGAGGTAGGAGTGGGAATGAGGAGAAGGCAATAGTTCAAATGCTCCAGCTTAATTCTCTGAGGTTCTCAGCAGTGAGTTTGGGGATTGAGCCTTCTCACCTTCCTACCTCCAGTTAGCAATTTCTACCCATGTTTCCTTGCACAGATTTTCCTTTATTTATATCTCCTTCAAGAGCACATAAAGAGGGTTTCAGGCTAAGCAAGGCAAACATACAAAATATCACTCTGATTTTTAACATTTATTATCTCATTTTGAACTCCCCAGAAACTCTACATTTTGCTAATATTACTGAAATTGTCTCTATTGCAAGATCTGGAAGCCCAGGCTCTGATATATAAAACCACTGAGTCAAGATCATAGAGCAAGTCTGTAGCCAAAGTGGACATGTAACTTAGACCTTCCAATTTCAAACCCCAAAGAATTTGTAGCACAGTTCTTCCAGGATGAGACAGATACTGGGTCTCAAACTAATCATCTTCTGGACTCACCAGAGAATGAGGTTCCTTCCTCATTTGTTTTATTGAGAAAAGTAGTATGTGAGAAACAACTGTGATGATGAATCACGCAGAACCACTTTAGGAGTTGGGTTGAATCCCAGTGTTTATATTTTCTATTCTCCTTTAAGGTACCTTGTACTAGTCCATTTTGTGTTGCTATAAAGAAACACCTGAGGCTGGGTAACTTATAAAGAAAAGAGGTTTATTTGGCTCACAGTTCTGCAGACTGTACAAGCATGGTACCCACATCTGCTCAGCTTCCGGTAAGGCCTCAGGAAGCTTTTACTCAGGATGGAAGGAGAAGGGGGAGCAGGTATGTCACATGGCCAGAGAGTGAGCAAGGGAGAAATGGGGAAGGTCCCAGATTCTTTTTTTTTGAGACGGAGTTTCACTCTTGTTGCCCAGGCTGGAGTGCAATGGCATGATCTCGGCTTACTGCAACCTCTGCCTCCTGGGTTCAAGTGATTCTCCTGCCTCAGCTTCCCAAGTAGTTGGGATTACAGGCACCCAACACCATGCTCCACTAACTTTTTGTATTTTTGGTAGAGATGGAGTTTCACCATGTTGGCCAGGCTGGTCTGGAACTCCTGACCTCAGGTGATCCACACACCTCGGCCTCCCAAAGTGCTGGGATTACAGGTGTGAGCCACTGCGCCCGACCCCAGACTCAACAACCAGATCTTGCATGAACTAATACAGCAAGAACTCACTCATTACCAAGGTAATGAGGGAGCCACTCCCATGATCCAACACCTCCCACCAGGCCCCATCCCCAACATTGAGGATCACATTTCAAGATGAGATTAGGAGGGGACAAATATCCAAACCACATCATACCTAGTCTAGATACCCTCCCTAGAGATGTACGCTTTCTGTGTTCCTGTAGGCAACTATATTTTCAAGGATGGCAACAAAAATTGCCCCTTTTTCACAGGCTTTTCTGCAATGTGATCTGGCCACTTCCCCATGAAGAGATAGAGTTTAGTTACCTGCACCTTGACTCTGTGCTGGCTCAGTGACTTCTTTGTAAAACCACCCCTATGGGGTTCACAAGAATTGCATGCCGGGTTCTGGACAGAGATGTAGTTATGATTAAACATTAATCAGGCTGCACTCTGCCCCACTTCCTTGTTGCTAAAAGTCACATAGCACTGGATACTGACATTGCATCCTCATTGTTCCTATAGATAGGATTTCTGACATTAGACTCATAAGGCTTTTGTTTAAGGATTGTCTAAAATGTTTTTCAGACCCAACTTTCGGCAACCAGTTTGAAGCCCTCCTCCCCTCAAGAGGAACGGGATCAGGTTGAGAACACAGCTTCTTCCTTACCCTGTCCCATGACTTCACCCGGCACTCTTCAATAAATAACAATCTCCACACTTCGGCCCACTCCAAAACCCTTAAAAATCCTAACCCTAAATTCCTTGAGGAGATGAATTTGAGATTCACTCCCAACTCCTCATGTGGTGACCTTATGATTAAACCTCTTTCTCTACTGCAACCCATGTCTCAGTGTATTGACTTGCTGTGTGCATTGTGCAATGAACTTATTATGGTTACGATACAATGTGGTGAACGTGACATTCTGGGATGTCAGTGATCACACATTTTGAAGGCTTGGCACCATCTGCTTTTGTGCCTTGAGGGAAGTCGGCCACCTTGTAAGACTTCTGATGACCCTGAAACCAGCATGCTGTGAGGAGCCAACACCAGCCATGAGGAGAAGCTCCGTGGAAGAGAACTACCCTCCAACAACTGAGCTCCCAGCTGAAAGCCAGTACTGGTTTGTCAGCCTGTGAATGAGACCCTTACAAGTAGATCCTCCAGCCCCAGATGGACTGTTTCCATTGACACTACATAGAACAAAGAAAAGCCTTTCTGGCCAGGCGCAGTGGCTCATGCCTGTAATCCTAGCACTCTGGGAGGCCAAGGAAGGTGGATCACCTGAGGTCAGGAGTTCGAGACCAACCTGGCCAACATGGTGAAACCCCGTCTCTACTAAAAATACAAAAATTAGCCGGGTGTGGTGGTGCACGCCTGTAGTCCCAGCTACTCGGGAGGCTGAGGTGGAGAATCACTTGAATTCAGGAGGCAGAGGTTGCAGTGAGCCGAGATCACACCACTGCACTCCAGCCTGGGTGACAGGGCAAGACTCCTTCTCAAGGAAAAAAAGAAAAAAGTCTTCCTAACTTCACTCTGTTCTAATTGCAGAATCATCAACAAAAATATGACTGTTATTATTTGAGACACTAAGTTTCAGGGTGATTTCTTACGCAGCAAAGATAACCAAAGTTTCCATGGCATCTGCCTTATAACAACAGTTATTTATCTGAACATTTATTATTGCTGCAATATTTCTCTCTCTTCCTAATGCGAGTCCCAGGGCTTAGTCCCTGTGGAGTACCCAGAGTCTAGAACAGTGGTTGGCACACAGTAGGTATGCAAAGAATCCTAGTGGAAAGAAGTATGCAGTGACCTTGAGCAAGCTTCACTCTGCCTGACCCGTAGCACACACACCTGAAACAACCCTTCCTGGCTGGAGAGTAGTGTGAGACCTCCTTACAAGAAGAGTCTAAGGAAACACAAGCACCTGTTGATCCCCACACCAGCCAACAGCCACCTGTTGATCCCCACACCAGCCAGCAGCCAACTGTCTGTCTCCACATCTACCTGTATCTCAAGAATTCAGAGCAGGCTCCCAGAAAACACCAAACTGAGCCAAACAACAAGTCTCCTTTATTCATGGTAGAAGTTTTGTGATTTAAAGTGCATGCATTAAGAGAGCTATGAAGGGCTGGGTGCGGTGGCTTACACCTGTAATGCCAGTACTTTGGGAGGCCGAGGCGGGCAGATCACCTGAGGTCAGGAGTTCAAGACCAGCCTGGCCAACATGGTGAAACCCCATCTCCACTAAAAATACAAAAAATTAGCGGTGAGTGGTGGCCTATGCCTATAATCCCAGCTACTCGGGAGGCTGACGAAGGGGAATTGCTTGAACCCAGGAGGCAGAGGTTGCAGTGAGTGGAGATCGCGCCATTGCACTCCAGCCTGGGCAACAAGAGCAAAACTCCATCTCAAAAAAGAGAGAGAGAGAGCTATGAAGGTTCACTGATCTTTCATAGGCTACATTGCTGCAGATAAAATTTAATTAAACAAATCTGTGCAGTAATGTGCTCACCGCTCTGAATCACATGCAACTATTTTCCTTTCCAGGCCTTTGCCAGAGAAGAGGCAGGGGAAGGGGTTCAAGCTGCTGCTGTGCTATGTGGCTGAAACATGGGGGAGGTTTTTTCTAAAGGAGGAATCAGAGGGCCTTTGGAAAAGCCATCAGTGAGCAACTGTGGCCAGCCCTGACCGCAAAGCACTGGAGTCATCATTCTCCAGCCTCTTCCTGCCTTCACCACTCTCTTTGGGCTCTGATCGTCTCTCCACTGAAATATTGTAGTAGCCTCCTTGTCTCCAGATCCACCCAGACTCAACACAAAACCCATGCTTTTTTTTTTTTTTTTTTTTGAGACGGAGTCTCGCTCTGTTGCCCAGGCTGGAGTGCAGTGGCTCAATCTTGGCTCACTGCAAGCTCCACCTCCCGGGTTCACACCATTCTCCTGCCTGAGCCTCCCAAGTAGCTGAGATTACATGCGCCCACCACCAAACCTGGCTAATTTTTTGTATTTTTAGTAGAGATGGGGTTTCATCGTGTTAGCCAGGATGGTCTTGATCTCCTGACCTCATGATGTGCCCGCCTCAGCCTCCCAAAGTGCTGGGATTACAGGCATGAGCCACCACGCCCAGCCAAAACCCATGCTTTTAAACCAGGTTTTCCTTTCTTTTTCCCCAGCTGAGAATTTATTGTCCACATGCAGCCATATAAAAGCATAAGTTATGATTTGTAACATTAGACTTTACTGAATTCATTTATCAAATCTACACATCTTTTGGAGGAGTATTTGAGTTTTCTAGGTATAAGATCATATCACTGGAAATAGGAGTAGTTTGACTTCCTCTTTTCCAATTTGGATGCCCTAGATTTCTTTCTCTTGCCTAGCTGATCTGCCTAGGACTTTGAGTATTAGGTTGAATAGAAGTGGTAAAAAGGGGCATCCTTGTCTTGTCCCCTAAATAAGATTCTATCAACATAGAGCAAACAAGAACAACTTCTGGGTAGGTTACCAACATGGGCTGCTATAGCCTTGAAGTATGAATAAGACTTTGCTAAGACAGCAGTGAAAAGAAGGTGCCTAGGGCGAGGGACCAATATGAACGAAATCATGGAGGCATTTGAAAAATGGCAAACAATGTTTCATGTTGTTGAAGAATAAGACGAGAGGATGCATCTCTAAATTTCAGGTGAATTTAGTCACTCTTTTCTCTACATACCTTTAAAAAGTACACATTGGCTGGGCATGGTGGCTCACACCCGTAATCCCAGCACTTTGGGAGGCTGAGGCCAGCAGATCATTTGAGGTTAGGAGTTCAAGACCAGCTTGACCTATATAGTGAAACCCCATCTCAACTAAAATACAAAACACTTAGCCAGGCATGGTGGTAGGCACTTGTAATCCCAGCTACTTGGGAGGCTGAGGCAGGAGAATTGCTTGAACCCAGGAGGTGGAGGTTGCAGTGAGCCGAGATCGCACCACTGCACTCCAACCTGGGAGACAGAGCAAGACTCCCACTTAAAAAAAAAAAAAAAGTATACATCACATTGTAATATAATTGAGTATATTTCTCCCAAAACACTGCAAGCTACAGAACCATGTCTTACTCACACTGGTATCATTTTCTACCATCTAGTGCCTAAAACACACCAACCACTCCTATAAATGCTTGTTGAATGAATACATGAATGATATTATATTATTTGAAGTGCCCTGGGAACACAGATGCCACTGAAAAACTTGTGGTCAAGTTCTCAGAGCATGGGGGTTAGCATGATGCCCACAGATCCCTATAATTTGCATACTCATATATTTGCAGAACTATCATAAAGGTTCCTACTGGGAAATTCATTGGAAGTGTTAGCAGTAAAGGCAATTGCTTAAAACTCTAACTTTTATGGGTTTCCAGGAGACCAACTGTCAAGAATGAAAACTTGCACTAAGAAAAAAGGTACTTGCCAATTGTGGATTAGAAACTCATTCTGAAGGCTATAAAGCAACTGACGAGGTTTATTGCACCTTTAGGACATTATGCAGAGGCTGTCTTGTCTTGTCCCCTAGCCTAGTGCCATAACCCTCTACAGCATCCCTGACCCATTGCCAACTAGCCTCTCTTTGAACAAGTCTAGGGTAAATACCACTGCACCAGAGGTCCAGGGTACCTATAAGGTTTTCTGGTCACAGGTTCAGCAACTCAAGAGGAGCTTTGAATGACAAGGGAGGGATGTAGCAGAGTTTACCGAAATACCTTGTTCCCAGAGTCACCCTGCTAGACACCAACACCCTGCATGGGACCACCCATTCTCTCAGTTAGCATTGACATTTACAGAGCTTCTAGGTGAAAAGCTGCCACTGACCTTTGTTTCAAGCCTCTAACTCAGCTCTTCATGTTGATTTTTATAAAAATTATTTCATAAGCATATTCATTGGTCTCTCTCATCCCAGGCTTCTGTCTTTGCCAAGACTCAGGCTCTCTGGCATTAGACAGGTTGAGAATCTCTTATATGAAATGATTGGGACAAGAAATATTTCAGATTTTTTTTTATTTTGGAATACTTCCATTATACTTACCAGCCAAGCATCCCAAATCCAAAATTCTGAACTCCAAAATGCTCCAAAGAGCACTTCCCTTGAGAGTCACCTTGGTGCTCAAAAAGTTTCAGATTTTGAAGCATTTTGGATTTTGGATTTTTGGATTTGGGATGCTTAATTTTACTGGATTCTTTCAACCAATTATAAAATAAGATTTCTAAATTTTCACTATAACATAGTGATTAAGAGGTGGGAAACTGGAATCAGACATCAGTGTTCAAATCTTGGCTTCTTTTTCTTTTATGTTTTGTTCTTTTGTTGTTTATTTATTCATTTATTCAATAAATATTTTCTGAGTGATTTCTATGTATCAGACACCCTATTAAGGAGTGGTCAGTGTGATCAAGCAGCTAGAAACCGTTCTGTCTCTTCTGTTGTAAAGCTTATGTTTGGCAGGGGTAGAAAGGGAGGAGAAGAGGGATAATAAACAGGTAAGCAGATTCAAGCTAGTTGCCTTTACTATCATTATTACTATGTGATGCAGCATTTGGGATTAGGTTTGGCTTTGAGTGACAGAAAACTGAACACTGGCTTTTAAAAAGTTAATTCTTTTTCTTTGACACAAAGTCTAAAGATAAGCCATCCAAACCTGGGTTGATGGTCTCACAGTCAGCAAGGAGCAAAGCACTTCTTTCATTTTGCTCTGCATGCTCAACCTCTTGGTCTGTAGCAATTGCTGCCAGTTCTCCTATATCCCCTAAGTATTCACCATTTCTAAACATTCAGATAGCTCCTTTTTGCAAGCACCTGAGACTCTTCCCCTTTCTCTGCTGAGCTGGGTGTTCAGTCCACGAAAAGGAAACTGGAAGTGCCAGAGAGGTAGCACCCGCAGGAGCACCCCTCAATCAATGGTAGACAGAACTGGGTGTATAAATACCCCAGCTCCCTCACCTTTCAAGGTGGACAACTCTGAAGTATGTGCTGCACAGTTCACCAGAGTTCCCCAGCAGGATGGATCCAATATAATTTGTTCATGAACACACCCAGAATTGGCATCCTTCCCTTCCTGCCTCACTTTCTCACTCCTGACCTTACCAGTGCTTCCCGGAACCACTTGGCAAATAAATCACTTGCTCTCAAACTCTAGAGTCTGCTCTTCAGAGGGAATCCAATTTATGACATGGTCTAAGATGGCCACTCATGCTCCACCCATCTCATCCCCATTCACCCAGGAGGACAGAGAAAGCAATGAAAAGGGGTGGGTCCCCTCCCTTTAAAGAATATTTCTAGGGAGTTTCCCAGGATACCTTTGCTTACACCCTATTGGGCAGAACTTACATGGCCTCACTGGGTAGCAAAGGATGCTAGAAGATGTAGTTCTTATTCTGAATGGTCACATGCCCTGTGAGGTCAGGCTTTCTAGTACTAAGGAAGAAGTGGATAATGGCTATAATAAGCCAGCTTGTCACTGTTCAAGAAATAGGCAAAGCAAAGCTTTGTGGAGTAGGCTGAGGACTTACGAGCAGTTGTTTGGGTTCCTGATGAAGCATAAATAGCATTTCACAAAGATCTTCCCTGGCAGCCCCTGAAGCCATCACACCTTGGTGCCTGCCTCCCCACCTGCTCCTCGACACAAGCTAAGCATAACTTACTCACTCTCTCCAATCCTGGGAGACAAGCCAGGGCTCAGCTACATCAAACTGTGCCAGGATGCAATTTGTATATTAAAGTCACTGGAGCTGGCTGTTACTTCACCTTAATTTTAGATAACCAAGAAGGGCCATACAGAAACCTAGCCCTCAAAAGGTCTAGATGACTCACACAGAGTCGTGACAGATGCATTGGAAAGATGTAGGATGGCACATGGCTTGTAACAAATGAGGGGTCCAGAGGTGACAGCCACACTGGGAAGCTCCAAGGACACTGCAAACTCATAGAATTTCAGGGTCACAGGGAAGTGGGGAGGTTTAAGGAACATCCATCGAATGCTTACTGCATGCAGAAATGCACTATCCATGAAGACATGTAAAATTCCCAAGCCCTGTATGAGGCGGGTTTGGCACCATTTTAAAGATGAAGAAACTAAGGCTTTGGTGGATAGGATAACTCACCCTTGCTCACACAGCAGGTAGGAGACAGACTGAAAATGATAGTAATAACAATACTACTAATAATGCATATTTAAATTCTTTTTATGTGCCAGGCCCTGTGCTGAGTGCCTGTGATCCTTAAGCCATTCAAGCCTCACAATAACCCCTGAGGTAAGTACTATTATAATTTCCTTCTTACAAATGAAGAAACTGAGACTGAGAGAAGTTAAGAGCTCGTAAAGAATAACACCAGGATTTAAGAGAAGATCTTGTCCAATCAGATGCTTGAATCCCCCTGATGGAGTTGCCTACCTGTGGCCACAGGGCCATGATCTAAAAGTGTTCAAGGTCAGAGACTGCATACCCCCCTATATCACTCCATTTCTTTCCTGGAGGAAGCCAACTGAACAGTCACTGTTTTGAGGCCCAGGACTGTTGCACCCCATGGGAAGGACCATTACTTACACTGAATGACCCATAAGAAAGCTCGCCCTTGGACCAAGCCTGGAAAACTGTTTCTTTAAAGGATCAGACAATAAATCTTTCCAGCTTTATGACTCATGCTGTCTCTGCTACAACTACTCAGCTCTGTCACTGTGGCTCAAATGCAGCCATAGACACTACATAAACAGTTGGGCATGAATGTGTTCTAATAATATTTCACTTATGGACAATGAAGTCTGAATTCTATATGATTTTCATGTACTACAAAATATTATTCTTTTTTTTTCCTTTTTCTTTTTTATTTAATTCTTTTTTTTAAGTTCCAGGGTACATGTGCAGGATGTGCAGGTTTGTTACATAGGTAAATATGTGCCATGGTGGTTTTCAACCATTTAGAAATGTAAAAATCATTCTTAGCTCGTGGGCTGTACAAAGTCAGGTGGCAGACTAAATGTGACTCACAGGCTATAGTTTGCCAACTCTTGGTCTAGGGTCTAGAAAAGTGTCTGGGAAAACTGGTGCTTAGGAGCCCTGGTTTTCTTTCCCACTTAAAAAGATGCTAAAGGATATGGCAGTGAATTGTTTTTGTTATAAAGCAGCAAGAAGTTAGAGAATTGGAGTATAGTTTGGGGCTGGCGCACCTTAACCCCAAGAGCTGAAGTACTGATGTCTGCAACATAGAGAGTAGAAAGTGGGATACAGATAGGATGCCTGAGCTTTGCTAAGTAGGTTGGACATTCTTTAAATTGCCATTTGGGTGTATAGTACCAGGTGACAGTTCCTGCAATTAGTATAATATGTTAGTGTTTTATTATCTTGTATCCTCATCAAGACACATTTAGGAATGTATTATTATCTCCATTTCATAGGTAAGGAAACCAAAACTCAGAGAGGTTAAGTGATGTGCCTAATATCAACTCGATTGTAGAAGGAACTCACACCCAAGGTTGCCTAACTCCAGTTTCTATGCACTGTGCATTCTGCAGAAGATGAGCAGAGACACCAAACCAAGGTCAGCTTCCCTCTGGAAAAACTGGCAGTGGCTGCAGGCTGGCCTGCTGCATATTCATTGCTTGGGGCCTCATGTAGGAATGCCTGCTGCTGACTTCAGCCTCTGATCTAAATCCCCTCTCAGCTTCCAGTTCCACCCAGCACCAAATGATGCTAGGAGGCCTATGACCTAGCAGCAGGTGGAGGTCAGTGTTTACAGAAGGAGGGATTAATTTCAAGACCCAGTGGGGTGCACCTGGATATAATCCCTGCTTCCTACAAAAACAGCTGGGAGTCTACATGCTGTTTAGGACAAGGAGTGCCCAGTGGGGTGTGGACTGAGGAGTTCATCCACAGACTATGTTTTCAATAATAATAGGAAGAGTGATCAAAGCTGGCGTCCTGGAGTGCCTATCCCATGCTGAGCCTTGGTCAAGGGGCATCACATATGTTATTTGACTTAATCCTCATGACAACCCCCGGAGGTGGGGCTTATTGCATTTACTTTGCAGATGAAGGAACTCAAGCTCAGCTGATCAATGCAACATGCTGTGCAAGTCTGTGGGACTCCAAAGTCGATGCTCTTTTACCTCCTGGGCTCAGGAATGCAGTCTCCAGGTGTCAAACCTAGATCTTTATCCTTCTTCAGCTTGAGATGGTGCAACAGCTACTGTCTCAGGTGTTTGAAATGACTCAACAGAACTGGTTGAAAATAAACATTTCAGGCAAAAAATAGTTGGATCTGTATGGCATTAAACAAGCAGTCTGACACTTAACCATTCATTCATTCATTTATTCATTCATCCATCCGACCATCCATTCATCCAAAGATCTATCCATCCACCCAATTAATGAATTATTCATTTAAACAAATAATCAACATTGCCTGAGTATACCCTATTAGCCAGACCCTATAAGAATTCTGGGGAGGGAAAGCACAAAAATGACTAAGATCCAGTCTCTGTTCATTTACAGTTTACATTGGAGTGATGTGATGTCTCTGAGTGTGTTGATGGGAGTAAGCTATGGAAAAGAAGGCAGATGAAGACCCAGGCCAAAGGACCACTCAAGGCCAGTGAGCAGATGGGTCATCTAACTGGGCATTGATTGAGTCTGTATCCCTTGAGAGCCTCCATTTTTTTTCCTCCAGCCCACCGCCCTCACTGATGCCAAAGCTGTCATTCTCCAAAATTTAGGTCAGGGAATAGATGTCACAAGCTGGTAAGACACAGGTAATTTGCGAATTTGTGAGGAATTCTCAATCTGAACATTCCTTCTGCAAGGGGTGTGCACTAGGAGGTACTGGGCGCACTGCGGCTGCTCAAGGAGACCCTGATGACCCTCCCCAAGGGACAAGATTCTCTCCTTGAACAAACTTCGGCCAGCATCCTCTGGGACCCATTTTTTAGTAGGCTTCCCTTGGGGCTCTGTCCTTGACCCATTTAGTCTAGTTTTAGCAAGAATCCTGCTTGGTCAGTTTAGTGAAAATCCTCCACCCTTGATATGTGATCAAATTCCTTATTCCCCATCCTTGATAACCAATCACCCTGTCCCACCTTCGACAAGAATCCTGCTGAGTCCATTTAGCCAGAATCCCCCTTATTCATGATATTTCTCCTTAGTAATTTTTCATTCACTGACCCCTCACCTTGCTCCTTGGCCACAAATCTCCACTTGTCTATGCTGTAGCCATAATAGAGCCTAATTCTACACTGAAGTCTCTCTTCCCCTATTGCAGTAGTTCCCAAATCAAATCTACCTTCACCACTTCAGCCTCTGTCCAGCTCTGGTTTCCTCTGACACACAGATGCCATAAAAGAAAGGTCCCAGTGGAAAAGAACATTCACTTGTTCAATCAAAAACATCACTAGAAATCATGAACATAGAGAGTAGAAGGATGGTTAGCAGGGACTGGGAAGGGCAGTGGTGGAGCTGTTGTGGAGGTAAGGTGGGGACGGTGAATGGGTACCAAAAATAGTTAGAAAGAATGAATAAGACCTAGTATTTGAGAGCACCATAGGATGACTATAGTCATGATAAATGAATTGTACATTTTAAAATAACTTAAAGAGTGTAACTGGATAGTTTGTAACTCAAAGGATAAATGCTTGAGGGGTTGGATACCCCATTCTCCACGATGTGTAATAAACACATTGCACGCCTATATCAAAAAATCTCTTTTACCCCATAAATACATACACCTACTATGTACCCACGAAAACTAAAAATACTTTAAAAAAAAAAATTACCAGATAACACTTGCTCCAAAAAGCAGTGGGACCCAGCTGTTCTGCATCTGAGGGAGTCATAAATATCATCTGCAAAGTCTCTGGGCTGATTGTTAGTTCAATGTTATCATCCTCAGACCCCAGAATTTATGAATTGGCAAGATATTAAGTCTTGCTTTGCTTCAGTCTCCTCATCTGTAAAATATGCTTAACAACGGCATTGCTGCACAGTGCCACGGAGGTCACGTCAGGTGGTGAGTGTAAGTGCTCCGTAGAGTGGTTTTGTCACTATAAGTGCTCAGTAGGTACCATGATGATGACTACTGCAGCAGCCATCAGCATTAGGCATAAGAAAAGAAACTAGGTGATAGTGGCATTTAGCATCAGAATCAAAGAACATTTACGGAATGCCTGGAGTTTTACACCATACCTAAACTCAAGAATCAATACAAGTGATTAGAACAAAGGGGTACAGACTGGGCAATATTGTGAGAATGCAGCAACAGGAGAAATTATTTCCAGCTTGGGGGATGAGAGATAGTCAAAGAAAGCAGTGATGCTGGGACCATGTATGACTGGAATTTATACATGAAGAGGGGTCGAGTGCATTTCAAGAGGAGAACACACACAGGGGAAGATGCACGGCCCCATCACATTGCAAAGCTAACACCAGCCAACAACCTTCATCCAGAAGCCTAAAATCCAAAATGCTCTGAAAAAAAAAATTGCATATAACTAGTTTTTGTCCCAAACTGGAGCTGCTCTGATTTAAACATGTCTACAAATTCTATTTTCCCATTTTGAATGATCACGTTTCATGGCAGAATATACAAGAGTTTGGTTATGGGCTGTTGCCTCAGAATCAGGTCAGTAGCTGTTGCACCGTCTCAAGCTGAAGAAGGATAAATACTTAGGTCTGAGACCTTGAGACTGTCGGAGCTGTTCTGTATTATATGGTGTACGTACCTCATTGCCTTTCTAAAGTAAGAATAGTTCTAAATTTCAAAATATGTCTGGGTTTAAATAAGAAGATACGAACATATATTAATAATACCTAATATTTATTAAGCACTTATATTCCAGGCACTTCTCGAAGCACTTAACCAAGTTGATCCTCCCGATGGAGGTAGGCACTGGTGTTATCTTTTTTTTTGCATAGACCATGAAACTGATGTACCAGGAAATTAATTATTTGCCCACACTTGCACAGCTGGAAAGTTTTAAAGCCAGGACTCAAAGCCACAAAGCATTGCCTCGAAGCCTGCACTCCTAAACATTACACTTGACCACCCACATATACTATGATGTAAGTAAGAGCAAGTGCAATTGGTTGCATTATTAATTCAAAATTCTTCCATCCTTCCTCTCTCGTTCCAAAAAAGCTGTACTTCCCACTGCACTGACACTGGGCTTGCTTTAGCCAATGAAATGCTGACAAAGATGACATGAGCAGAGACTATAAATGGGCGTTTGTGGTTTGGCTTGGCTGCTTATACTTGTGATTTTGCATTAAAAAAAAATAAAGCATGACCTGGGTGACCGCATGGATTGCAGAATAAGAAACAAATAAATGAGACCTGAACGCAGTCCACAATCTGAGGCAGCACTGCCTGAGCCAACTCACAGACTCATGAAGGAGAAAAATGAATGCTTGTTGTGGGCCATTGAGATTTGGAGTTTTTGCGGAGGGGGTTGTTACACAGCATTATCACAGCAATCACTGACTAATACAACAAGTTGTTAGACTTGCTGGGCGTGACATGGATAATGGAGTATTTTCTGAGATGAGGATTTAAAGTTAACATTAGCCATATTGGGTCATGTCCTAAAAACAATGTTGAAGTTTTTCAATTTCATCCTGACAGCAATGGAGAGTCTTCAAATGATTTTATGGAGAACCATGAAATGAAATGCCTTTGATTTTCCACATTGCGATCAGAGCCATCTTTTCAAAATATAAATGGAGTCACTAGCTCCACTCCCCATCACCACACACACACACTTGCTTAATACCTTTCTAATGTATTCCATTGTTTTTAGGACAAAACCCCAAACCCTTCACATAATCCAAGGCCCTTCTGTCTGGACCCTGCTCAGCTCCCCAACCACATTGGGACATTGGGTGTTATGCTTTCCCTTGCATGCTGCTCCCAATCACACTGCCCTTCAGTTCCTTGAGTGTGCACTACTTTTTTGCCACAAGACTTTTGCACCTGCCTTCCTTGCTGCTAGAAGTGTTTTTTTTCCCTATCTCTTTGCCTACTTACCTCTCACTTGCATTGTAACTTCCTCCCAGAAGCCTTTCCTGATCTGTTTGGTTAGGTAAATTGCCCCCGTTCCCTATGCTCTTAGCACCATGCACTTCTGTTACATTTCACTTATTGCAGTTGCAATTTCACATTTGTGCATAAAATTTGATTTGTGTCCATGTCTGCCACTAACTTGTCTGCTTCCTGAGAGCAGCCACAGGGTCTTTTTTCCCCCTTGTCTTTGTATCCACAGCATTTGCACACTCCCTGGCACATTGCTGATGCTCAGTGAAATCTGTGGAGTGAAAGAATGCTGTGGGATGATAGCTTAGATAGCAGAGAAGACAATGGATTACTCTGGTTGCCCAAAGCACACAAGAACATAACTAATCCCTCTTCCTTACATCAGCCCTTTCAACTCTCCCTTGATTTCTCTGAGACTTTGCCAAGACAGATCTCTCACAAAGCAGCAGTGTGGTGCGAATGCATTATCAATCTGTTATTATCCACCAGGAAATATGACCTTAACACACTGCAATATGGCCAATCTATGTGATGGGTGTTCATCCCATGTCCCTCAACATCTGCACTGTAATTTTACAATCCAAAAGCCTCCTGCAATTGGAAGAGGATGAAAACATCTGGATGTTGCAAACTCTCTCGACAGGTTGTCTACACCATCACCTTCAAAATCGATGCACAAGAAATGAGTTTCTTGAACAGCAGAAAGAGTGGCTGGCGGCAGAACATACTGTTTAAGCCCCTTCATAGTATTAAGCAAAGACTGTCTGGATTTCCTTTGGAAGTGACTAGGAATTGGGATCTGGCAATAAAAGAGACCATGGGTAGGACAGAATGATAACTTCATTTTGAATGGGTGCTAGGGAAAAAAGGGAATCTATCAATCATGTAATATTTGTGAAATGAATAAATGAATTCAATAAATGATCAATATGCTAGGTTCATTTTGGTCAGAAGATGGAAGCCTGTATCTGAATGAAGGTGGAATGGAAAGGTGGGTTGTTACACATGGGCATTATGGCAACATGGAGAAACTGAGTTTTGGAAAATGGGCAGTAGGCAAGTAGAGTGCCAGGGTATATGATCTCATTTCATTACAATCCCAAAATCAACTGCAGTGGTATCACAGACTGAATAAATCTTGCAGAACAGAAAAATCAAGTAGTTGATAACAAAAGTTGGCGAGGACATTGCAGTAGTAGAAACTGTACTGACTGCTTTGAGAAGCACCTTGGCATTATCTTTTAAAAATTATGACACATATTTACTGTGATGCAGCAATTATTATTCTCAGAATATACCAAAGGACACTCACCCAGGTACAAAAGAAGGTGTATAATGAGAAGTTCACTACAGTGCGTTCATCATGGCAAAAGCCTGGGAACCAAATTTAGTACTAGTGGACTGACTAAACAAACTCTGGTGTAGTCATCTATGGAATATTATGCAATCATGAAAAATGCATTAACATGTAAATACTTCCAAGACATATTATTGAGAAAGGGGGGAAAAAGCAATTTATCAAATTACATGGCCAGTATGTTATAATTTTCTTAAGTACACACACTCAATATGCACAATAATATACAATATGCACAATAATAATATTGTGTGTTGTGCATTTTCTGCAGCCATATATTTGTAAGCATGTAGGAGATGGTCTGATACATTATACTATAAATGGTTAACAGCAGTCATCTTTGGGGATGGAGTGGGAACTGGAATTAAGTACAGGAGATCAGTGGGAATTTTAGCACTATCTAATATTCTGTTTTGTTTTGTTTTGTTTTCCACAGAGGATAATATAGTAACATTTTATGAAATTAAAAGAATTTTTTAAAGTCGAGTTGTTCAAATAAGCATGAATGAGTAACATGGAAGCCAAGGAACTCAGTTGAGTGAAATCATACTTGAAAAGGGAGATTCCCTCAGAAAGACACCCAGGTTTCCAGACGCCTGGCTGAGGCTTCTGGGGGCTTTTATTGATGACTGGTCATTGGGCACCCATTCCTAGCCCTGTGCTACCTCTGGGTATCAAGGAACTTATAATGAAAGAGGAGGCAGTTAGAGGACGGGTAGGAAGATAGAGAGGGAGAGTCTTGGGAGAAGAAAAACACCCATGGGACCACACCCACACCACACCTGTTAGGTAGCTCATGGGGTGAAATGTAGTTAAGAATCTCCTCTTATGCCAGGATGTTTGCTCAGAAGGGAATGTCTCAACTTAGGCCCAGTCATAATAAATCAATGTAAATGTCCTTAACTTAACCCAGCTCATTACAATATCATTAACAAACATTAAAATTGTGGTTTTAGTGCCTACCCCCCAGGGGGTTTTGCTTAGGCATTCATGGGTAATAACCAAGATGGAGTCACTATGGCCAACCCCAACCATGTGCAGGTGGCAACATTCCCAGGGGGGAACTTTACCCCTTTCATTAAGGGAGAATCCAAAGAAAACTTCCTTGTTTCTGCCACATAAAAGACCCAGAACTTTGCTCCATTCCTGGCAACCCACTTTGAGGTCCCCTCTTGCTGTTGAGGGCTTTTCCGTCACTTAATAAATCCTATTCTGCCTTACCCACTCTCCAGTGTCTGCGTGCCTTATTCTTCTTGGTTGTGGGACAAGAACTCAGACCTGGCTGAACTAGGGAGTAAGGAAATTGCCGCACTAACAAATGTGGAAAAAGAGGCTCTTTCACTGTGGATCAGCAACTAGGGACAAGAGAGGGGAGGGGAGGAGGAGGAAAGTAACAAGAAGCAGGGAAATTTACCACATCTCTTAAAGAAAGATTTCCCCAGAATCATTGCTGACACTAGGCACATTTAAAGAGTTTATAAATCATCTGAAAGCGATTTATAGTTAAATATCTAAATGTACGAAGTACTTTTAAGCTCTGGTGTAGGAAAATGCCAAGCAGATAAGGATAAACAAGCCACGAAGCAGAAACCATCATAGGTCTCACCCAGTCCAATAGTTCTTAAATCTCACCACGTTGTTGTGAGGATTAAATAAGACTGCTCATGAAAATGCCCTTGGAAAATTGTAAAATGGTATACAAATGTTGCTTATTACCATGATTATGTTGTAGTTGGTTTTACATCAGAATTTGATAACAGAGCTAAAAATGGAATTCGTAATGGAGTTTGGTATTCTATTCAGCCATCCACCCTGACTGTGAGTACTTTACAAGAATAATTTTGCTTTTACAAGAAATCATCCTCAGTATTTTTTTTTAAACATAAGTACTATACCCACATTTAAACATTTCAGTAATAGAACAGACATAAAGCCACCCATATTTTCAATAGCCCCAAAATGTCATCCAGTATTTGCCATATGAGACTTTTTCTGCCTTCCTTTTGAGTCTTTTCTCATTAGTGTCTTTTACATAGTGGTTAAGCACTGTGAGACTCTACACTTTGTAACCTGCACTTACCACTGATATTATAAACAGCACCTCATGTTGCTCCAGAGTATTCAGAACTATTCCATATTTCCTGGATTCAATGTATTACAATTTATTTAATCCATCCTTCATGTTGGAACACCTGTTATGTCCTCCATATATATTTCCAAGGGATATCTTGGTACAAAAAGTTTCCATGCCCCAGATGCTTAAGAATATCTCAGCATTTAAAATGTGGCTGGTGAGAAAAATAAAATAATAAAATAAAATATAGTTGATAAGTGGCAATTGGCAGGGGCTCAATTTTCCAGATTTTTATTATTAGAATTATGGTTATGGTTAGTGTTATCATTTTGCTTTAATGAAGAGGATTGTTTTTTGAACTGCTTGGTTTATTAACGTTTTAAGATAAAGAAAGAAAACACTCTCCAGGTACTACAGAGTTTATTTTAAAAGCAAGACAGGCAGGCCGGGCATGGTGGCTTGCACCTGTAATCCCAGAACTTTGAGAGGCTGAAGTGGGAGGATTGCTTGAGGCCAAGAGTTCAAGACCAGCCTGGGCAACATAGCAGGATTCTGTCTCTAAGGAAAGTTTTTAAAAAATTAGCCAGGGATGATGGTGGATGACTGTCATCCTAGCTAATTGGGAGGCTGAGGCAGAAGGATCACTAGAACCCAGAAGTTCGAGACTGCAGTGAGCCACAATCACACCACTGCACTCCAGCCTGGGCAACAGAGAAAGACCCTGCCTCTAAAAAAAAAGGAAAGAAAAAAAAAAAAAGGAAGTGATGACACAGTAGAATAATATAAAATAAAGGCCTCAAGGACCTAAGGAAATAATTCTATGAAGAGACAGCCTGTTTTAAACAGTAAGCCAGCCTGGGGTGATGAAAGTGCTGTTTTTCAGTACTCTTTGAGAAAGGATTTTGAATGGCAGAGGACCTCTCTGTACTTCCAGATGACCCTTCTCTCTACGGCTGTCAAAGAGGAGGAAATATAATAAGATATGTGATTATAACCCTTAGAGACTCATTGCTCAACAAACATTCAGAACTCTTCACTGGTTGGTGACTCACTTCTTCCAAGAATTCTATCGGCCAGATTGTTCAGAATCCACTCTTTATATCATTCATTGTGCAATGGATATCCCATCATCTCTTGTTTCTCCTCCCCCCAGTCTCCAGGTTAGGGGCACCAGGACCTACAACATGCTTGAGTTCTGAAATCCATCAATTGGTACAGGCCCCACTATCTATGTCTTGCTGCCAACAGACCCAGGACCAAGTGATGCGAGCTGATTCTATTCATCCCCCAAATTCTTTCAACCCCTACATTAAATGAGCTAATTCTATCCTATGGTCCAAGCTGTTGTTCCTTTGTTGAGTCATTAAACAAATATTGAATGAGCCCCTATCATGCGTCATAACTGAGGATAAAAGAGAGGACAATCAGACAAAGATCCTGCCCACACAGAATTCTATTCTAGTTCTGGGAGATAGAAAATAAAGAAGTTGGCCAGGCATGGTGGCTCACACCTGTAATTCCAGTACTTTGGGAGGCTGAGGTGGGAGGATCACAAGGTCAGAAGATTGAGACCAACCTGACCAACATAGTGAAATGCCATCTCTGCTAAAAATACAAAAAATTAGCTGGGTGTGGTGGCGTGTGCCTGTAATCTGAGCTACTCAGGAGGCTGAGGCAGGAGAATGGCGTAAACCCCGGAGGCAGAGCTTGCAGTGAGCCGAGATTGCACCACCGCACTCCAGCCTGGGTGACAGAGCAAGACTCCGTCTCAAAACAGAAAGAAAAACAAAAACAAAAACGAAGCAAAAACAAAAACAAAACAAACAAAAAAACAAAAAGAAAATAAAGAAGTTCACAAATAACAATGCAAGTCTGGGTATGCCACAAGGATAAAAAACCAGGTATTGGCCAGGCACGGTGGCTCACACCTGTAATCCTAGCACTTCGGGTGGCCAAGGTGGGGCAGATCACCTGAGGTGGGAGTTCAAGACCAGCCTGACCAACATGAAGAAACCTCGTCTCTACTAAAAATACAAAATTAGCCAGATGTGGTCATGCATGCCTGTAATCCCAGCTACTCAGGAGGCAGGATAAATGCTTGAACCTGGGAGGCAAAGGTTGTGGTAAGCTGAGATCACACCATTGCATTCCAGCCTGGGAAACAAGGGCGAAACTCCGTCTCAAAACAAACAAACTAACAAAAAAACAAAACAAAACAAAAAAACAGGGTATTGGGTTGTGAGTACCTGGGGTGGGGAGGAACTATTTTGGTCTCAATGGTGCAGGAAGGCCTTTGTCAGAAATTAACAGCTGAGATGAGACTTACATGAGAAAGAGCCAGACAAGTGAAAATCTAACAATCTAATGTAAGAGTATCCCAGGCAGGACAGCAAGGACAAACAGCCCTGGGACAGAAATGAACTAGATGTGCTCAAGAAACAGAAAGAAAACCATTGGTTGGATTTTCCAGTTAAAGTTCAGAAAGCAAGGGAGAGAGCTGGGGGGAGATGAAGATGGAGAGGAAGCCAGAAAACACATCACTTGGGCAGTGAAGGACTTGGTTAGGAGTTTTATGTTCACTCTGAATGCAAACCTTCTGCCTGGATTGGCACTTTCATCCATACAGTCAACCTACTTCATGCTCCAACCTCCCAAGAGAACTGGAGTACTCTCCCTAACCTCGAATTATGATCTGTGCATAGTTCTTGCAAATCTTCTTCTCCAGGAGTTTGGCTCTGCTGTCCATGCCCCTGGTCAAGGCTTGCAGACTTGCCTAAACATGAGAGCTCTCCCAAACATGAGAGCTCTCCCAGCTCTCAGCATAGCTGGAACGAACTCCAACATTCTGGTTCATTCTGCAAATCCCTGCTCATGTTGTAAATCCCTTCTGAACCATGTTCAGTTATGCTTTGCCTTGACATCTTGGGCATTTTGGAACCAAGTAAGTATAGCCTAAATCCATACTAACCAGGATTCTACTTGGTACCTTCTCTTTCCTCCTCCTCTTTGGCCTGGTGCCTAACCCTAGCATGCCTTATCCTGACCATGCTCTTATTAAGGCTTAATCGTACATCACAGTGGCCCCAGAATAGCTTAATCATCAGACTAATTCACTGGACTTAGCTCCAAATAACTCTTAGCTGTTTCAAAAAAAAAAAAAAAATCAAATCTGGAGATTTCTCACAATTGAGGACATTTAAAAATTATGTTCAGGCTCTGATGGCAATTTCCAAAGAGCAGTTCCCAGAATAGCTGGGAAATTGCCATGTAATCGGAATAAAGCTCTGACCTCCTCCGAGGTCTGCTTGGGAGAGGAATCACATCCATGTGGGTGCATAAGAACCAACATATTTGTGAATAATCAGCCTTATTACCTACCTACCATCCCACGTATTTATGGTTGTAACTCCCGGGGCACTTTGGGGTCCAGAGTCTTATCCAGTAAATTAGGCATCAAACTGGGAGAGCCAGGCAGCAAAGCTGAAAAGTCACGTTAAATATTTGCATTTGGGGCCATAGCTCCCTTCATGGCATAATTTCCAAACCTTCCTCATTCTGGCTGCCCTATTTTTGCCTGTGGTTTCCAGTGAACACGTTTTAAAATGGCACTGAGGACAGAATGCTCCCCTCCCAGCGCAGCCTGAGCAGTGCAAAGAGGCAAGTATGGCAAGCGTCTCTCCACAGAAAGCAAGCTGACAAACAGGATGTTTACCTTTCAAAAATAATGGCCGGGTACGGTGGCTCACGCCTGTAATCCCAACACTTTGGGAGACTGAGGTGGGCGGATCATCTGAGGTTGGGAGTTCCAGACCAGCCTGATCAACATGGTAAAACCCCACCTCTACTAAAAAACACAAAAATTAGCCAGGCATGGTAGTGGGCGCCTGTAATCCCAGCTACTCGGGAGGCTGAGGCAGGAGAATTGCTTGAACCTGGGAGGCGGAGGTTGTGGTGACCCAAGATCATGCCATTGCACTCCAGCCTGGGCAGTAAGAGTGAAACTCTGTCTCAATAATAATAATAATAATAATAATGATAATAATAATAATAATAATAATAAATGCTGTCAGCATTTAAAAGTTGAAAGAGTACCCATAAAATCAATGTCTCAAAACTTTCCTTAAAAACCTGTAAGATCTGGTTACTTTGGGTCTACATTGCTTATAGGGCAACAAATAGTCCATGCAGTGTAGCATCTATTCCCCACCACCATCCCCACCTGGCCCAATGAGGTATGTGTGTTTCTGGTCTCTGCATGCAGGAACTACCAGCCAAACAATTAATAGTGGTTAAACGATTCTAATTTGGAGTAAGAGGGCCAAATTTATGCATTCAGCCATCACTGATCATCGCTGATCACTAACTAAATACAAGACATTGCACTAGATTCTAGGTACACAGCATGAGACAGACATTCCCCTTGCAGAACGTCTGGTTTAGCAGGAGAAAGGGGGTATAAGCCAACAGTTACCTCCTTTGCTTGTGAACTGCAAAGGTGAGAAGTGCTTCCAAAGAAAATCAGAGAGCACCATTAAAACAAATAATAGAAAAATCTGCCCTGTCCAAGTGATCAAAGAAGACTTCCCTGATAATGTGATATTTAAGCTGAGCCTGCAGTAAAAGGGGAAGTAGACAGGGGACATGGAAAATGGAGGCAGGAGAGTTCAAGGCCAAGGAAATACCAGGTGCACTGGCCTTGAGGCAGGAAGGAGTTTAGCACATGTTGGAAATTTAAAAATGGCCTTTTGCTTTTCTTCTCCTTTTTTTTTTTAATACCATAGATAAAACCTTGGGAGTATTTCATTTCTGTTTATTTCTTAAGAACAGGTACCAGCTCCCTATCACAGCAGCAATCTTTCCAATATACTCAGTATTGTTGAGCAAGAGATAGATGTGCGAGCTCCTGCCTGTGGTTTTACACAGATGCATGGATCCCTGGCAGAAGATGCACACTTATTTTTTTCCTAAAAAGACAATGAAATATATGTAACTCGAAAGTCCCCAATCTCATCTGCCTGCAACTACAAAATGAGATTACGCTCTTCTTGCAGACTCAAATTATTATGGCCTGAGGTCCTCCAACTCTCTCCCAGCTGTTCCGGAGAGCTTTCCTGGGCCTCCTGTGTGTCCAGAATTATGTTCTTTGTTTCAGTTTGCTCTGATCTTCTTGTCTTGCTGGGCCCAGCTGTCCTGATTGGTGACTACTGCTAATGCTATGCTTGACTTTGGGGAGAGGATACAGTTGTTTGGGTCAGGTTTGGTATATTTCAACACCTGCTAGTAGAATCTGAATTCAGAAGCACTTGTGGAGCTGAAGAACTTTGCCACTGCTGAACCCAAAGATTTCTGGTTGCCCCAGAAAGCCCAGTTAGATGTCTCCAACCCTGCGCATTTCCCTCCTACTGCCTTGTGGTCAGCACACCACCCATTTCCACCAACAGAGCCCTCAACACTGCAGAGCTGGGAATCTTCACTAGGTAACTTTGGGCTAATTGCTGAATCTGCTCATTCCTGTTTCTGAAGCTGCAAAACAGATATACTTACCAACTTCCCTGTGTCAATGGGAAGATACAAGGGGTAAATGAGTACAAAAATACTCTGTACATTCTGAAAACACTTGCACAGCACATCAGAGCTATGCCCCAATCATAAGCTGTGATAAGCTTCTCATTGTCAACCAGGCAACATGAAACAGCATACTCTGGAAAGTCCTCAGGCCCATCATAATCCAGCTTCCACCTAGCCCTCCAGCTGCACCTCTCGCCAGGACACTCTACAAAACCAGTGACACCACCACTCGGGGTTTCATGAACTCGCAGGCTTTCCTACACTTCTGAGCACAGGCTTTCCTACGCTCCTGTTCCTCTGCCTGGAATGCCCTTTCTTTGCTACAACCAACCACTACAGGTAAATAAGATCACGTAGGAGTCCCTTTATTTAGAAATGAGAAAATGTTCAGCTCAAGTGATATAACAAAAATAGAATCAACAGGTTTGTAAAAATAAATAGTCTATGGGTAAGATTTCAAGTTCAACTTGGTCTAGGGTTCAACTGATAATAGTAGGACAGAATGTCCCTTTCTTCATTTCTGTCTGTATTTCCTTGATATTGGTGCCATTCTTACCCTCCATTAACTCACCCCACAGTTACATTAGTTCTTCCACCTACTTTCTCTTTTGTTGGCAACCAGTTGGACAGATGTTCAATTTTCCTATTGACCAAAAAAAAAAAGAAAAAGTCCCAGAAAGGTATGACCTTGTCCCTAATTGATTCCAACTTGAGTGGCCAAAAGATACCATGTCCTGACTATCTGAGCCAGTCATGCATTCCATGGCTCTGAACCAATCTTATCCAAAGCACAAAATCTGAGAGATGTCTACAGTCTTCTAATGCCAAATGCCAAATATTTGGTGGTACAAAGCACAAATATCTACTACCACTACACCTGCAACTGTACTTTCCATTTCCGTTCTTCCTTCCAAAACTCTATCTTGCCTGCTACGTGAAATTATATTATGCTACAAAAGCAGTTCCTATATTTCCTAGAGTCCCACAGTTTTCTGCAGAAACCTCATCTGCAGAATTTATCCCATTGGACTACAATGCATCCTAATCTGTTGCTGTGAGTTCCTCAAGGTGTATTAAGGGCCAGGACCAGCCTTATTCATCTCTTTATTCCCTGCAAGGGGCACATTCCCTGACACAGAGAAAATGCTGTGTAGCAGCTGATGAATGGGTAACCATCTATGTATTTTCAGCTTTAACCTTTTTTTATGATCTTTATTAATTACTCGCTAAATTCATCTTGAGATCAAACAACACTTCTTAGATCTTATTTTTCTCTTTTTACATGAACACATTCCAAGTTGGCTTTTCTTCTCATTTTTTGAGAAAGTAACTTGTACTTTAGACCTAACACAAGATTTTTGCATGAGTTCCTACTAAATGTCAACTTACTGGTGTCTCTCTAGCGCTTTAACTTGATCAGATGGTTCTAAATCCTGATTTCATCATGTCTCAGTAATTACCACACCCAGCCTTGTATCATCTGCATATCTGATTAGTGAGCCTTCTAGGTCCCCACCAAATCACTTAGTAGGACAGAATCGAACACAGAACCCCAAGGATCATTAAAGGAAGTCTCTCTCCAGGTGCTGAAAGAAATATCCATTCCTGCTGGAAATCCACATAATGGTATCATTATCACCTAAATACATCCCTTTCTTGTCAACAGGACCATCATGGAGATTATCCCTCAGTTGCTCAGCAGAAGTCAAGAGATTCTAGTATTTCGGCTGGATGTGGTGGCTCATGCCTGTAATCCCAGCACTTTTGGAGGCCAAGATAAGAGGATGGCTTAAACCCAGAAGTTCAGCTTAGGAGACAAGCCTGGGAAACATGGCAAGACCTCTTCCCTATTTTCAAAATTAGTTTTCAAAAATTAAAAAAAAGTCTAGTATCTCAGTATACTTTTTTGAGTCCCAGAAATTATTTTTTTAACTTGACTTTTTTTTAACGTGGGAGATTTCACATAAATGTCTCAATGTCTATCTTTTTAAAAAGTCCAAATATGCTATAAACATATAAACATTATAGCAGCTTTACTCATAATTGCCAAAACTTGGAAACAACCAGGTGTCATTTAGCAGGTGAATGGATAAACAAATTGTGTCACATCCAGACAATGGAATATTATTCAGCACTAAAAAGGAATGAGTGATCAAGCCACAAAGACACAGAGGAACCTTAACTGCATATGACTCAGTGAGAGAAGCCAATCTGAAAATGCCCACATACTATATGTTTCCAACTATATGACATTCTGGAAAAGGAAAAACCATGAGTAAAGTAAAAATACCAGTGATTTCCAGGAGCTGGGGGAGGGGAGAATAAAAAGGTAGAGCACAGAGGATTTTTAGGACACTGAAAATACTCTGTGTGATGCTATAATGATGGACACAAGCCATTATACATTTGTCTGAACCTATACAATGGACAACACCAAGAGTGAACCCTAATGCAAACTATGGACTCTGGATGATAATGATGAGTTAATGTAGGTGCATCAGTTGCAACCAACGTACCACTCTGGTGGGGGATGTTGATCATGGGGGAGTGTATTAGTCCGTTTTCACACTGCTATAAAGAAATACCTGAGACTGGGTAATTTTTCAAGGAAAGAGGTTTAATTGACTCTCAGTTCCACATGGCTGGGGAGGCCTCAGGAAACTTACAATCATGGTGGAAGGTGATTGGACCTTCTCACACGGTGGCAGGAGAGAGAGAAAGCAAGCAGGGGAAATGCCAGACACTTATAAAACTATCAGATCTCGTAAGAATTCATTCACTATCATGAGAACAGCATGGGGGAAACCACCCTCATGATCCAATCACTTCCGTCCCTCAACATGCGGGGATTGCAAGGATTACAATTCAAGATGAGATTTGGGTAGGGACACAGCCAAACCATATGAAGGAGGCTATGCGTGGTTGCGGGGGCAGGGGAATATATGAGAAATCTCTGTATCTTCCACTCAATTTTGCAGTGAACCTGAAATTTCTCTGAAACATAAAGTTTACATTAAAAAATCCCAAATACCTGGCAACAGTGGACCCATGTTACCAAATCACAGCAACCAGCAGAGGCTCAGCATGGAGGGAAAGTGTTCTCCGGTTTGGTGCAGTCCACATGCAGCCTCATTCACAAACTCTGCTGTCTCCTGCATTTCTCTAAGACACTAAGTCAACTGCCCAGAGCTACAAGATCACCACATCCAGATGCCTTTATATGCACCTCAACTGAGGCTTCAGCAGAAAAGCACCTCGGCCTGTCCATCCCCAGTATCCAGGAGCCCACAATGCTGCAAAGCTGCCTTTCCTGATAAAACCAATCATTAATGCTCTTTCTCAAAAAGTCATAGTTGCTCGTTAACCTCCCTTCATTGTCCATTAGACCCAATTCTGTCCTCTGGAACCACAAAGAAGTGTAATGGCCACTTCTGTCTCATGTTGGGGCATCTGTGCTATGAGGTCTTTGCCTCTTATTTCTCCCTAGGGGAGACAGACTGTTTTCCTTCCACATATCAACAACCTCAGTTTCTTCAACCCCTTCTAATGGGTAATTGCTTCTAGACCCTACATCTCAGCCTAGTTACCTACTCCTAATGCACTAACGTTTGCCAGTATTCAGAGGACTAACAGGCTAAAAGAGCCAAGGAGGAAGCAGACACTTACAAACCAGTCAAAACATATCTGCCTGAGAAGCAGGAACCTCCTCCCAAGATTTATCAAGGGCCTCAAGGTTGAAAGGCGTCTCAGGACTCATCTGACCCTTTCTAAGATAGAGGTGAAGATATTCATGGGCACTGGGAAAACCAGCTGATATGGTTCCCTCTCCAAATCTCATGTTCACATGCGACCTCCAATGCTGGAGATGGGGCCTGGTGTTTGAGTTATGGGGGTGGATTCCTCATGAATTGCTTGGTGTTGGCTTTGTGGTAATGAGTGGGTTCTCGCTCTATGAGTTCCCAGGAGATCTGGTTGTTTAAAAGAGCCCAACACCTCCTCCTTCTCTCCCTCACTCCCCAAATGACACACTATCTCCCTTTCACCTTCTGCCATGGTTGGAAGCTTCCTGAAGCCTCACCGGACACATATGCCAGCACCATGCATCACGAGCAGCCTGAAAAAACATGAGCCAAATAAACCTCTTTCGTTTATAAATTACCAGTCTCAGATATTCCTTTATAGCAATGCAAAACCAATACACCAGCTGTGATTTGCCCTTCTAGTAAATGGGGAGAAAATACAAGCAGATAAAATGTGACAACTGCCAGAGAGTTCATAAAGAGAGGCCTACTCTCGCTGTGGCATCTAAAATTTTGTGTTCCACTCTAAGAAATGGTGGAAATCTAGATTTTTCAGCAGTGCTAAACTTCACTTCAAATGCTATGGAAGGTGGAAAGCCAGTTCAAGACACCTCTGTTTGAGATTATGTTTCACCTGGGAACCAATTATCACCAGGAAGAGTGTTAGAGAATTAGAGAAACTAACCTTTTCTAATCCGCTGTCTAACAGAAACCTCTCGGCAGCCAATCAATAATGGCTGTGGTGAAGAGCCATATGAGAAGTCTTCCTCTTCGCCTCCACATAAGTAATTAAAGCCAGTTTAATGAGATTGCCTGAGAGCTGGGTGTCTGAGTGCAGGAGAATTAGACAGCAGCATTGAGGGAGAGCAGCTTTTCAGAAGGAAACAGATACCGAGAAGCAAAATATGAGTTTCAACTGTTGGGTGTGAATCACCCCAAGTCTCTCTGGCAAAATGTGGGACAAAGAAATCTGGAAGCAGACACCTGAATAAACAGAAAGGCTCTGATTACCTGCCATCATTGACAGCTAAAGGAGGGAGGAATTGAAAATGATCTACTGTGTCTGAGATCCGCTCTCTCTTCCCACTTCTAGAGAAAACTCAGCACCTAAATTTCACCTTCCCTGTCTGGAAAATGTCTAGGTTTAGAAACCAAGCTGAACTGAGTTTAAAGACCAGGTCTGCCACTTAGGAGCTGCTTTGCCTGGAAGAAGTCCTTTCACCTTCTTAAGCCTCAGACGCTTCCTCTGTAAAATAGGATGATAGCAGTAAGCACCTCTTAAGGATTTTGTGAAGGGTACATAGGATCATGCATTTAAAGTGCTAAGCACAGTGTCTGGCTTGCAGTGAGCATCTAATATACCAGGTATTGTCATCAGTTTTTGTTGTCCATCAGAGTATGAGACAGTACCTTGAGGTAGTGGGAGTAATAACATGTCACATGGGGATGTTGTTAGGTTGACATGAGATCCAGAATGTGAAGGTCTCAACTAGACTTGACAAGAGGCAGGGGCAAAAAAAATGGCAGTTACCACTCCTCCCCTAGGCTAAAAAATGGAGGTAAGATATCAGCAAGGAAGTAATAAGTAGCAAACTGCTTCATGGAGCCCTTCTATTGCCCCATTGCAATTTGTGGGGATAGAGAGCACCAAGTACAGAGCAGAGAGATGAACATTTCTTTTTATGAGACAAGGTCTTGCCCTGCAGCCAGGCTGCAGTGCCGTGGCACAATCACAATTCACTGCAGCCTTGACCTCCTGGTCTCAAGCGATCCTCCCACCTCAGCCTCCCAAGCAGCTGGGACTACAGGCACCTGCCACAACACCCAGCTAATTTTTGTATTTTTTGTACAGACAGGGTCTCACTATATTGCCCAGTCTGGTCTTGAACTCCTAAGCTCAAGAGATCTTTGGCTTTGGCCTCTCAAAGTGCTGGGATTACAGGTGTGAGCAACTTCACCCGACCAAGATGAACTTTCAATATAGAGTTTTGCTCCTTCCCTTTAAAAAAACCTCCAGCCCAGGGAAATTCAGCCTTTAGGAACCATGTCCCTTTCAATAGAATTGTTTCCCCCACAAGCTGCCTTTTGGAAGCAGTGAGGCGGCCCTCTGCCATGTGACCCCTCCAAGCTGGGAAGACTTGAAGGAATAGCAGGAGCAGCCCCCAGACAGAGCCATATGGCTTACTACACATTACACATAAATTACCTTTTGGCAATAAGCTAAACCAAAGGACTTAAACGAATTCTGCATTTTAATAACAGACTCCCTTTCTGTAGCACTGCTTCCCACCAAACAGAATCTATCTGCATAGACCTGTGCCAAGTGCATCCTGGTCAGTGGCCCTGTGATTTAAGATCAGCTATTTCTTGTCTCCATCCTGCATAATGAAGTCAGTCACATTTTATTGCCAAATGGCCCTGGTAATGCCTCCATAACTGCCCATTGAAGGTGCTTTTGCTTTCGGGAATAAAGAGCGAATCTGAATTTCACCAAGATAAACTCACAGCTGGGTCAATACATTGAATGGTTATCGTTTGTGCCCTGCACTTTATCTATTTTTAGGCCTTGTTCCTGCAAAGAAATAAAAATGCATCCCCTAAGTGCATGAAAGCCATGGGCCTGGCAGAGGGCAAGGTCAGGGGGACATTCGTTCACTGTTTTCTGTAGGGAGGGGAAGCACAGAGAACAAGGACTCCATGGCTGGTAGAAAAGAAATGCAGCAGGGCTGGGCTGCTCCTGTTCTTCCTTCAAGTCTTCCCAGCTTGGAGGGGTCACACGGCAGAGGGCTGTCTCACTGCTTCCCAAAGGCAGCTTGTTGGGGAAACAATTCCATTGAAAGGTACGCGGTCCCCAAAGGCCGCATTTCCCGGGGTGGAGGTTTTTTAAAGGGAAGGAGCAAAACTCTATATTGAAAGTTCATCTTGGTTGGGCACAGTTGCTCACACCTGTAATCCCAGCACTTTGAGAAGCCAAAGCAGAAGATCACTTGAGCTTAGGAGTTCAAGACCAGCCTGGGCAACACAGTGAGACCCCGTCTCTATAAAAAACACAAAAATTAGCTGAGTTTTTTTTTTGTTTTTGTTTTTGTTTTTGTTTTTTCAGAAGGAAAAACTCATGGTCATTGGATCAGGAATGGAAATACATGATCCAGGTTGTCCTCTGAGGGCCAGCACCCGGACATTTGCTGGTGCCATTGGAAAAGAAGTCATCTCATTCTGCTGGGATCCCTACATCGGTAGGACATAAATCTGGAGTGGCTAATATATCTTTGTCAATATTTAAGGAGGACCAGGCTGAGGATGAAACAAGGAGATAGGAAAAGACAGGCAAGAGATGGAGAAAGAAAGATTTATGTTGACATCCTCTTGGTCGCAGTCAGACTGAATTATACTGGATCTAGCCATGCCTGAAGCCATTATTACACCTTGAACTTTTTTAGATAATTGATCAGGTTTTTGCTTACCCCAGTGCTTGAACGGGTGTCTGTCACTTGCAAATAAAAAAATTCTAAAGCATTAGGCAAAGAAAGAGGAAGTAGAAAGTTCTGTGAAGAGAGATTAACATTTCCCCATCTGGAACTTAGCAGATCTCATATGGGTTTTGAGATTGAATTTCACTTCAGTGTTTTAGAACAAAAGGAGTAAGAGTGGCTGGAGTTTAGACAGGGCTGGCCTAGAGAGGTCTGAGAGAGGTGAAGCCTCCATCCAGGACTATCTAGAAACAGTTATATCCTTTAGGTGAGGCCACTTCCATGCAGCTTTGCAAATTTCCACAACCAGAAGCATGTTCTTCATATGCCTAGGTAAAGAAAATGTGGTACATATACACCATGGAATACTATGCAGCCATAAAAAAGAACAAGACTACGTCCTTTGCAGGAACATGGATGGAGCTGGAGGCCATTATCCTCAGCAAACTCACACAGGAACAGAGAACCAAAATACAACATGTTCTCACTTATAAGTGGGAGCTAAATGATGAGAACACTTGGACACATAGCAGAGAATAACAGACAATGGGGCCTACTTAAGGGTGGAGGATGGAAGGAGGGAGAGCATCAGGAAAAATAACTGTTGGGCACTGGCCTTAGTACCAGGGTGACAAAATAATCCATACAACAAAAGCCCATGACGCAAGTTTACCTATATAACAAACCTGACCATGTACCCCAATCCTAAAATAAAAGTTTAAAAATATAAAATAAAGAAATATATTTTTAAAAAGAATCACGTTTTTGCCTTCTTCTCAGACAAGCTGAACATAGCTGTTTCTTTTCTCTCCTTCCCTGCTGCCAACCTTCTAGATGGTCACCTGTGCGAAGCCCTTGAGATTCTAATGCTGAAAACTGAGCCTCCAAATGCGTCCACAGAGTAGAGCCCAAATCACCTTAGAGGTGTGGTCTCAGAGACAGACCAATTATTTTGTGGGCATGTTCTTTCCAAAGCACTCTTGCTTGTCTTCCTGTCTTTGGTCTTCACATGGGGCAAGGGATCCAGACAGTAGTGGGATGCGATGTGTGATTAGAAGGTAGGAAACCTGGAGGATAGTACTGGTTCCCTGTATGTGCCCCTGAAGATAACCTTGAACCTTTCTTTTCTTTTTTTTTTCTTCTTGTTTTTGTTTGTTTGTTTGAGATGGAGTCTCACTCTGTTGCCAGGCTGGAGTGCAGTGGTGTGATCTGAGCTCACCGGATTCCAGTGATTCTCCTGCCTGAGCCTCCTGAGTGGCTGGGACTACAGGGGTGCACCATCACACCCAGCTAATTTTTGTATTTTTAGTAGAGACGGGGTTTTACCATATTGGCCAGGATGGTCTCGATCTCTTGACCACATGATCCACCCACGTCAGCCTCCCAAACTGCTGGGATTATAGGCGTGAGCCCCCACGCCGGTCCACCTGAGACTCAGTTTCTTCACCTGTCATCTGCCAAACAGGGTTGCTTTCACCATCTTTCTCCTTTCTAGTTTTTCTACACGTGTTTCCTATGTTCACTCTTGCACACCTTGGACCAAAGCCTTTCCTGAATTACTTACAGTTCTCTAAATGCTCTCTCCCAGTTCCCATGCTCAGATACAACGTAAAGTATCCCAAAGTGCCCATTCCTACCACAGCAGCAGCTTTGCACTTGAACTTCTCAAGCGCTTTCAGGGCTACAGGTAGAAGAGGCTTGGGCTGCATCGATTCTGGTAATTCGAGAATGCTCATGTCCCAAGGTGGGTCATGAGGAACCCCAAACTCATGGCCCTGTGGAAAAGCCCATGGAGAGGGTTCAGGGAAAACATTTGGCCCTGAGACAGTGGACCCAGAACCTTTCAAAACATACGGCAATTATTGCTCCCAAGTTCTTAAGGAGATGACTAAGAAAGTGGGGCACATCTGAGGGGAGATTTTGAGGCTACTGAGATGACAGTACTCTATCTTGGAAGCAAAGCATAGGAGGCCACATGAATTCTACAGGAGGTGGTCTGGAGGTGTGCTTGTTAGATTGGAAGATATCCCATTTAGAACTCTGCATCTGCATTTATAATTAAGGGTACTTTTGTGATTTTGTTGTTGGCTTTGTTTTTCCTTGGTGACCTGAAAATACGACCCCTTTGGTCTGCATGTTTCCTTCTATTTTATTTTTTAATAGAGATGGGGTCTCGCTCTGTTGCCCAGGCTGGAGTGCAATGGTGCAATCATAGCTCACTGTAGCCTTGAACTTGTGGGCTCAAGCGATCCTCCTACCTCAGCCTCCCAAGTAGCTGGAACTACAGGCACAGGCCACAATGCCTGGCTAAATTTTTTTTTTTTTTTTGGAAAGATGGAGTCTTGCTATATTGCCCAGGCTGGAGTGCAATGGCGTGATCATAGCTTATTGCAGCCTCGAACATCCAGGTGCAAGCAATCCTCCTGCCTCAGCCTTTCAAGTAGCAAGCACCGGCATGCCTGGCTACCTTTTTTTTTTTTTTTTTTTTTTTGTCGAGATGGGGTATCTCCACATTATCCAGGCTTGTCTCTAACTCCTGTCCTCAAGCAATCCTCCCACTCCAGCCTCAGAAAATGCTGAGATTACAGGCGTGAGCCACTGCACCCAGCCTATTTCACATGTTTCTAAATGATTAATCAGAACAGAGACTGTGTCTTTTCAAATCACAGTTACATCCTCAGTGCCTAGAACAGGATCTGGAACATGGTAGGTGCTCAATAGCCACTTTCTGAATTGATGGATGAATGGAGAAAGGAATGGAGGGGTTTTCAATAAACATCCAGGTTTCTAGCTTCTTTTTATAAATCCGAAAAATCGGGGAAAAAAAAAAACAGAAAAACAGCGAGCTGGGGCTGAGGAGCAGCTGCCTCTTGAAGACGGGAGCTATTCTATCCAGTTTACCATGCTCCTCACCACTCCTTATTGTCTTATGTTGGGTCCACTTCATTTCTATTGATCTTCTGCCAGCACACAGGCATTTAAGTTTCTTGAGCATGATCAAAGCTGTCACGGGAATTTTCCAGGTTAAGTCAGCCCTAGTCCCGAAAGAGAATGCAGGCAGAAGAGTTAGAATTATTGCTCACATTGTTAGTCCCTTTGGCATTCCTCCCAAGAGAGCTGGGGCCTCATTTCTGCCAGTGTCTGAAGGCCATGGAAGGTCAAAATGTCACAAGCCCATCCTACATCTTCTTCTTTCTTTGCTTCCAACATTCCCAAAAGGCTGAACATGAATCTTTCAAAATTCCCAAGAATCCAGTTCAGTTTTTCTAGTAAGCTCTCTGGCAATTTTTTTCCCCAAATGCTTTATAAATGCTAAGTTTATTATTACTTCATATTCCCTGGGCCATTGCCTGTGAGGAATCAATGTGGAAAGAAAGCATGCAGTTGATTTAGCTGATCAGTAAAATCAAACAGTTTCACACTAAGTTAGTCAAAGACCTTAAAGTATTCTTTTTTTTTTCTTTTAGACGGAGTTTCGCTCTTGTCGCCCAGGCTGGAGTGCAACGGCACAATCTCGGCTCACTGCAACCTCCACCTCCCGGGTTCAAGCAATTCTCCTGACCTTAAAGTATTCTGAACAGTCCCACCCCTTCAGAGGGAACCCAAAGTGGATGCAAAATGGGGGTGCTTGCTAACCAAAACACGAACTGAAATCTAAAGGATACAGACCTACTGAGATCATAGGAAAACCATTAGGCATGGGTCTTATGGGCAAACCATCAGTGGCTGGAAGGCATTGAAGTGTTGTGGTTAACAGAATGTATTTCTAGGCTAAACAGAACCAGATCTAAGGTCTGGTACTACAACTTACTATCTAAAAGTTCTTTTCTTCGCCCCAGTCTCCTCATCTATAAATGCCAATCATAAATCACTATCTCTTCAATTTAAGTAAAGGTTAAATAAGGATCGTGAGGTCTCAGAATTAAGGTAAACACTGAGCAGGCATCTGGCACATAGTAAATGCTCACTAAAAGTTAGCTATGCTATTTTAGCAGAGAGATAGTATTAAAGTTTGTTCTAGATCAAGTGAATTTAACTCATGTGTGTGCCCAGTCATACACAGACTGTTCTGGTCTGCCTACCACATGCAGAGGTCTCCACAGTAACAAGGTGGTCTTGGTATTTAAACTGTAGGTGGAGAAACATACACGTAAACAACAAATACCAGATTATTTTGCAAATGCTTACGAAGGATAGTAGAAGCTCACAGGGCAGAATTACTGCCAGGGGGAGTCCCAGTGTTCGGAGAGGTGAATCTACAGAGACAGAGAGATTAGTGGTTGTTTGGGGCTTGGGGTCGGAATAGGGATTGATTTACAGAGGGGCATGAAAGATCTTTTGGGGGAGAAGGTAATGTTCTAAGTTGGATTGTAGTGATGGCTGCACAACGATGTAAATTTTCTAAAAACCTTGGAATTGTACATTTAATGTAGTAAAGTTTTTATGACATATAAATCATAACCTTGATCAACTTTTTTTTTTAACGGTGCCATTTCAACCAACCCTTCAGGATGGTTAATATTCACTATACAGATAGGAAGGATTTGGCTTCTGTCCAGACAGAGGGTCTGGCATGGGAGCGGAGGCAGAGAGGGAGTACAACTTGCCTAATAGGGATCAGTAACATTGCAGGTAGAAGGAGAGACACAAGTTGTGAATGAAAGGATGGTGGAGGCATTCCACCTAGTGTCAAGCCACGAGGCATGGGGCTTTCCAGGAACAGGCACACTGTTGCACTACCCCACCCTCAGCAACATTGGCCCTCTGCTATTAGATTCTATCTCCTGTGCTAATGGAGGGCTTTGGCTTTGCGAAAGACACATCCGAGCTTACTGTTTGAAACCACAAATCCCCTCATAGGACATGAGAGTGGAGTGAAGTGTTTAATTTCTCTGATGTTTCCCCAGTCAAAGCCTCCCCGTCACTGGCACTTAGGGGATTTGCAGCTTCTTTGCTGAGACGACACAAGAGGTTTCTCTGCTTAATCCCCAGATCTTTAGAGTTGGGGCTGCATTTGGTTTGTGTTTCAACAGCGTCGCGGCGTAATCTGTGACACTGAGCTTCAAGCTCTCTGTGCAGGGAGTGAGCTGGGGAAAAATCAAGGTGCCCAGGAAGCTTTTAAAGATGAGAAAGCTGAGGCCAAAAGCAGCACCTTTCCGGGTTCCTGGCCAAGCCACTGTTTCCCTTCAAGCTGCCCCTGCCTTCCTCTTTAACAGACAGGGTTAGAGTCTGTGACCTAATGTTGCTGGCTGATGATGATTTGATCCCTGGCACCAGCTGGGCCAATCAGAGGAGCTCTTTACAGAGCTCAGAACCAAGGAGAGGAATATTAATTCATCTAGGATGCTTACTGAACCTTAGCCCATGTAGAAGTAGGAGCTCAGTGTATTGAAAACATTTACAACAGCCTGGAGAGAGAAAGATGCCATTGATTTCCAACCTCCATTCTGACTGCTGTCTGGTACCTGGATTTAGCCCTCTGTGAGGCTGAATCCACTTTACTCTACCCATGGGATTTATTACATGCCCTGTATGCTTCCAGGAAATTCCTACGTGTTGCTTAAGCAAGATGAAAATGAATACACTTGCAATCAAAGCACCCTAATGGAGTCAGAGAGTGGCTAGCCCAAATCACAATGTAAAATTGACACCAGAACCCTGCTGCCCTGCCAGACCAGGGGCCTTGATGTTCATTATCCAAAACCATAGAGGTTAGTTGCTCATCAGTCCAGACACCAACACAGAATTCAGGTGATTGTTTCCAGAAGCAAGTGCACTTCAAGTCCAGCCTGAGAAGGGACTACATTTTATAATAGAGGGAAAAGTTGTAATGAAGAAATTGCACATGCAAAGGCAAGCCAGGAGAGGCAGGTAGAGGTCGTATTTGCAGGACTTTATGGCCATTGCAAAGATTTCAATTTTGCTTAAATGGGGTAACATATGAAAATGGGTTAAAACATGTAAAACACTTAGGGTAGTACCTGGTATACAACAAGTACCAATTACCATTAGTAAATAATAGTTAATATTACTACCCTGAAGACAGTGGGAAGCACCTAAAGGATTTCTAGCACAGCTATAACTTCAGTTTTGGATTTTGAAAGGTCCCCCGGATGTGGGGAGGAAAATGGATCGGTGCAGAGCCTCAGAGGACACAGGAGGTAGATGAAAGGCTGTTTCCATCTTCAAAACGAGAGGGGCTATTATTTTTTAGCTAGAGTGGTATCAGTAGATATTCAGAAAAGCTAATAGATTAAAGAGATATTTAAGGGGTAAAATTGTCAGGACTTGGTGACAGATTGGCCGTACAGAATAAAGAAACAAGCAGCTCCAAGATGAATCTCAGAATTTGGACTGAACAACTAAACGGCCGTTTACATCATTTAACTGAGACAGTGGATGCCAGATAGTGGGCTCAGTTGTATGGGAAAGGTTATGAGTCTAGTCTTTGGGCATGTTGAATGCAAGGTGAATTTAAAATAGCCAAGTGAAGATGTCAAGTAAGCATTTGAATATAGGTGGCCAAAGCGCAGAGGAGAAACCTAAAAATGAAACCTTTTGAGTCATCATTGTCCCGAAATTGAAGCCACAGGTAAGCATGAGATGCTCCAAAGGGAGTATCCAGGGTCACAGTCCCAGAAAATGCCAATGGGATCCACTTAAGCATGATGGATGTTACAGCTCACCAAGAATGCTCCCCGCAACCCAACGCCTGAAGCCCAGCTCAGTAAATATTGACTTACTGGAAAAAACAAATCAATCAATCAATTCATGAACAGGATTGAAAGCTAGAGCTGCTCATCAGATCTTTCTGTGCAGGCAGTGAGAGGGGACAATGGCCTGCCACCAAATTTTATTTCCTGAATTCTAGACTCTCTTTCACACATGCACACACACACACATATATTTTAATTTGGAGGAAAAATGTAGAGCCAGAAGTTGCAGGTAAATACAGTATAATGAAGGGTCATCCCCCAAAACAAACAAACAAAAAAAGCTAATTTAGTCACAGAAACCTGTTCACTCTTATTCTGCCAAAATTTCCTCCTTTTTGATAGATGCCTCAAGTGTCAGGCAATAGAATTTCCTAGGGTAGTCTCTGTTTAGCAGTCCTGGAAAGACTTGACAAGCCAAGCCCTGAGCTTGCCAGCTTGGACATAGAGACACAGAAAAGAATAAGGCAATCTTGGCTGAGGGCGTGCATTTAATAACTTTGTTTAATACAAAGTATAGCCTTGGGTATCTTCCAATTAGCATCAGCTTTTCCTCCCAGTTCAAAAAACTCACAAGAAACCCTGCCACTTCTTCAGAAGTTCCAGAGAAGAGAAAACTAGAATTTGAACAGTCATCCTAGAATGTCTTGTTTGAAATTCTCTCTGTACATGGATTTGTACAACAATGGCTAAAAATGGAAGAAGCAAGAGTAATAAAAACAAGTTGGTAAACTTTATGTAGTAGAGGAAGAAAACCTAATTTCTAAGGGTAGCTGCTGTGCTCATCAAACAACTGTGTTTTCATCAGAGAAATTTATATTATGTTCTAGATGCCTGCCGCTCCAACAGGCCCTTCAGAGGAAAACTGACCAATGGCCCTGACCTTCTGCCAAAGCTGAGTGAGCCAGGCTGAGACGCACAGCCCAAGGAAAGGCATTCAATATGGCAACGGTTCTTAAAGGTTGATGGACAAAAGAAGCATCTGAAAAGCTTAAGGCACAGCTTTCTAGGACACATGCTCAGAGACTGGAATTCAGTAGGTTTGGGTGCATCCCATGAATTTGCATTTCTAACAAGCTTCCAGTAATTCTAATGTTGCTGTCCCCAAGACTAGTGTAAGCATATGGCTTAACAGCTGTTATCTCTGCAAGGGCAACGATACTCAGGTATCCAGCGTGCCTGGAACAGTGCCAAGCCACAGTAATTGCTCAACAAATATCTGTTGAATAAACAACCCTCTCTCTCAAGGAGTTCCAATATTTAGTGGTGACCAGTGTCTTAGTCAGTTCAGGCTGCTATAACAAAACACCATAGCCTGGGTAGCTTATAAACAATAGAAATGTATTTCTCACAGTTCTGGAGGCTGGGAAGCCCAAGATCAAGGGGTCAGCAAATCCAATGTCTAGCGAGGATCTATTTACTGGTTCACAAATGATGTTTTCTTGCTGTGTTCTCACATGGTACAAAGAGCAAGGCAGCTTTCTGGGGACTCTTTGCTAAGGGTACCAATCCCATTCATAAAGGCTCTACCCTTATGAGCCTTCATCAACTACCAGTGGCCCCACCTCCTAATACCATCACACCAGGGATTAGGTTTCAACCTATAGATTTTAGGGAGATACAATTTTCAGACCATAGCAGCAGTTAGCAGAAGACAGAAAGCCAAAAGACACAAACAGAGAAGGCAGTAGGAAGAAGCCATAAGTCAGCCCATGGCCATTAGCTTGTTCTAGCCATGGGTGAGTCAAAACTTAGAAGACACCAGGCACCATGGCTCACGCCTGTAATTGCAGTACTTTGAGAGGCCAAGGCAGGAGAATCACTTGAGCCCAGGAGTTTGAGACCAGCCTGGGTAACATGGCAAAACCCCATCTCTACAAAAAATACAAAAATTAGCCAGGCATGGCAGCACATGCCTGTAGTCCCAGCTACTTGGAAGGCTGAGGTGGGAAGTTTGCTTGAGCCCAGGAGGTTGAGGCTGAGGTGAGCTGTGATTGAGACACTGTATTCTAGCCTGGGTGACAGAGCAGAACCCTGTCTCAAAAAAAAAAAAAGAAAAAAAAAACTTAGAAGAGAGAAATTAATCAATGGTACCCAGGGTAGTGAGAGCAAAGGCTAAGGTTTGTTGGGTTCCTTCACATCTGGAGAACTAGAAGTGGCACCAAAAAGTTTTCCTGCTGATGAGATGACAAGAAAACCATATTGCACCAGCTTCTGCTCTTCAAAAAATCCTTCAGTCTCCATAAGGCAAAGTAATGTTGCTTTCTGACTTTCTTCTTTCTCCATTTCCTCACCATTCTCCCCTCCTAGTAATGAGACAAGGCCTCATGTCAACTCAATTTAAATCTGGTTCCCAAGCCTGACTTTGTGGCTTATTTCTTGGCCAATAAGGAAAAATCATTAAAATCTCTGAATCACAGATTCCTCGTCTATGAAACAGATAAGATTATCCCCTTACAGGAATAATGGATAAACTTAAAATTGCCAGATACAATAACTGACACATAGTGAGGGCTCAGTAAATTTGTATGGATGCTGAATCTCTTTCCCGAACTTTGGGCAACCTTGGGAATTTGAGACTGTATCGTAATTAACACATCATTTTATCCATTCATTCTACAACTGTTCTTTGAGCATCAGCTATGCATGGAGCCCCATTCTGGGCACTACAGACAAGGTAGTAAACAAGAGAAACAAAGACCTCTGCTCTCATGAAGCTTACATTAAAGTGGGGAGAAAATAAATATGACAAAGATTATGGTAAAATGTATAGTGTTATTAAATAGTGCTACGTGTCCCAGATAGAGTGTCGAGAGGAGTGGGTTACAATTTTAGATATGACTGCCCAGATAGGTATGACTACATAAACAAAGACATAAAAAAGTGAAGAATTTCAGGCTGGGCGTGGTGGCTCACACCTGTAATCCCAGCATTTTGGGAGGCCAAGGCAGGCAGGTCACTTGAGCTCAGGAGTTCGAGACCAGCCTGGGCAACATGGTGAAACCCTGTCACCCTGTCTGCACCAAAAAAAATAGAACACAAAAATCAGCCAGGCATGCTGGTGCATGCCTGTAGTCCCAGCTACTCGGAGGCTGAGGTGGGAGGATCCATTGAGCTTAGAAGCTCGAGGCTGCAGTGAGCCATGACCGCACCACTGTACTCCAGCCCCAGTGACACAGCGAGATCCTGTTTCAAAAAAAAAAAAGAGGGGTGGGGGCGGCAGTGAGGGGAAGGATTTCTACTTGTGGACATTTAAGAACAAACATTTCAGGTGCAGATAACTTCAGAGGCTGAAGTCCCTGGGACCAGGGAGGGCCAGAGTGTTTGAGAAACAGCAAGGAGACCAGTGTATTCATTCTTCTGAAGAATGAAGCAAGTGTGGTAGGAGATAAAATCAAAGATAAATTGACTTCAAAAAATGAGTTGCAGATCATGGAGGGCCCCGTAGGGTATGATAATGAGTACGGCTTTGATGGAGCCAGATGACAGACCATAGTTTAGTTTTGAGAAAAACGTGGTACAATATAACTTACCTGTAAGGGATCGATCTATTGATTGATTTAATTTATAGCTGCTGGATTGAAATCTAGGCAAGGGTTGAAAGAGAGAGCAGCTTAGGTTACTGCAATATTCCAGACACAATAGGATGGGGGCCTAGATTAAGGTTGAGCAATGAGACCAGAAGAATCCGATCACCAACACTGACATTAGAAATCATGGGCCATCACGGGAAACCAAAGACAGTACAGTGGAAAGAGGCACAGAACCCAGAGAATCATATGAAGCAAAAGACTCAGATCCACACCCTCTGCATCCTGGACTCATAGCCTGTGGCTCCACTCATAGCTTAGGGAGGAGGATTGGGTGTTTTTCTCTGGCCCCCTGTAAATCCAAGCTTCTTAAAAAACTGTTTACATACTGATTTTGATTCCTCTCCTCCATTTCATTCTTTAGCTCTCTCAAATATGAATTCTTTCCTTATCACTCCTCTAGCATTATTTCCAACTCCACAGGACATGTTTAAGACCCCATTTATTCCACCTCTCAGCAGAGTTTAGGCAAAGTTGACTATTCTTTTTAAACACTATCTTGTCTTTGGTGACACCTATTTCCCTAATTCTTCCTCAAAGCATCTGGCCACTCTTGCTCAGTCTCCAATCTGGGTCTTCCTACTCCCCCTGCTATTTTAAGATTTGCCATGGCTCAGGCCTGGACATCTTTTCTCACTCAACCTTATCTCCCTAAGTGATATCACCAAGTCCCCCCGCTTACAATACCAGCTATTGCCAGTGACTCCCCAAATTAACTAGTGCCATGACCTCAGACCAATATATACAACTGCTTTCTCAACCACTCTATTTGAGTATCTAACAGGCATTTCAAATTTGACATATCCAAAGAGGATTCTTGATGTTTTCCCCCACCCCCAATGTCCTATCTTTTCTACTTTGTTCCTATAACGGTAACTTCTAAAATGTATTACTGGCTGAGTGCAGTGGCTCTCACCTGTAATCCCAACACTTTGGAAGGCCTAGGCTGAGGATCACTTGAGGTCAGGAGTTCAAGACCAGCCCTGGCAACTTAGCAAGACCTTGCCTCTACAAAAAAAAATTTTAAAATTAGCCAGGAGTGGTGGCATGCACCTGTAGTGTCCCAGCTACTTAAGAGGCTGAGGGAGGAGAATCACTTGAACCCAAGAGTTTGAGGCTAGAGTGAGCTATGTTCACACCACTGCACTCCAGCCTGGGGGACAAAGAGAGGTTTTGTCTCAAAGAAGTAAAATAAAATAAAATGCATTGCCAACCTTTAACAGCCAAGAAAATTCCTGGAAAACATGGAAAGATTTGTTAACACAAAGCTCCTATTCCCACAGGGTGACAGTCTGTCATAAGAGGCACAAGGATGCAGCCTGGCTGTCCCATGTCACACACATATACTACCTACATGACCCCTACAAGGCATATGGCAACCCCTCCAGCAGGCTTCTCTTGCAACTTTTTGTTTTTTTGAGACGGAGTCTTGGCTCTGTCACATAGCCTGGAGTGCAGTGGCACAATCTCGGCTCACTGCAACCTGTGCCTCCCAGGTTCAAGCGATTCTCCAGCCTCAGCCTCAGCACTCTGAGATCCGACCACACTGGCTGGCGCTTTATTCCTCCGATGAACCAGGTGTTTTTCTGCTGAAGCACCTTCTCTCTTCCTGGAGACCTGCCTTCATCCTTTACCAAACCACACCTGCTCATCCTTCAGATTTCAGTCCATTGGCCTCACGCCAGCGCCCCTCTAAACTACTCATGCTACATGCTCCTTTGGAGTGCTCTCTATTTTTTCTAACTCTTGTGCACATGCATGCTTAACCATGTAGTGCTACCTCCCCTCAGGTAGGCTGTAAACTGCATACATCCATGACCTGCAGTATTCATCGCTTGAGACCTAGTGCCCAGCACACATGAATTATACAATCAATATTGCTTGAGTGAATGAATGAATGTCATCTGCTTTATAATAGGCTGAGGGTCAGTGTCCTCATCCACAACATGGTGACAATAAGACGTGCCCTTCCTTGTGCACGTATTACTTGATGGACCAAATAAAACCATGAGGCAGCATACTGTTTTATTACAGTTTTTATTCTCCAGTAAAAAAAGATTATTCTACCCATATTTGTATCACCAAGACCTACTGTCCAACAAATGTGTGTTGAATTGAATTGTTATTATTATATGTCTGCAGAAAGGTAAAACAAATGTTGATGTTGGCTCCCTGGCCCACAGACGATGCTCCCCCCCACCCTATCTCAAAAAGATGCGTTAGCCTGATCATAAGGTTTGGAGATATTAAAGTAAGCATGGATGGGGTGAATCAATAAATTTATAGCCCAGGGCAAGCTTTGCCCTGAACAAGTCTCTGTTTCTTAGCTGTTTGTTTTATTTTTTTGAAAGGCGTCTGAAGTTTGTCAATAAAGGTGATGCTTATTGCTTGAAGGTTTGGCCAGCAAAAGGAAACAGTTGCAGATTACAGAAAGTCTGTCTTCTCCCAAAGAAGCTTAATAATTTCAAATGTCTATTTCACATGTATAGCAGAAGTAAAAGCTAAGGTGTGCAATGGTGGGGAGGAGAGGCATGCGACTTGTCTGTCAGTGAGATCAGTGTAAGGATACTCAAATTCATCTGAAAGGCTCCAGACATTGCCTCCATAACTCTCCAACACACATACAATAGAAAAACACACTTACTCACTCCACATAGTCCACCTAAGGCTTCCCTATCCAATTCACATCCTGGTCTGTTTAGAAAGAGCGATAGGCTGGGCACAGTGGCTCAGGCCTATAATCTCAGCACTTTAGATGGCTGAGGTGGGTGGATCAGGAGGTCAGGAGTTCAAGACCAGCCTGGCCAATGTTGTGAAACCCCATCTCTACTAAAAATACAAAAATTAGCCAGGCATGGTGGCATGCGCCTGTAATCCCAGCTACTCGGGAGGGTAAGGCAGGAGAATCGCTTGAACCTGGGAGGTGGAGGTTGCAGTGAGCTGAGATCATGACACTGCACTCCGGCCTGGGTGACAGAGCAAGACTCCATCTTGAAAACAATCAAACAAACAAAAAATAGAAAGAGTGATAATAGAATGAATACTTATTAAGCCCCTAGTATGTGCTAGAACTAGGCTAGGCAAACCCATCTACAAAAACAGATTTGACCCCTACATAGAGAAATTGTTACTTCTTTTTTAGAGATTTAGAAACTGAGGCTCAGGTAGGTTGAAGCACTTGCCCAAGGTAATACAATTGACAAGTGGTGGGAGATAGTGGCACAGGCACTTAAGAATGCATTCGAGGCAGGGCGTGGTGGATCATGCCTGTAATTCCAGCACTTTGAGAGGCCGAGACGGGTGGATCACAAGGTCAGGAGATCGAGACCATCCTGGCTAACACGGTGAAACCCCGTGTCTACTAAAAATACAAAAAATCAGCCGGGCGTGGTCGCAGGCGCCTGTAGTCCCAGCTACTCGGGAGGCTGAGGCAGGAGAATGGCGTGAACCTGGGAGGCGGAGCTTGCAGTGAGCCAAGATCCTGCCACTGCACTCCAGCCTGGGGGACAGCGCGAGACTCTGTCTCAAAAAAAAAAAAAAAAAAAAAAAAGAATGCATTTGAGGCTGGGCACGGTGGCTCATGCCCATAATCCCAACACTTTGGGAGCCCAAGGCGGGCGGATCATCTGAGGTCAGGAGTTTCAGACGAGCCTGACCAACATGGAGAAACCTTGTCTCCACTAAAAATACAAAAGTAGCCGGGCGTGTTGGCACATGCCTGTAATCCCAGCTACTCGGTAGGCTGAGGCAGGAGAATTGCTTGAACCCAGAAGGCGGAGGTTGCAGTGAGCCGAGATAGTGCCATTGTACTCCAGCCTGGGAAACAAGAGCGAAACTCTGTCTCAAAAAAAAAAATGCATTCGAATATAAACACAACACAACAAAGGAAGTAATAAATCAGGCCCCTGTAAATTTCTGGGTGGGAAATCTCCAATTGCATGTTACTTGAGCCTGCATGGCCACATCTTCAGTGCAGAGCATGACGTAGTTGAATAACCTGAGCTCTGGAGCCAGACAGATCTAGATTTGAATTCTTCCTCTGCACTGATGACATATGTGATGTCAGGGGATTTGCTAAATATTAATAATATCTCTGTACCTCTGGCCAAGTGGTCATGAGTTCTGTGGTTGTCTGGTACATAACTGATGCATAATGAATGACAATTTCCCTTATCCTCCTCCATGTCTGAAGCAAGTAAGGACCACTATGATGTTTACTCTAAAAACTGATACTGATCATTTTCCTTTTCTGGGGACTTGCTACATGCCAGGCACCCAGCTAAGCCCTTAACATGCCGTATTTCACTTAATCCTCCAACAACTTCTTTTTCTTCCAGATCATGGAACTGAGTCTTGGAGAAGTTAAACAGCTTGTTGATCTTAATGCAGAAGCTGAGTCTATTTTAAGCTGAAGCCCAGACTATTGAACCACTATGCTGTACTGCCACCCTGTCTACACTCCAAGACAATAAATATTGAGAGGTGTAAGCTTTCTTGCTCATTCATATTTTCACAATCATATTTCCTAACGTGGCATTTTATGTGTATGTATAATCACCAGGAAAACTTAAAGATAGAAGATGGGAGACGTCAGCTGAGGCCATGTAAGAATCAGCCAGCCTGGTCTGATATGATGATGGACAGGAAATTACTAGGAGTTCAGTATCATTTGTGGGAGTTTACTTTTGGTATTATTTTACTTTAAAAGTATTCTTAGAAATCCAAATGCATCCACAGATGTTATGCTCTTGGAATTTTCATTTCATTACTATATGTTCCTCAAAAACGTCAAGAAGAGGAAAAGGGCCAAGAAATGGAAGGAAGAGGCAAATAATTTTATTAGTTTTAAAACAGAATTTATGAGCAGGTATGTTTGTGTTTCTCACTCCAGGCCAAGATTCTCTCCTCGCTGCTGTTCAGAGAGACAGCAAGCAGATCTATTGGGCTCAGAGGAGATGCTCCGCGGTGGAACCCACGCCCGGAGTCTTGGGGGCTGCTGAATATTTGAAGGATCTGGGCTTCCGTGAAGTGAATACAAAGAAGAATGAAGCACGTCGTAGAGCACTGGTCCTCCACTGCCAGCAATCCTGTGCCCCAGCAGACATGTGGCCACATCTGGAGTCGTTATTGGTTGTCACGACTGGCGATCAGGGACCTGAGTGAATGCCACTGGCATCCAACCGGTAGAGGCTACTAAACCTGTCTCAATGCACAGCGCAGCCCGCATAACTAAGATTTCCTGGTGAAATGTCGATGGTGCTAAGGTTCAGAAACCCGTTTTAGAGAGAGTGTCTTTTTTTTTTAATTGTATCTTTTAAAAAGCAAATTACTCTCAGCCTATCAATAAAATGATCTTTCCAAAACATACTCCTTTAGATGATTTCCTTCATGAGCCTCCAGGGCTCCCTGTTTCTCACAGAGGGGTGAGAATCCCTCAAGCACAGCAGGCTCCAAGCTCCAGACCCGCCCTCCGCTGCCTTTCAGCTCTCATCTCCCTCTGGCTAAGACCAGTAGCACAGGACTTCTGCAGGTGCTTTCACACACAGAAGCACACAAAGTCCACACACCCACACACGTGCACACACACACACACACCACACACACCCCACACACCCTACACACACCATACACATACTCCCCACAGACACCACATCCAACCACATAAACATACACCCACACACATACACACATATACATGCACACCGCACCTCCCCTGCCTCCCCCCACACATGTACATTGCTTACACACCCCACTAACATGAACACACAACACGCCACACCATGTACACACCCTACACATAACTCGCACATTCTACAAGCCTCATACACATATTCCCTATAAAAACATCACATCCAGCCCCATAAACATACACACCCCACATACATACATCACACCACATATACCCCTATACACACATACATACACATATACGTGCACACCCTACCCACACACACCCCACACATGCACACACACATATACCACATCACTTACATACCCCTTACACACACCACACCCTACACACACACACTCCACACACACACCATACCCTCCACACCACCCCACATACACACATCACAACACATACAAACACCACACACATATACCCTCTCCCTACATACACATACACACACATATATCATACCCCCACACACACACTCCGTGCACACACACACCCCACACACACATACACATGCTCCCTCCACATCCACATACACACACATACACCTCCCTGCACACACACACCACATACACATCTACCACATCACTTACACACACACCACACACACACATAGCCTCTCCCTACATACATATGCACACACATACACTCCACAAATATACTATACCCCACACACACCCCCACACACACCCTCCCTCCACATCCACATACATACACCTCCCCCGTGCACACACACCCCACACATATACACCCTCCCTCCACATCCACATACACCCCACACATACACACACACATCTACCACATTACTTACATATACACATACACCACACTACACACACACATGCTCTCTGCCTTTGCATTCCATTTTCTCTCAACCTAGTAACCCTTCCTTTCTTCTCTACCCTGCAAAACACTATTCACCTTTCAAGAGTTAACATGTCACCTTCTTTGAAACCTTTCTAAAAACCTTCACTACTCAAACTGGGTTTCATGGAATGCTTTAGTCCACTGGAGCTGCTATAACCAAAGGCCATAAACTGTGTGGCTAATAAACAACACACACAGATTTCTCACAGTTTTGGAGGCCAAGAAGTCCAAGATCAAGGTAGACTCCCTGCTCTCTGCTTTCTGGATAGTGGCTTCTCACTGTGTCCTCAGGTGGTGGAAGGGGTGCACAGGCTCCCTCAGGCTTTCATAAAAGGGCACGAATCCCATTCATGGGGGCTCTGCCCTTGTGACCTAATAGCCTCCCAAAAGCCTCATCTCTTAACCATCCCCGGGGGGGTTAGGTTTCAGCACATGAGTTTCAGCATATGAACACAAACATTCAGCCACAGCATTAATCAACAGCATCAGTATCCGGGAATTTATCAGAAGAGCAGAATCAGGCCCTGCCCTGGACCAACCCCATCAGAATCTGCCTTTCTACGGATCCCAAGGCTCCATTCGCTCACCAAAGCTTGAGAAACACTATCGTAAACAGCGCAAGTTGTCGCATCTTTTACACTCCCAGAACCTCCCAAATAGACCCCCATTCACAGATTATCTACTATCAAATAATCATCTTGTTTGTGCATCTGCCTTTCCCTCCACTTTGTGATTCTGATTTGGGGAAGGATGTCATTTTATTCATCTTTCTATCACTGGCACCAAAACAGAACTGACACATAGCAGATACCCAATGTATTATGGCTAAACAGATGAATTATCTATCTGCCCATGCTTCCCCAGTTCCTGCCAGATAGAAACACTATGTCCTTCTCCAGACAGTTAAGGTCAGCGTTGGTTCCAGGCCAGCCACAGGGGTATGTTAACATCTTCAGCAACCGCAGTCAGTGGTGTTCAGAATTAAGCCGACCCAGGACTCACGCTGTCCAATTCCACTAGAGCTTACTATGTAAGGAAGCACAGAAATTGGCAGTGAGGATGCAGTGATAAAGAAAGTAGACCTGGTTCCTACTTTCACTGGGGCTGATGTTCTGGGGAGGAAGTCGGTAAATGAAGAAATAACCTCAGAAAGGCTTGAGATCCTGAGTCAGCAGGCAGGTGTGTGGGGCAGGGACAGTGCTCCTGCTGACTCAGCCTTCCTCCTCGAAGGAGTGACATTTTAGCTTGGGAGTGAAGAGTGAATAAGGGTTAGCCAGCAGAAATGGGGTAAAAAGTCTTCCAGGATGAGAGAACACAGTCAAAATGAGGTAAAAAGTCTTCTAGGATGAGGGAACACAGTCATTGAAGACCCAAAGATGGTAGCGAGAGCATAACGAATTCATAGCTGAGCCTTGAGATGCCGGGGACAAGAGTGAGCAAGACCTGAGGATATTGGTAGATTCCAGACCCAAGAGGGTTTTACCATGGAGAAATGGACAATATCCTAATTATGACTATCTCTACACACACTTCTGCCCCTTCTGAGCCTGTTACTAAGAACACAGATGGGCTTTATCTCCTTTCTTCAACTACTGCTATCTTTTCCAGATGGACTTGAGACTTTCTAAATCAGCAGGTCTCTTAGCCAAGGCCTCCACACGCTTTCTGGTCTCTAAGAAAGCTGGATCTTGCTTTACCCAAACCCCATCTTTTTCCTGTTCCGTGCTGCATTTAGACAGGTGTCTCTATCATTCACTCATTCACTCACTCTTATTCAATACATTTATTGAGTCCTTCTATGTGGCAAGCCCTGAGGACACAGAGGTGAACAGAGACATGAGAAAAACAAACAAAAACAAAAACAAAATCCGAGTCAGGCACAATGGCTCATACCTGTAATCCCAGCGCTTTGGGAGGCCAAGGCAGGAGGATCGCTCAAGCCCAAGACTTCAAGAACAGCCTGGGCAACATAGAGAGGTCCCATCTCTACAAAAAATTAAAAATGAGCCAGGTATGTTGGTGCCTGCCAGTAATAGTCCCAGCTACTAAGGAGGCTGAGGCAGGAGGATCACTTGAGCCCAGGGGTTGGAGGCTGCAGTGAGCTATGATTGCACAACTGCACTCCAGCCTGGGCGACAGAGTGAGGTCATGTCCCAAAAAAAAAAAAAAAAAAAAAAAAAAAACCACACAACGGAACACCACCTCCCTCTGCACTCTGCCAGATGCTGGGGAATGGGAGATGGAGACAAGGAGGAGAGAACGCCCAGGGTTTACCTGACAGGCTGGCTTGGCCTCTATGCTGAAAACTGAGTGGCCCACAGTCAGGACACTCAGATTTTCCCACCACCTCTTTCAACACCTGCTGCAGAGACTCCATTTCTGCAGGCACCTGTTAATAAACAGGGATGGGCAGGCACTCTCTAAGGGGGCCCACTTTTGTGACAGCTTAAGGTAATATCAGGCATAAGAATCACCCAGGATGGAGCAGCCTTCCTGGACTGATAACACTTATCTGGTTGACTCGGCCTCAGAGAGATTCATTCTGCAATTTTTGGGGCCTCTGAGGGAATGTCTTCATATTTCTCAATACAATAAACTGCAGCAACGTCACTATTTATTGGCCCTTACAGCTCCATTGCCAAAGAGTCCAATATTACCAGACATTAAGTTACTTACAATTATTTTGTTTTATTCTCCATTCTGGTGAGATAAGCCTTTCAGACTGGGCAGGGCCTGAACACTATTTGCCATTTGTTTGTGAGTCAAACGAAGCTCCTGGGATAGAATGAAGCCTTATCTATACTCCTTCCTAGGCTGTCCCGTCTGACCTCCTGCTGTGCCTTCTTAGCAATAACATTACCATAATAATATTCTATAACACAGGATGGAGAATGACAACCTGTGGACCAAACCTGATCTGCCATCTGTTTTTGTAGGTGGAATTTCAGTGGAAAATGGCCACACCCATTTGTTTACTTATTGTCTATGCCGCTTGCATAAACTTGTTTTTTTTGTTTAACTTTTTTTTTTTTGAGACAGAGTCTCTCTCTCGTTGCCCAAGCTGGAGTGGGTACAATAGGGCAATCTCGGCTCACTGCAACCTCTGCCTCCTGGGTTCAAGCGATTCTCCTGCCTCAGCCTCCCAAGTAGCTGGGATTACAGGCACCCACCACCACACCTGGCTAAATTCTTTGTATTTTTAGTAGAGACAGGGTTTCACCATATTGGCCAGGTTGGTCTCAAACTCCTGACCTCAGGTGATCTGCCCGCCTCGGCCTCCCAAAGTGCTGGGATTACAGGCATCAGCTACCGTGCCCGGCTGACTCTGATGTTTATTATATAAACTCCAATGTTTCATGGACTCTGATGTAACATCGGAGTTGAGCAGCTGCAACAGAGACCTTAAGACCGCCAAAGCCCAAAATATTTATTGTTTGGCCCTTTACGGAGAGCTGCCAACTCCTGCCAAATAACCAACGTTTTTAGAGCATAAGCCCTGTGCAAAATACATGGTTCTTTGTGTCCTTTAATCTACATGAGATCCCATTTTACAGATGAGACAATCAAGTGTCGGAATCACATTCAAGCCTATTGTTGCATCAGCTATATCTGATTGATGCCTTCAGCTGGCATCTTTGGCCAGTGCACATCTTTGGTACAGTGGCTCCTGCCTGAAATCCCAGTATTTAAGGAGGCCAAGTGGGGAGGATCACTTTGGCCCAGGAGTTCAAGGCTGCAGTGAGATATGATCAAGCCATTGCACTCCAGCCTGGGCAATACAGCAAGACTCCTCTAAAAAACAAAACTAAACTAAACTAACAAACAAAAAATAATCATCTTTATTTAGAATCTTGATATCTGAGCCTGTACTGACCCTCACAAGCCAAGGGATCTCATTAAATAAAGCAAGACAATTTGCCTAATTTTGCACACTTGTTCAAAGAGACTCACGATAAAGACTAGTTGGCAGTGTTGTTGTGAGCATTAAATGAGATACCGCAAGTAGAAACCCGCTGGATCTCAGTTAAACATTCACCCCAGTGGTTACTTACATCCCAGGGGAGTACATATCCATGTGTAGATGGCAGGCTATGTTCCCTAGCTCCTCCCAACTGTATCTCTTTGGATAAGACTCCTGTGCTCCCTCACTTCTCGAAGTTGGTCCAAAGATCACTTGGGAGCTCCTTAGAAATGCAGAATCTCATCGGGGCATGGTGGATCACGCCTATCATCCTAACACTTTGGAAGGCCTGGGGCATGTCCAGGAGCTCAAGACCAGCCTGGACAACATGGCTAAACCCTGTGTCCACAAAAAATATAAAAATTAGCTGGGTGCGGTAGTGCATGCCTGTAGTCCCAGCTACTCGGGAGGCTGAGGAAGGAGAATCGCTCGAGTCCTGGAGGTGGAGGTTGCAGTGAGCTGAGAATGTGCCACTGCACTCCAGCCTGGGCTGCAGAGCAAGAGCCCATCTCGAAAAAAAGAAAAAAGAAAAAGAAATGCAGAATCTCCAGCCCCATCCCAGACCTACAAAATCAGAACATGCATTTTAATAACATCCCTAGGCGACTAGTGTGCATATTAGGGTTGGAGATGCTCTGCTGTAATCCCCATCATTGTGAAATCCTGACCAGGGCAGAATGATGCCATCAGCCTCAGCCAGCAATGATGGAGCAAGGACTCATGTGAAATGTGAGGCTGTGTGCCCAGCACAGCCCTGGGCACCAAGGGACATCTCTATAACATCACTGTATTGTCCAAATGGACTTCTGTCCTCGTTTTCTCCCTTAAAACTTTCAAAAGAGGCACTCCATTCTGTTGCCAAGACCACCTGGTTGGACTCTGATGCCTTCCTTGGTTGTTAAGGCTTCTTTTCCTAAGGATTTGCTCCTTACAACTTTTGCTACCTCACCTGCAGCTTCTGCGCTGTGATTCCTGACATTGAACTGATAACACGCTCTTGCCATTGAACATTGTTTCATGTCATGCAGGCAAGATATGCCCCCACTGGACACTCACAGCTATCTACACTTGACCTTGAGGGTTTGTCCTCATCCTGGCTCATTCCTGATGCCCCAGCCAGCCTCATGCCTGAAATGTGACACTCAGTCATTCCTCACTGGACAATGTAAAGAGTATTCGACCTCACCTTTAGGGTGAGATGCCTTGTTTGTAAGGATCTGGACCATGTCCCACACAACTCAGGCTTCCAGCACAGGGCTGGGCATACAACAGATGTTCAATCATGACTTGTGGATCAACCAACTGATCTCCTTACTCTGTGAATCCTACAGCTACATTTCTGATCTTTGGTCTGCTCCCCACCTTCAACACCACATCTTTTAAGCATGTAAGGAAGGAAGGGTCAGTTCATGGACTCAGCAATTCATGGGTGATGCTGCTAGAAAATACATCACTCCATGATTTTGATCCCTCCCTGCTCATTGTTTCATATCTTGGCTTTTTAGGTTCTCATCTGTGGCAGATGTCGTTAGGGCCAAGCAGACCCAGCCAGGCTGAGCCTGCGCTGTTTTCCAAGCTCCGAAAATCAGCCAGACATTCTACTGCAGATGCCAGTTTCTCACCTCTCTCTCCACACCTATGATTCATTCTCCCCCTCCCCTCTTCTATCACAAACACACATCTGTTCCGACTTAGGATAACTAAAGGAAAATTAAATGAATCTGTTCCGTGTGTCTCTAAGGTTATTTATAGGGCTTTAATACAGGCTGATACAAAATAAAGAAATAAAGAGAGAAATAAAAATAAGTTATCTTCCCAGGAAGCCAAGGAAAGTTCAAGGAAGAGGAAAATAAGTCATGTCCTTTTGGCTGATGAAGCTGTACGCATCTTTGGTTTATCACAGTCTTTCTTCCAGGTTCTGTGAAAATCAATGAAGCCTGTTGGATTTGGAGAGATCAATATTAAAAATACGCACTTTGCAATGCAGAACATGTGCACTGTGTGTGTGTTTTGGGGGGCCCGGGTGCCGAAGGAACAATCCTAATCAAGCACTTTGAGCAGGGTAAATATTGACTGTTAGGATAAGGGTATCTTTGGGTCCTTCTCTGAGCTGCCCCTTTGACTTCACTTTGTGTGCTTTGAGCTGTCCAGCCATGGCAGGCGGCTAAGTCTCTGGGTCATCGATGAAGCTTCAGCTTTCTTTACTCCCTGCATTTGATTATATCTTTTAGAAATAGATAGAGACAAAATTATAAGCTCCAAGGTGCATGGCTGGAATGTCATGATCAAGGTGACCTCTAATGTGGAAAAAAAGGTAACACGTCCAACACCTAGATACCTTTGACTCCCCTACCCCGCCTCCCCATGTCCCTGTCACCATTTAATCACTAAGCTTTCCTACTGAAGCCCTCCTGGAATTAGCCATCAAGTCTCAGTCTTTTCATCTCTTCCATCATGGTCTTGGCTATGCCCATGTCTCTCACCTGCCAAAGTATCTTTTTTTATTTTAATTTTAATATTTTTAGAGACAGGTCTCACTCTGTCACCCAGGCTGGAGTGCAGTGGTGCCATCATAGCTCACTGTAACCACAAACTCACGAGCTCAAGTGAGTTTGTGCCTCTACCTCTCTAGTCGCTAGGACTACAGGCATGTGCCACCATGCCTGTCTAATTTTTAAAACATTTTTATAGAGATAGGGTCTTGCTATGTTGCCCAAGTTGGTCTCAAGCTCTTGGCCTCAAGCAATTCTCCTGCCTAGGCTTCTCAAAGCACTAGGATTACAGGTGTGAGCCACTGCACCCAGCCCCAGCATAATCTTTAATCAAGACAGGCATCTTATCCTGTCTCTCTATTGCTTGAAATCTAAAATTGTTGGCAGTTTATTAGGAATCCACTTAATTTTACCTTCCTTAAGCGCTATTTCCAAACATGCTTCCTAGATACCAGCCACGTTGGCATATACATGTCTTGTATTTTCACACCTTCATGAATTTGCTCAGCAAACTAGTTATCAACACTAAGTTCTAGTGTGTTCTGTCTGTCCTATTTTCCTGATTATCTTAAACAGGTATAAATGTTTCCTTTCATGACCCCACAAGAAATCTCTCTATTTCAGCATTTATTTTGCAGCATTATATTTTATATTTATCTGCTTACCTGTTTTATTGACTTTCTTCCCTCAGTGGAATATAAGCTTTTTGAGGGCAGGGACTTTCTCATGGTTACTGCTCTAACCCAGCATCCTGGATCCTGGAATTAGTGCCAGGCATGTAATAAGCATTTAAAATATTATTTTTTAATGAATGAGCAAATGAAAGTCCACTCAGGGTAGAATTTCTTATTCATTTTGTATTCTAGATACATAGGGTAAGAATAAAAAATAATGTTTAATTGAATTTGCTTGAAAAGCACTTTTCAGGAGAACTTATGAAGGAGGGTCCTCAAAATTACTTCATCTCTGTATACAAAGCCAGATTAAAAGTGAAAAAGTGAGACTGCCTCCCACAAAGAGAAGGAAGTCTTCAGTTAGGATCAAGGACAAAAGATCCCCAAATCTCAACACCCCAAATTGCCAATTATGCCTCTCAGGCTTCAAGATTCTATTTATGAACGTAAATCCTCACCTTATCTCAACGAAACATGCTGCAACGTCAACTCAATTTTAAAAGACCTTTACAGTCGCCACCACTTTGATATATATGTTTTACTGTGGCACCATTTGCACTGCTAAAGTTAAGGTTGACTCAGCACTTCCAGGAAGAAATCCATGTTCTGGGGATTTATAACTCAGCCATAAACACTCAGCTATGGCTTTGGTGATAAAGGAATGAAACCTGCCCTGATGCGCAAAGATACATGCGTGAAGCCTCTGGAGCTGTCACCCCAAGGGGCTCAAGGAGAAACCAAGGGTTTGTCTCTCTTTCATAACACTAATCCTAAATTAATACCAAGGAACAAAAATCATGAATGAGGTATATAGCCTTCCCCCATTTCTCAAAAAGGAAAGTCTAGTATGTGTGTTTGATTTTGTGGACATTCTAGTTCCTGATTAATTATTTTCCCTTTCACCTCACATCCAGGTGGCTACCAAATCCTACTGAGTCTGTGTGCTGTCTTTCACGAGCCTTCATGCCCATACAAATCACCCAGGGATCTTGCTGATATGTAGATCCAGGAAGTCTCAGGTGGAGTCTGAAGGTCTGCACAATTTCACAAGCTCTCAGGTAACCCCAGTGCTGCTAGTCCAACTCCACTCTTTGAGAAACAAGGTATTAGAGAGTCCTCCCAACATGTTCCCTCTGCTGCATCCACCTTCTTCCTCAATGCAGAACCCCCTCTTTTCACACCTGACCTGTTTAACACCTGCCCCACCCTCCGCCCCTATCTAATTTTTTTGCAATCCCACCTGTCTTTATTTTTTCCTCCACCCTGCTGCCAAGGAAGTTTTAGGAGAGGAATCCAGTCTTATCAGGTTCCTAGCTTAAAACATTTTGATAATCCCAGCATGGCCTTCCCTACATAATTTGACCAGAGCTTTTTAGCTGTCCCCAGCTATACCACCCAGCTCCTCATAGAGAGGAGGAGTCCTTCTCTCTATGAGGCAGGGTGGTCTTGCTATTTTCTATACTCCAGCATTAAATCTGTCAGAGAGTTCCTAATAACTGACCCATGCCTCCGTCAAATCAACTGACAGTGAGGTCTTAAAAGGTAGAAAGCATACTTTACTCAGCTCAGAGTCTGCTACTCAATGAGTTCAATAAACATTTGAGGACAGGAGGAATTCACATATGAGGAAATTTATAATAAGAGCTAACATTTGTTGACCATTGACTCTGTACCAGGCGCTGTCCAAAATGCTTCACATTTATTAACTCATATAATGCTTAAAACAACCCTACAGTTAAATACTTTTTTTATACATGAGCCCCGCTTTATACAGGAACGAGGTGTGGCTCAGAAAAGATACATAACTGTCCCAGAGATGCACAGTTACTAACTGGCAAACAGAATCAGAATTAGGTATTATTAAAATCTCAAAATTCTTTCTCTTGATTACCAAGCTATATTGAAAGACTTATTGAAAAAATGAATGAAGATAGGAATAAATGAATGAATGACTTTCATTGCCCTTGGATATCTGGGAAGCCAAGCAACCTGTCCCCACAAGCCAGTGAAAGTGCCCTATTCTGACGGCCAGTGCTAATGTATAAAAACTAAAGAAGAGATTTATGCTTCCCATTTAATAATCTCACCTCTGGCAGCTCAAAAGTATATTCGATTTTAAAAAGCAAATGTTGCCACCTGTTATTTCAATGCTTTGACACCAAGATGAAGGATATGGAAATGCTTGACCAGCATGATGGACTCAAAGAAGTTGAAGAGCAGTGAATATTTTTTACTTATATTTATCACTAAGACATGAGAGGTTAGAAATGCCAAACATCATTCACTCATCCATCCATTCTTCCATCCATCCATTCATCCATTCATCCATCCATCCGTCCATCCATCCATCCATTCATCTGTCCATCCGTCCATCCATCCATCCATCCATTCATCCATTCATCCATCCATCCATCCATCCATCCATCCATCCATCCATCCATCCATTCATCCATTCATTCATCCATGCATCCATCCATCTATTCATCCAGTCATCCATCCATCGTTTCATCACTAATCTACCCATGCATGTATTCACTCACTTATTCATTTATCCACCCATTGATTCATTTCAATGTTCTCTCATTCACCAAATATTTATTAAGCTGTAGTACATTTTAGGTGAACTATTTAGGTGCTGGAAATACGTCAAGTTTGGAAAATAGTGGTCAAATGAATTTTCCTAAAACATGGAAAATGACCTCTGAACTGTGGCTTGAAGGACATGCAAAAACTATTCAGGCAAAAAAGTGCGTATTGTTTAGAGAATGTGGGAGGGGAGTATGGAAGCAGTTCTAGACATCAGTAACAACAGGTGTGCAAGCTCTGTGTGAGAGAAAGCCTAGCATGCAGGAAGCACTGGAGGAAGTTCAAGATGGCAGAACAGAAATGAGAGTATAGAGTGACAGGCATAAGGAAGAAAGAAGAGGTAAAGATGTGGACAAGTATGCTCAATCCTCCCTTTTGCTTCTAATAAGTAAGGAACGTCAGTTGCTATGTGGATCTACAAGGGATGCCCTGAGAATGGACTGTGCAAAGTTGAAGGGCACTTAATTTAACCATACCCATATCAATATACATATTGTTATAGGTAATGATGCAATGAATCAGGCATGAATTACAGCATTCAAACATGAGAGTCCAAATTGTGTGTGTGTGTGATATGTGATTTTATATATATATATATATAAGATATACATATACATATATATAATATATACATATACATATATATAATATATACATATACATACACACACACACACACACACACACACACACGTATATTCTTCATCTTCCTGTAAAACAACTTCAGTTCTTATCCTAAGTCTCTATTTTGCAGGGTATAGTGGGAGAAAAAAGAATCACTATTTCTCCCTGAGGTCTAATGTCACAGTGCAAGGAGTTTGGGGGTAAGATGCTGTAGACTCCAGCAATCTTTCCAGCCAGTATGGATGTTTTACTATTGCCCTGCAGCCTCAACAGCTCTCTGCTTCATTATCAAGCTTAACACCATACATTTTTTTTTTTTTTTGAGGCAGAGTCTCACTCCATCACCCAGGCTGGAGTGCAGTGACACAATCTCATGCCACCATGCCCAGCCAATTTTTGTATTTTTTTGTATGGACAGGGTCTCACCATGTTGACCAGGCTGGTCTTGAACTCCTGGGCTCGAGCAATCCATCTGCGTCAGCCTCCTAAGGTGCTGGAATTGCAGGCATGAGCCACTGCACCCAGGCATCCGCCAGACGTTGTTTTTTTTGTTCTGTTTTTTTTGTTTTTAATGCTGTCTGGAGTCCCATTTGCCTAGAACCACCACATTGCCGCTTTCTTGTGATTTTATGGGTTCCCGTTCATGAGTCTAGGAAGTGTAGCCTGGGTCACCTCCCTTCTGTACCCAGAGATCTCTCTGTCAACCCTCTTCACTCATCTCCCAACTGATGGGTTGAAGGTAGAAAACCTCTTTCCAGGGTTATGAGGAGGGGACCCACACTCCTCCCATGATGCTACTTCATATCCAAAATAATTGTCTTTTCTATGGTTTCATCTTTTTTTATTTTCTTTTTTTTGAGATAGGATCTCACTCTGTTGCCCAGGCTGGAGTGCAGTCATGATCACAACTCACTGCAGCTTCAGCCTTGAGCAATCCTCCCACCTCAGCCTCCAGAGTAGCTGAGACCACAGATGTGCACCACCACACCCAGCTAATTTTTTCAATTTTTTGGTAGAGACGGGGTCTCAAACACCTGGGCTCAAGCGATCTTCCCATCTTGTCCTCACAACGTGTGGGATTGCAGGCATGAGCCACCATGATGCCGGGCTTCATCTTTTGAATACAAAAGCCAGGAAGAAAGTGTAGGGGTGACAACATCAGTTTTCTTCCTATCATATCTCCACTCAAGGCCATGGACAGTGAGCTGATTATCAATTTGGTTGGGGGCAGGAGTAGGAGATAGGTGAGGAAGAAATGGGGAAATGCAGAAAAAAAGAACAATAGATTAACACCCATATCGTGGTGGAGATGTGATGCAGAGGTAGACATAAGCAGAGACCCAGCAACAGACCTGGTAGATGGGAGACACAGACATATGATAAGATACAACGGTGTTATTACACTTGTGTTTCCAAACTTTCCTTGCAAGTGAAACTCATTTTTTCTCCATTTTCCAAAACTTAAAGGAAGGCCCTGCCTTGCCAGTTTTTTGGGAGAATTCTGTAATGGAAAAAATGAAAGGAGTGGTGAGAGGACAAGAAAAAGATAAGAGAAAGCAAGGATGGAGGAAGAGCAGTAGGTAGCTTGAGGAAAGAGGGGCTGAAACAGCTCTTCTGTGTGAGAACAGAGAAAGGAAGAAGAAAGATGAGAGAGCATTTTTTTTCTTCTGACACAGAGTCTCGCTCTGTCACCCAGGATGGAGTGCAGTGGCACGATCTCGGCTCATTGCAACCTCTGCCTCCTGGGTTCAACCGATTCTCCTCCTCAGCCTCCTGAGTAGCTGGGATTACAGATGTGCACCAGCCACCACGCCTGGCTAATTTTTGCATTTTTGGTAGAGACGGGGTTTCTCCATGTTGGCCAGGCTGGTCTTGAACTCCTGACCTCCAGTGATCCACCCACCTCAGCCTCCCAAAGTGCTGGGAATATAGGCGTAAGCCACCACTCCCAGTCTGAAAGAGCATTTTAAGAATGGTTGCTGAAGATTTTCTAGTACTCCCTGGAGCTGGACGTGGGATATTGCACTGCCAGCCCTCATGAGACTGGTTAAGTTTCTGCAGATGCTGAGAGCCATTCTCAGACATTTTTACATGGCCCTGGGACCCCATGGACCACAGCTACTAAGTCTTAGGGCAGAAACAGAGAAAAGTACTCAGGGGCAAGGGAGAAATTTGTCACAGGTAACTTCACCAGGAAACTGCAGAGGAGATGAGAGAGTAACTACTAGCTAAGGAGGATTCCATGCATATGAGCTCAGGGAAGCCAGAGATCCTCCCCTAATACCACACAGGTCATTACTCAACTCTTCTCTCCAAGGATGCGCCAAGGGGTTCCATGGTCTTGACTTTCCAGAATAAAAGATCAATGTCAGTAGCAGAGTATCATGGCGGCTTCTCAAGCAGGTGCTGAGTAACAGAGTAGGAAGAACATGGCATCTAGAGTAATGTAATCATGTAATCTAGGACTACATTAAAATCTTCAACTCTCTTTATTTTGCAGGGTATAGTGGGAGAAAAAAATCCCTAGTTCTCCCTGAGGTCCCATGTCACTCCCTGAGGTCCCATGTTACAGTGCCGGGAGTTTGGGGGTAAGATGCTATAGATTCCAGCAATCTATCCAGCCAGTGTGTATGTTTTACCATTGCCCTGCAGCCTCAACAGCTCTCTGCTTCTTTATCAAGTTTACCCAAGTCTATCATTCCTCGGGTAATAAGGGAGCAATAACAGCTACATCCCAATGTTGTTGTATTGCATTAACCCGCACTCCTAACACGCCTGGCACATGTGAGGATCCAAATAACACCCTGACTGTCTCCCTTAAATGCCTCCCTGAAAGCTCAAGAATGTAAATTCTTATGGGTTAGGATACAAAAAGCAAAAAATAAAAATAAATCAAAAACAAAATAAATACAGAACAAACAACAGAGACTCACTTTTTTCATTATAATATAAATTCTAATAAAGTTGTTAAAGGTGGCATAAAAAGCATTTTTTGCAAATCCTCCTGTTGGTAAGTTATTCATTCATTTTTTCATTCATTCCACTTTCATTAATGACATTAATAACAATAGGGATTAAGGATCCAAGCTCGGGAAACAGAAGAACATAGAGTTTGAATAAATATAAGCTGTTTTGTAGGTAACTAATAATAAATACTACCACGTACCCTATTTGAATGACAAGATTACCAAGATAAACGTTACACACCTATCTTAAAATTACACAAAATCCAGTAAGGAATGAAGACCAGTTAAACTATCTGTTAAGAATGTTTTCAACTATGCATGACAGAACTTCTAGCTAACAATGGCTCAAAGCAGGAGAACATTTATGATTTATTTAACCAGGAATTTGAAAGTTGCTGGTCCCAGGGTTGGCCTGGCAGCTTCATGATTTCCTAATGGGATGTGTGCTCCTTTCTATTCTTCCTTCCTTGTTATATTGACCCATCCTTCTTATGTTTGTTACTGTGTGATCACAGCAGGCTGCCACTGAAGGAGTTCTCACATTTGCCTTTAAGACAGGAAGAGAGAAGAAGGAGAAGTCCTCATGGGGTTTTTGCCATGTTTTCCTTACCCCTAAGAAGCAAAACACCTTTTTAGAAGTCAATCAGCCAACCTGATCAACATGGTGAAGCCCCATCTCTACTAAAAATACCAAAAAAAAAAAAATAGCTGAGCGTGGTGGCATGCGCCTGTAATCCCAGCTACTTGGGAGGCTGACACAGGAAAATTGCTTGAACACGTACGGCAGAGGTTGCAGTGAGCTGAGATCGCACCACTGCACTCCAGCCTGGGCAACAGAGTGAGACTCCGTCTCAAAAATTAAAAAAAAAAAATTTAAAAAGGAGTTCAATCAGCATACCTGTCCTGACATTGCACTGGACAGAACTGGGTCATAGGCCCTTCCTCTGTAGGTTCAGGGAAAGCTGGTAAAGTATACCCCAAGCTTTTCAGCTTCTACAGAGAAAGGAGCAAGAGAGAAGATGGAAGTTAATGCCTGTTGGGTTAGCCACCTAATAATGTCTCCCTCAGAAACCTTCAGTATACAGCACCAACTGATATGGGGGGAACATTTATATTGTCAACAGAGGAGAGGTTGACTGACTGTGCTTTGGGGTTTGAGGAAGACTTTATACAGAAGACAACACTGGAGTAACATCTGAAATAAATGCATGGACGTGTGCCATTTGCAGTTAAGGACAGGATCTTTCAGTCATGGAGAACAGCAGATGCAAAAACAGAGAGATTGGAAAGAGAAAGACATCAAGGAAGAAAGGTGAGCTTGCAGTTGGTAGAAAAAGTAACTGTGCCACGGTGTGAAAGACATCTAGACAGTGAAACAAGTTAGGGTCCATCTTGTCCACCAGTATTTCTCAAAATAAGACGCTGCTGTTAGCGAATAGGAGAGCATTTTAGGAGGCAGATGAAAACAGCACTAAAGAGCATTGAGTTACATGAAAAAAGTATTCCCTTATAAATTCTCACGTAAGTCTTGTTTTTGCACCAAGGAGAAAGTCTTGGTTTGGTGTTGCTCTATCTTCAACATCTCCCTCTCTTATTCATGCCCCATTTTTAGCACAAAGAGAGCAAGCCTCAGGCAGAGTGCCTTGTCAACAGCTCCCAGAGAGGATTTAATAACACTGTTTGGTTTTGTTCTGTTTTCATCATATTCATGCTTCCGGTGACCTTATAGAGATGGCAAAGGGCAGTGTGCATTTGAATGAAAGCTATAATTTATTGTATTTTAATCTACATAAATATTTCCCAAAGTGAGTTAATTTACAGGAAAAGCTTGCATACATATGGCATACGTGGTATACTATATGACAGCAGTCATGAAGATCATCCACAGTGATGTCCTTACATCGTAAAACCATGAAGCTGATCTGCAAGAAGGGAAAGTTTGGGAAATCTTGATCCAGTGTATGGGAAGGCAGTCATATTTCTGCAGAAAGGGAGGAAAATGATCAGATTGGTCTCACAAAGACTTGCTGTTAATAAATGAGTAGATGACATGCAAGGAGCTCAGGATCCTGCCAGGCACATAAAATAAGTATTAACTATGTGAGTGCCATTAGCACTACTAAAGTCATTTTCAGTTTGCAAGCAAGGTGAGTTTGAGGGTGAGAGATTGGACACAGGTGGTGAGTCAAGAGGTTGTTAGTTTGATAGAAGCTAAGCAAAATCCAGGGACAGTGAGAAGACATTGAGCAAGAAAGATTCTGCAGCTCTCCATGGGACAGAGGCCGGGGTGAATTCCTCCTTTCCCTCAGTTGGAGCTTGAAGCTGTCTGAGTCCCAGGCGGCTCACTGTGACCCACTGCCAGGGCTCGCCTGCGCGGATCTACTCAGATGAACGCAGTGCACACACACATAAAAATCCCCAAGCACATTCTGTCCCAAATGAGGCACCTTGTCATTTTCAGAATATCAGCTGTCACACATAGCGAGAGTCCTCATCTGCTAAAATGAGAAAGGGGGCGGGGGGAAAGCAAAGCACCTGAACATAAACTAAAAAAAGATTTGAAACCTTGCTCTAAAGAACATCTCATCAGCCAGAGTCTTTTCAGTGAGGCAGCCCTGCCAGGAACACAATCCAGCACCTCCCCCAGGCAGAACGGCAGAACGAGGGGGAGAGAAGAAGGGGGAGAGAGAGGAAGCTGTGGGTGGGTTCTACTGCCCCCCTACCACCACACACACTCCCCATGTGTTATCCAGTTCAATCCTTATCACAGTTCTGTAAAGAGGCCAGAGCTCAGAGGAACTGGGTGACTTGCCCATGATCACGCAGCCAGCAAAGGATCCCCTCTGGGACCGGAACCACATGTAGCCAGCCCGTCTGTGTCCAAAGTGCCCCTTTGGGCCAATTTTATATTATCATTTTTGTGGGGGGACAGGATCTCACTTTGTTGCCCAGGCTGGAGTGCAGCAGCACAATCCTGGCTCACTGCAGCCTCGACCTCTTGAGCTCAAGTGATCCTCCCTCCTCAGCCTCCCAAGCAGCTAGGACTACAGGCTTACCACCATGCCTGGCTAATCTGTGTATTTTTTGTGGAGATGGGGCTTTACCGTGTTGCCCAGACTGGTCTCGAACTCCTGAGCTCAAGTGAGCTCCTGCCTTGGCCTTCCAAAGTGCTGGGATTACACACGTGAGCTACTGTGCCTGGCCCCCAGTATTTTTTTCAACTTTTATTTTAGACTCTGGGGGCACATGTGCAGGTGTGCTACAAAGGTATATTACATAATGCTGGGGTTTGGAGTACAATTGAACCCATCACTCAGCAAGTGAACACAGTACCCAGTAGGCAGTTTTTCAACCCGTGTTCCCTTCCACCCTCCCCCATCTTGTATTCCTCAGTGTCTACTGTTCCCATCTTTACTCCGTAAGCACCCAATGTTAAGCTCCCACTGATAAGTGAGAACATGTGGTATTTGCTTTTCTGTTTCTGTGTTAATTCACTTAAGATAACGGCCTCCAGCTGCATCCCTGTTGCTGCAAAGGACATGATTTTGTTCTTGTTTTACAGCTGTGTAGTATTCTATGGTGTATATGTACCACATTTTCTTTATCCAATCCACTGTGGATTAATTCCACAGCTTGGTTAATTCCATGTCTTTGCTATTGTGAGTAGCGCTGCAATGAACATACGGGTGCACGTGCTTTTTTTGGTGCAATGATTTATTGTCCTTTGGGCAGGTGCCCAGTAATGGGATTGCTGGGTTGAATAATAATTCAACTCAGTTCTTTGAGAAATCTCCCCTCTCCACAGTGGCTGAAATACTTAACATTCCCACCAGCAGTGTATAAATGTTGCCTTTTCTCCACAGCCCTGCCAACATCTGTTATTTTTTAACTTTTTAACAAAAGCCATTCTGACTGGTGTGACACGGTATCTCATTGCGCTTTTGATTTGCATTTCTCTGATGATTTATAATGAAGACCATTTTTTCATATGTTTGTTACCTGCCTGTATGTCTTCTTTTGAGAAGTGTCTGTTCAGTCCTTTGCCCTCTAGGTTAATATTTGAGGAAGCCTAAAGGTTAAGCAAAATGAGGGTTGAAGGCTATTAGAACCCTGTACTATTATTTTTGACTTGGCTCTGTTGAATCACCCAAGACACATCACTCCACCTGTTCCCAGACAATCCCAGCATCCTTCAGTACTTTCATAGTCATGTTTGTGGTAGAAGTAACAAACAACAGAGCTGGAGTCAGGGGACATGGCTTTAAATCCCAGGAGAATCGTTAAGAAGAGACTGAGATTCTGTTGGTCAAGGGTGGGGTCCAGAGGGACATGATGTGGAGCCTAGCCCAGCACCTCCCATTCCCAAAACCAGTCTCTCACCAGGGCCGTGGACATTAGTTCCCCCCATCTCCCACCAGTCTCCTCCATCCCCAGCCTTCTGTCCCCTTGTCCACTGTTACAGACTGAATATTTGTGTCCCCTTGAAATTCAGATATTGAAGCCTAATTCCCAATATAGTGTTGTCAGAAGATGAGGCTTTGGGGAAGTGATTAGGTCATGGGGGCCCTCAGGAATGAAATCTATGCCCTTATAAGAAGAGACACAAGGAAGATGATCTCTCTCTCTCTCTCTCTCTTTCCCTCTTTCCCTCTGCTGTGTGAGTATACAGCAAGAAGCAGCCATCTGCAAACCAGGAAGCAGGCTCTCACCAGGTCTCAAATCTTCCAGGGTCTTGACCTAGGACTTCCTGCCTCCAGAACATGAGACATAAATCCTTGCTGGTGAAGGCGCCCAGTCCACAGCATCCAGTTACAGCAGCCCAGACAACCGAGACAGCCACAGTCTCGGCTCCAGTTTCCATTCCTTCTCTGGTCCACTGCCTGCTTATCGAGCCCCTGACAACTCTCCTGTGACCAGCCCAGCATCCATTCACCCTCCACAAATCTATCAGAGTGATCTTTCTAAAACAACTCTGATCACATCACTGCCCATGACCAAAACATTCAATCATTCTCCATCGTCCTCATATGTCGTCCCCAGACCTACATTGTCTGATCCTTGTCTACCGAGCAAGCTTTATATCCTGCCATATCCCATTTATCCCTCTACCTGGTCATACATTAACTCACATCACCTTGTTCTCCCAAGTCTTAGGGCCTTTGTAGGCATGGTTACCATGGTCCAGAACTGCCACACACACGCACACACTTGTGAGCACACACACACACACACACATCCTGCCTCACCCATCTACCCTTCCCTCTCAGCCCTGGTTCCAGGCAGTTCCTAGAGGGACCCCACTAACACATACTCTTGTTATAACTCTCATCACACTTCCTTGCCATTACCATTTTTCTCATCTGTCTCCCACACCAAACTAAAACCAGGATTTTTATTCGCTCATCTCCCCATCACTATTGTCCAGTGCCTGATATGCAGTAAGTGCTCAATAAGTGTTTGCTGAATGAATACATAATTGCTAAACATAACGCATTCCATAGTGGAGGTAAATATGGAATGATATGAGAAGGAATTTTCCTACCAACTTGACTCTTACAAATAAAAAGAGGCCACCAGGCACGGTGGCTCATGCCTGTAACCCCAGCACTTTGGGAGGCGGAGGCAGGTGGATCACCTGAGGTCCGGAGTTCGAGACCAGCCTGGCCAACATGGTGAAACCCTGTCTCTATTAAAAATACAAAAATTAACTGGGCATGGTGTCAGGTGCCTGTAATCCCAGCTACTTGGGAGGCTAAGACAGGAGAGTCACTTGAACCTGGGAGGCGGAGGTTGCAGTGAGCCGAGATCGCACCATTGCACTCCAGCCTGGGTGACAAGAGCAAAACTCCATCTCAAAAAAAACTGAAAAAAAAAAAAAGAAAGAAAAAGAGGCCTACACCACAGGACGCCACAGTATTACAGAAATCCCAGAGGGGCCGGGGGATATTTTCCTCCTAGCAACTTCCCACTCTGCTTTCGGATCTGCTTTTATGCTCACCTTGCCTCCCACAACATCAATGATTTATTGACTAGTGACTTCTTTGCCTATATCTGGGAGCAACTTCATTTGCATACTAGACTGTTTTATTGCAGCCAAATCAGGCTTAAACTAAGAAATTGCTCCTGTAAACTAGGAAACACCCTCCCTGCCCCCTTCACAGAACACAGCATCTGGAAATCTGATGAAGTTCAAAGCACTCCAAGGAAAGCCACTAAAATGGCAATGGAACCATGTCCTGAGCAGAGAAAGGAGTGAACTGAGGTTATTCAGGGTAAGAAAATAGCGACTTGAGGGAGATGCTCCTGTTCTGTTCAAAAGGACTACAGGGAATAATATTTGGGCTCACCTGACATGCATTAGTACAAGGACCACACAGGTAGAAATCGCCCTGGTTTAAAACCTGGAAGAAATGCTTCACCACCCAAGCAATCCTCTACTGGCTGGCCTGATAAGTAGTGAAGAAGGCAAGGTAGAGAAAGGACTTCCCTGGACATCCCGGGGTGTCCCTGGATATCCTAAACGGGGATGGGATGTTCACAGTTCAGGGATATTATTGCAGATGAGGCACAGAGGACACATATTATTTTCACCTGTCCAATGCCCATCACCTTGTTTGTTAAGTGGACCCCACAATTTTCATTTGAAAAATTACCATTTCATGCTCAGTGGAAGGGGTGGGGCTGCCCCCATTTCCAGGCTCTAAACGTAGGTATATGACCCCAACTGGGTCATTCAAAATACCACAACACCATGGCCACAGTGATTGGCCCATGAATTTGCATGTGGCTCAAAGCTGGCCAATGGGAACCCTCCCTGGTCCATGAATTTGCATGTGACCCAAGGCTGACCAATGGTATCCATCTCTGGCCCATGAATTTGCATGTGACACAAGGCTGACCAACGGGATCCCTTCCTGGTCCACAGATTTGAATGTGGCTTAAGGCTGACCAGTGGGATCCCTTCCTGGGACTTTGTCCACAGAAGCTGCTAACTGGGAAGCATGTCAGCTTTGAGTGAAGGCAAATACGATCACATCATTCCCTTACTTTAAAATCTCCAACAGCTTCCCATTAGGCTTAAAATAAAATCTAGACTCTTTATCATGGCCATAATCCCAGCACCATCCTTCATCGGCTTCTCGCAGTTCTCACATGACTTTTCTCTTTGATCACTAAGCCCCAGCCATCCTAGTCTCCTTTTATTTATTCAAACACAGCAAAATCATCCCTGCCTCTGGTCTTTTCAGGCACTCTTCCTTCTGCCTTGCACACCATTCCCCACATCCACACACGGTGGGCTGCCTCCCTCCACCTGCGCCTTCACACACATTAACAGCTCAAACAGATTTTCTGTGATTACTTCTTTGCTCTCACTCTGTATTCCCTTACCCAAATCTATTCTCTTTATTATACTATCAACTAAAATTATACATCTGCTTTCATTTGTCTACTTATTTATTCTATCTTCTCCCTCTGGAAATAAGTTCCGTGAGGTCAAGGACTTTGCTGTCTTGTTCACTGCTATATCCCTGGTTTCTGAAACATGCCCAGTGCATAGGGGCCCCTACTAAGTATCTTATGGATGAGTTAAGAAGGGAATAGATTTATTCCCTGGAAAAGGAGGGCGGGTAATGGCTCTGAAAGATAGAGACAGAATTCCTCACAACATCTTTGAGGAATGTGGACACAGCTGAGGCTATCTCCCCCAGGACTTTTCAGTTAAGTGAGCAAATAAATTTCCTTTTTAGTGTATGCTGGTTGGGACTAGGTTTCTGTCACCTGCAATCAAAGACGGATACCAGGCAGTGGAGCCCAATCTTGTGAGCTCTCTCTTCCGTTTCAACTCATCCATTCTCTCAACATATTTGAACAAGGCTTTGTCACAATGGCGTAGGCTGCTGTCCTCTGTCACTCACTGTTGACTTAACATGGCTTAGTTCCAGGCCTTTTACCTGGCAAGTAAGATGAGGCTCAATGAGACACAGAGGAGATTAAATTGAAAAAAGTGAAAGAAAGTGTGTTCGGGGTCATAATGTTTTGGAAGTGACAGAATCAGCTCCTCTACTCTTGCTGTGCCTGGGGCCCTCCTCACTCCTGCAGGGGCCACTTCAGCTTGCCGCATGCCTGCCCCTAAAACACAGGCCCTCTCTCTGGGATCAGCTCTGACCCCAAAGAGAAGCAACTCATCATCTCTCATCTCACATTCTTTTGAGGTCAGATTTTCTAACAGGTTGGCCTGAACTTTGTTCCTTCATTTTGGCCACTAAATTCCTTGCTTGTTCCCTTAGCCTGAGTCTCTGTCTTGAGAACCTACTTAGTGATGATGATAATAATAGTAAACCCTTGCCTTGAGTTGGGATTTACAGTGTGCCAGGCTCTGTTCTGAGTACCTGCTATGAGTTCATGTAATCTTCATAATAATCCAATAAGATAGGTACAACTAGTAGTCCCATTTCATAGATGAAGAAGCAAAGGCACAGAGTTTAAATGACTCACCCAACATCACTCAGCTAGTAAGTGGTGAAGTCGCAATGTGAAGCCAGGCAGTCTGACTCTATAGCCTGTGCTACTAACAATAACACTATCATAATAATTTCATAAGACTGCACCACTTGTGGCAGACTAGAGTCCCCAAAGATGGAGGCAACAAATCTCCCATCCCACAGCTTTCTTACAACATCATTTTAACATCCCTTTCATTTGAGGGCTGGGGCTTACGTTTCCTCCCCTTGAACCTAGAGTACGTGATGCTATGTGGCTTTGAGATTCAATAATAGAAATGCCATCCATTTCTGTGTTGTTCTCATGGGACACTCAGTCTCGACACAGAGACCAAATGGTGATACCACATGTAAGTGTTCTACCTGGCAGCTGAGGTCCCAGAGAAAAGCCAGCAACACCACAAAACATGTAAGTAAAGATCTCTCCAAGGGTTCCTGCTTCCCATCATTGAGTTACCCCTAGCCTTTAAGTTTGCCCAGCTGAAGTCCCAGCCACCAGGAAGCAGAGACGCCCTCCTAAATGCCTGACCCACAGAATATGTAAGCCTAAAAAAATAGTCATTTCAAGCCACTAGGTTTCGTACTGGTTTGTTACACAGCAAGAGTAACTGGAATATCATCTCCTATCCGCAACCTTATATATACCCAGTCTATAGAACTCAGCCTCTGAACAGTATCTGGTTCAGTTCCTAATACCCGGTGACAGGCTCACTGTAGTCTGCAAGCCTGAAACGTTACCCCATCACTTCTTATTGGGCTTTCTGAGTGCCCACAGCCAACCTCAATTACCACTTCTTATCTGTAGGCAGATCCTCACATCACCAAGTGCTACCAGCTAGACTGAACTTGCTTCCCTTCTTGAAGCTGTTTCTGACCCCTCAGAGCTTGCCCATAGATCTCAGTTACCTGTCTCATTCCCTTCCCAGCCAGCCCCATCCATTTTCAAATGACCCAATCATGGCTCAGAAATGGAGCTGATCCGCCTTCTTCATTTGAGAGATGCAAAAATGGAAACCAAGCAAAATAAAACAAAATAGTAGTAACTGACATCTCTTGAATCCTTACTGTACATTACTCCATCTAACCTTAACACGTTATTCTACATATTTAACAATATTGACCCTATTATGCAAATGAATATCCTGAGATTCAAAAAGAATAAACCATGTTTGGTCATGCAGTTAGGTTAAGCTGGCTCAATTTCCCCAGAGAGGTCAGATCTGGGAAGACTGAAGATAAGATAGATCATAGATTCCATGATGGAAAAGCCATTAGGTTTCTCTCCAGCCAAAAAGTGTACCTGATGTCCCAGCAAGACAAGAGCCCTGGTCTAAATTTCCCTTCCTTGCAAACACATTCATGTCATCAATACCTCTAGGAAATAAAGATGGTCCTTCTCCATGAGCTAATGTAGTAGGTGTGGCTAAGATGACATGCACTGGCCAGAACCCTCCAATTTTTATTCTGTCTCTATGTCACATTCCAAGACCTAACAAGGTAAAGTCATCTGGGTCCTTACCCTAGGAGATGATAACAAATCCATCCTTGATGGGTGTGTGATGCCTCCCTATGGAAGGAAATACATAGTGGTGGCTAAGAGGACAACATTTAGAGTCGGACAAAGGTATAAATACAGGCTCTGCTACTTACCATATTATTTGTGTGACTTGGGGCAAATTGTGTAACCTCCATGAATCCCCATGCCTTCCTCAGTATAGAGGGAATAATAATATAATAATAGGATTCATCTCATGGGGTTGTGGTGAGGTCTAAGTGAGATAATGCAGTGTATTAAAACAGTGTATCTGTTCTCATGCTGCTAACGAAGACACACCCAAGACTGGGTAATTTATAAAAGAAAGAGGTTGAATGGACTCACAGTTCCACATGGCTGGGGAGGCCTCACAATCATGGTGGAAGGCGAAAGGCACATCTTACATGGCAGCAGGCAAGAGAGAGAGAGAGAGAGCATGTATAGGGGAATTCCCCTGATAAAACCTTCAGATCTCATGAGACTTACTCACTATCAGAGAACAGCACAGGAAAACCCCACCCCAATGATTCAATTACCTCCTACCGAGCCCCTCCCATGACATGTGGGGATTATTACAATTCAAGATGAGATTTGGGTAGGGGCAGAGAACCAAAAAATATCATGCAGGGAGTGTAGCACACAATAAAAGCCAAAAAATGACCATTACTAATGTTGCTATACACGAAAACAGCGTGGGTCCTTGCTAAACAGACATAAGCAGAATCTCACTACATTCTAGAAAAACCACCCTGAAATCTCAACTTACAGCATGAAGAATCCCTAAAATCCCACTAAGAATCAAGAATACCAGTCCTCAGATTTCTAAGTGTTCATTCACATGATTTCAACCACTGATTGCTTATTGATTGTGTCTAAATGTTGCTAAGAAACATTTAGACACCATCACCCTTAGCAATCATAAGACACTAATTCCTAAATTTCAATCTTCTCTAGCAAGTCTGGCGATGGGAAGTCCCTGCTTCTGACCTAGGGGCCGGAGGGGAGAGCCCCGACTTTCTTGTTCTCCAGTCTAAGAAACAATTAGGCAAACGATGAGCTCAGAGTCACATCCTTCTGGCAAAGGAGAGAGTCCCTCAGAGCGAGCAAGAAAAGATTCAGTTGTAATCCAGCTAATGCATCTCCGGAAGTGTTGCTATCTGCTGCGGAGCACTCCCCATTAAAGAAATCAATTTCACATTCGACTTCTCCTCCTGTGGCGCATATTGAAGTGGGATCTGACAAGGATGGAAAACAGATTTGCGTTAAATACTGCCAATAAAGCCTGTAGCTCAAGGTTATAGCAGTCAATGGAAATCCAGTGTCTTGGAAACCCTGACACCCTCATCCATCATTAGTGTCAGCAGTTCTGAAAGGAAGCGGTAGGTCTGGCTCAGGAAGGGGGATGGTTGCCATGACTGGGAATTTGGAACCATGGAAGCTGATTTAATGGATGTGCTAATTTCATAATAGGCCCTTGAAATAGGCCTCAGCTTCCAGGCCTCCAAGCATCTGAGCATCTTTTCAGAGTTGTTGTTGTTGTTGTTGTTTTGTTGTTGTTGTGAATACCTCTTGTATTTCCTTGCCCAACATCTACTCTCTCTTATTTTTCTATCCAATAGTACCCACTTTATCTTAGGGACTAGCTCCTCTTCTACTACTTTGTCTGCAAGAATAAGGAGGAATTTAACCCAAATCTAGCTCCAAGGGTAGGCAGGCATGTGAGCTCAGCTGGCCAGATCAGAGCAGAGCAGCACCCTGCCCTCAGTGAGAGGTTCTGGTTTGTGCACGTGGCCCAAGGAAGGACAGACAGAGCCAATGCTGCTCAGTCTTGGAAGTCACTGTAATTTTTTTTGTTAAAAGGAGTCATCTTTCTACTGGGGTGACTGCGGAGAAAGGATGCAACCTGAAGCTTCTGAAAACTATCTTATCACAAGAAGAAGTGAATAAAATCAGGCCAGAGAAACGCAGAGATAAAGAGAGGGAGAAAGGTAACCCAAAATCCGATTAGATCATTTGAGCTCCTAGATCATACTTCTCCTGAAGACCATCAACCGGACGTTTTCATTCCAAGATCCAATACCTTTTGTTTTTCTTGGTTTCAAGGCAATTTTAGCTGGGTTTTTGTCATGCAACTAAGAAAGACCTAACCGTTCCAGTGTAGCAGTATAGCCCAGATGAAGCAGGCCTGCTTGCTCTGCGGAGGCCAACTGAAGTCCACATTAAGCAATTAGTCACATCTTCCAATCAGATTCAACTTTCATGGCATGAACAACATACAGGCATATTATGGAAGATGTCACATGATTGATGGGAAACTGGATACACACCCCAAATCAAGTGTAGCGGGACGGGCGCGGTGGCTCATGCCTATAATCCCAACAATTTGGGAGGCCGAGGCAGGCAGATCATGAGGTCAGAAGATCGAGACCATCCTGGCTAACATGGTGAAACCCCGTCTCTACTAAAAATACAAAAAACTAGCTGGGCGTGGTGGTGGGCGCCTGTAGTCCCAGCTACTCTGGAGGCTGAGGCAGGAGAATGGCGTGAACCTGGGAGGTGGAGCTGGCAGTGAGCCGAGATAGCACCACTGCACTCCAGACTGGGTGATGGAGCAAGACTCCATCTCAAAAAAAAAAAAAAAAAAAAAAAATCAGGTGTAGCGGGCGCTAGGGATGCTCCACCCATAGCCATATGGATGTCTTACCATTTCCATGCTCAACATTCTGACTTCCAACCTTCAGAGCCTCCAGCTTTGTGGGAAGGCGGCTCCCAGTTGCAGAAGCCAGCTGTGCCCATCACAAGTCAGTAATTAATATGTGGGAATTTATTTATATCTGGTAATTAATATCTGAAAATTAATATCTCCCTGTAGACAACCCTTTCCCATTGACTAAGAGGGTGGGGGTTAAAATACTCCGCCTTCCTAGCCCTTTAGTGAGGATGACTGTGAGGCGTATTTTTAACCATGGGATAAAGCTTTAGACACCCACCAGGATAGCTGTCTTACTAATGCACCCCTATTTTCCCTTCCCTGTGCCACCTTCCTACTTCCTCAAAGGTGTAAGTAAACTATATCCCTCCTGAATAAATGATATAGCCTTGCCTCAGTGTCCGCTTCTGCCTAAAGAACGGAAACTTCCTCAAATTCCCCATCAGCTTTCTGTTACTCCTTCAGTGGACATTCCTTTCACGAACAGCCTTTTCTCCCCCACCCCCAGGTCACCCAACCTTCTACAAATCCCCTTTTATGATTCCTTACACATCCCTCTCTCCTTTAGTCTGTATATCCCACGAAGCAAAACAAAATCCTAGAAGCTCTCACACCCCTTCCACCCACTCCAAAAACTTATCAATATATTCACACAGCAAAAATAGATTTCTTCCAGAAGGAAATGCCATTGCCACCCAAAAATAATTTACCTCTAAATACCAGAGCAAAGGACAAACAGTCAGCTCCATGCTGGTGTCAAAGCTGAAACTGAAAGTCAGAAGCACCACCTGCGGGGTTCTCCAGGGTCAGGCTCCCACCTGCCTCACCTCCCACCTCTTGTCTCACCCCTCTCCGCCTTCCTTTCGACATTTAATGCAGATCCAGCCGTGCTGAATGAACTACTTGCAGTTCCCCTAAAATAGGCCATGCTGTCTCTTTCCTTCTGCCTTTGTAAATGCTGTTCCATCTGCCTGAAATATCTTGTCTACTCAGAAGCTCTTAAAGAACTTGTTTCCTTCTCACCCCACCCAAGCTCATGTGTTGCAGAACTTTCTCACCCTAAAGAGAGAGAACTTGGAGTGGGTTGCTTCGGGAAACTGAGCTTCCTTCTCTCTGAGCAGATGATCAAGCCAGGACTGATGATAACTTGGCCAGATGTTATAAATGGGAATGCAGATTTGGATAACGAAGTGGTTCCCCAAATTCAGGACAAGCACCACCATTACTTTAGGTGTTCTGCCGGTTGACTTTACGTGGGACACAAACACTGCAGTAGGTGATATTAAAATACACGGTAAGGGCTGGACATGGTGGCTCACTACTCTAATCCCAGAACTTTGGGAGGCCGAGGCAGGCGGATCACTTGGGGTCAGGAGTTCAAGACCAGCCCGGCCAACATGGTGAAACCCCATCTCTACTAAAAATACAAAAATTAGCCAGGCATGGTGGCACGCACCTGTAGTCCTAGCTACTCAGGAGGCTGAGGCAGGAGAATTGCTTGAACCCAGGAGGCAGACACTGCAGTGTGCCGAGATCATGCCCCTGCACTCCAGCCTGGGTGAAAGAGTGAGACTCTGTCTCAAAAAAAAAAAAAAAAAAAAAAACCACAGTAAGAAAAGTACTCCCATTTCAATTCTTCTTCATTCTTTTTGATTACTTAAAAAAGAGAAAGTCTAATTTCTATTATTTCTTGGTCTTTAGCACCTAACTTTTCCTAATCTCTCATGTTGGACAGGCAAAAGAAAGTATAATACTTTTTCTTCTCATCGTATTATGTTTATAATTTCCTTCTACTTACAGAAGGGTAGACCTTTTGTTTCTTTTCCATTTATATTCATAATGTAAAGTTTTCATTTAAGTGCAGAGTCAAACTAAAGATACTAAGAAAATGTTTACACACATATACATATATGTGTGATACTCTATATAATATATATAATGTTACATATATTTAATATTAATCACAGCTGGTGCTTGGATATGACAAAAATTTGTGAAGGTGACCATCAAATGAATCGAGTTTGTGGTTGGGGGACAGGTAGGGTTGTTGAGGGGTGGGACCACAACAATGGGCTGGAGTAGCTATACCTTAAGACCCCTTCCTTTTTTGAAACTTAATCAATATATGCAGTGTTTGGTGGGGAGTGCCCCAAATAAGGTATCCCAAAGTTGCAGAACTCGACAAACTGGCTGAAGCTGATCTTCCCAGCTTCCTAGAGGGTTTTAGAAACCAGGTAATAACATGAACTTTTCTCCTTGGTCCCCTCCTCTGAGGGTCTCGAAACCAAATTTTCACATTTCTGGATTATTGCAGAGTTGAGAAACCACTGTTTTGGCTACACATGGCTATTCTGAAGTACAAGGCAGAGGAAGTCCCCATCTTGCTGAATCCCAGCTGTGATGTAGGACAAAGGCTTTTCTGCCTTTGATAAACAAATGAAGCTAAACATTAAAGGTACTTTCTGATCCTCATTTAAGGAGGCAGCCCCAAAGCAAACCAGCCAGACCTTCCTAAGCAGCTTTGGACATCAAGGTTGAAAAGCAGTGAGTGGTTAAGCTTGTCATTTTTTATTCTGAAATGGTTATGCTCGTCATTTTTATTCTGAAATGGGGCTCTTCTCCTCCTAACCTTCCTGACTGCCCCTTCTCACTCAACCAAATGCATTCAAATCTATTTAAGTAACCTTTATGAACCAGGCACTGTTCTGGACACTAAGGGGTAAACAAAAAGTCAGAATCTACAAAATACTTAACCTCGGCCGGGCGCAGTGGTTGACGCCTGTAATCCTAACAATCCTAGCAGTTTTGGTAGCTCAGGCGGGTGGATCAACTGAGGTCAGAAGTTCGAGACCAGCCTGACCAACATGGCGAAACCCCATCACTATTGAAAATACAAAAATTAGCCAGGCTTGTTGGTGCACGCCTGTAATCCCCACTACTCGGGAGGCTGAGGCAGGAGAATCACTTGAACCTGGGAGGCAGAGGTTGCTGTGAGTTGAGATCACGCCATTGCACTCCAGCCTGGGAAATACAGCCAGACTCTGTCTCAAAAACAAACAAACCAACAAGGTACTTAACCTCAAAAGCCTATGTTCTAAAGATGCTACAAAGGGGAGACAGACAATAAATACACAAGAACATAAGTAAATGAAATGATAACTCCAGAAAAGGTGATGTTATTTTAAAAATTAAACAGGATTTGTTGAACTTTGCCTGCGGGCACATGTGTGTGTGCATGCTGTGGGTGGACAGCCAAGGTGGCCAGTGATGAATTCTGTAATATTTTGATCTGAGACTTGAATCATGCATGAAAGAAGCAGCCTTAAAAGATCTGAGGGAAAGGCATCCCTGGTAAAGTGACAGCATGTACAATAGCCATGCCACGGAACTCCTTCAATTCATCTCCTTTTTATTTACTTTCCTCGAGTACTGAACCTTCTCTATGCACCCTCCACTTCTTTTTCCGTGATTTAGAGACATGGCTCTGAACTAGGTTGGATTCTTTTTTTTTTTTCTTTGAGACAGAGTCTCGCTCTTGTCACCCAGGCTGAAGTGCAGTGGCATGATCTTGGCTCACTGCAACCTCAGTCTCCCCACTTCAAGCAATTCTCCCGCCTCAGCCTCCCAGGTAGCTGGGATTATAGGCACCTGCCACCACAGTCGGCTAATTTTTGTGTTTTTAGTAGACGGGGTTTCACCATGTTGGCCAGGCTGGTCTCGATCTCCTGACCCCAAGTGATCCACCTGCCTCGGCCTCCCAAAGTGCTGAGATTACAGGCATGAGCTACCTTGTAGAACTGGGCTGGATTCTTAATAGCATCACTAGTTAATAATAAGACTAATCTTGTTGAAGTCTCAGTTTTCCCATCTGCAAAATGGTAACAAGTATAATAACACTTATTTTATAGGATTGCTGTGAAAATTAGATGATGGATATAAAATGCTCAGCTTATTCCTGTGTAAACACTCCACACCATGGTTACTCATTCCTGAAATGTCACTGCTTTCCTTGGACAAATTCCAGAAGACACATAGGTTCCCATGGTCTAAACACCTAGTCCTCTCCAAAAGCTGACCTGAATTTGAATTCTGAGCCCTTTCCTGTTTGAATGAGTTTGGGATTATTACAAAACAGAAACTGATGTAGTTTATTTATTTATTTTGGTTTTAGGTACTTCCTGCTACCCCGTCAACAGCTAGAGCATTCTCTGCCCACTGTCTTCAGTGTGGGGTATTTTTTTTGTTGTTTTTTCAGCAGGGATCCAAAGAGAGAAAGAGTCAGTACTTGGCCTTTGAGGTTCAAAACAGTCCTTTGAAACTCAAGGCAGGGACTACAGTCTTGAGCAAAAGGCTTTTTGAGTTTCAAGAGCCTGTCTTTTGAGTTTCAAAAGAACAAAATCCTAGGCTAACTAATAGGCGTAGAAAAATATGCTCATTGATCTGTGAGAATGAGATTTTTGTCTGAAAAAAAAAAAAAAAAAAAAAATCGTATGGGCCAGAGAGAAGCAGCAGAGAAGAAACAAGAAAGTTAGATTCTGGTCAGGGAGCCTGGTTTAGCCAAGGCCAGTGGAATATGAGATAATAATAAAAATACAGAGAGGAGGGTAAAGGGGAGCTTCTTTTCACATCTCAAGTGGAGACCAGGAAAGTGAGCAAGATCCATGAGTTCTCTGTCACCCTCCCAGAGGTCAGAGCAGTAGAACAGGAATGACAGCTGGTGAGATGAGAGGAAGAAGCTGGGTCCCCTGGATCTGCAGGAAGAAGCGAGTTTGCCTGCCTTCCATCATTCACATGAGCACGGTTCATCACCATGTTAATTATTCTTGTGGGCATCTGGTGAAGACAGTGACCAGCATGTCTCAACAAAGAGGAATCTGTCTGTGCCCCAAGACTTTGCTTCATGCCATCTGAATTGCCCATGCGGAAAAGCCCCCTTTACTATCTTTCAGAGTAGTCATAAGCCCTCAAGATGGAACAGTGGCTCGAAAAATCTAGGTGAATAAGCCTCAGTGATGATAGTTTCAGTAGAACTAAAAGGAACCAGTTTGACTTCTCCCTAGAGCTGGAAGGACACTAAAACATGCCTTCATTATACAGTTGCAATCAAAAGACATTTGCTGGAAAGACAATCCACCATCGGCAAACTAATGGCCCAGAGAAAAAGTGCCTGAAACTGCCTGCCATGAAGCTGACATAGCCCTCTGCTCCCCTGCCTTCCAACTCATTTCCTCTCCTGGAACCGAAAGGAAATTTCAGGAACATAAACTTCTGCAAGGTGGTGCTAGACTGGAGGGACTATGTCCCAAAGTCTCCAAAGCTCTTCCCTTTCACTTTCTGGACTCCATACTCCAGAAATCTTTTACAGCAGCTCTAACAACTACCTTGACCAAGAAGGGCTGGAGGAGGCTTCTCAAAGGTGTATTCACTTCAGGGAATGTGTTCATCCTGGGTTGCCCTCTGGACTCTGTAGCACATGAAAGAGAAGGCACTCATCACTAGCTTACCTGAATTTACAATGACCCTGTTCACATTTAAACCAACAAGAGAGAGGGACGGAGGGTAACTGCCTCAGTTTCCCCAAAGAGGCTTAGCCTTTGAATCTCTGAAAGCAAAGCCACCTGAAGCTGCCAAAAGCAAAACTATAAGAAGGAAAGGTGAACTGACTGTCTTCATTCAGAAAAGACTTTCCATCAATACTGTCCCTGAAAAAGAATGATTAGAATCCAGATTATGAATCTGAAGCTTTTTTTATTTTTAATAAAATCAATTTCATAGTCAATGTGACTTGCACTCAGTGTGAGAAACCCCTGTGGGTCACCGAGCTGGCTAACAGCCCATCCCCTGAGGCTCACCATTCTCTGATTCCTGTCCCCTCCATTCTGGCCAGTCCTACACCAACAGAGAATGACCATCTAGGAAGCCAAGTGACCATCTACCACAGTGAAGGATGGTGCTTTCATCGCCCACAACAAATCCTTCTGATAAGAGCCCCACGATGATAAGAGACTGCAGGAGCCCTCTGTCTGCATGCCAAACACCAAGAAGCAGCTGTCATCCCATTTCACCCAAATAACCACTTCACCTGGAGTTTGCCTCTCAACCCCTTTTGAATGTCTATCCAAGCATCCAGGTGCCCTTTACTGCCATTGTCTGGTATCGAAGGATTTTATTTTAAACTAATTTGTCTAAGGACAGTTTCATCTTAATTTTACATGTCTAATAAACACTGAACAAATCCCAAGTGCAGTTTAGGAATGTTCTATGTCCTTAGACATAGAACTTTTTTTTAACTATGAAATTCTAAAGAGTTGAGTTTTGGTTAAATTATTTTCTTCAAAATTTGTTTTAATTTATATCGACAGACCAAAAACCAAAAGGAAGCTATGAAAATACTCAAAATGAAGTTGAATGTCTTGGTCATTAAATGAAATGGTTTAGATGAATTTGCCTACGAAGGGTTCTCATTCTTGTCTCCTACCATTCTTGTTTATTTATTTTTTCCACTAGGACATCCCTTCCCTAAATTTCCAGCCTGTTCTTCAATGATTGTTGAAAAGGCATTATCACCATTGTTTTACTCCTGCTCATGGAGCCAGCTGGCTCTTCTCATTTGTCTCCTTGATGGGTGAGCCATCCATACTCAAATCAGTATAAGAAAACTAACTTTTCTCATCTCATAGAATATCAGGCAGAACTAGAGGAGACCACCTGTCAAATACATCCTCCCACAAAACCACTGAACTACCCCAAAGTCTATAAAAATCCATTCTTGCAATCTTAACTGGAGTCATACTCTTTATTTAAAAGACATACAAGCAAGCAAATCCTCTGTATTAGGATGTCTCTATTCATTCCACATGCCTGTTACTATTTTCCCTCTATTATTTCATTTCTTAATTTAGCAACCCAAGCACTCCATGAGTTATTTAGCAATTACTGGGGTATGCACAGGTCTAATGCACTGTTGCAGTGGGGAGGGGGAGGTGACAAATGCCCATTAGTGCCAGGCCCAATAATGGCCCTATAATGCTGCCTTACACTTGGCCAGATGAAAGCGGCTATACATTGTAAGGGATTTTAAAAGATGTCACAAACCTTAATTAATTCTCAGTGTGCTGGGAGGAAAGTATTTACTCCCATTTGGGACTCCAAGAACTACTGTAAAGAGATGGTTGCGTGTCAAAATAAAACAACCCTAAATCAAGTTCACCTTACACTTCATAGAAGTGGTTGAAAGCACATTTGCATCTGCCACTCTGAGTTCATTCAACAAATATTCACTGAGTGTTAACCACGTGTCAGGCACTGTGCTAGACTCTGGGAGGGACACTAAATGACAAGGTCCCTGGCCAAATGGAACTTAGAATCTCAGGGATGAAACAGCCATTAATCCAACATATCTCATGAATTCATTAATGACACGAACAACCTACTGACTAATATAAAGAAAAGTTGCTTGATACTAAGAGAGAAACTGTTATAACCTTAAGTCTCAGGAAAAAGAGGTCTGGGTTTGAATAATTGTACTACCAATTATTAGCTACCCACTTAATCTGGTTTGGCTGCGTCCCCATCCAAATCTCACCGTGAATTGTAATAATCCCCACATGTCAAGGGTGGGGCCAGGTGGAGATAATTGAATCATGGGGGGCAGTTCCCCCATACTGTTCTCGTGGTAGTGAATAAGTCTCACAAGATCTGATCGCTTTATAAATGGGAGTTTCGCTGCACAAGCTCTCTTGCCTGCTGTGATGTAAGATGTGCCTTTGCTTCTCCTTTGCCTTCCGCCATGATTGTGAGGCCTCCCCAGCCATGTGGAACTGTGAATCCATTAAACCTCTTTCTTTTATAAATTACCCAGTCTTGGGTATGTGTTTATTAGCAACTTGAGAAGAGACTAATACATCACCCTTAGACTTATTCTTCCTTAGGTTCAGTTTCCTCATCTAGCTAATAGTGCCTGATATGGTTAGTCTCTGTGTCCTCACCCAAATCTAATCTTGTAGCTCCCATAATTCCCACATGTTGTGGGAGCGACCCAGTGTGAGATGACTGAATCATGGGGGTGGGTCTTTCCCATGCTGTTCTCCTGACAGTGAATAAGTCTCAGGAGATCTGATGGTTTTAAAAACGGGAATTTCCCTGCACAAGCTCTCTTCTCTTGTCTGCTGCCATGCGAGACGTGCCTTTCACCTTCTGCCATGATGTGTGACCTCCCCTGCCACGTGGAACTTTAAGTCCAATAAACCCCTTTCTTTTGTAAATTGCCCAGTCTTGAGTACGTCTGTATCACCAACATGAAAACGGACTAATACAGTGGCCAACATCAAAATTTTTGTTGAAAGGATTAAGTGAGACAGTGCATTCTTTCTACCCAAAGCAATTGCTCAGTAAAGGTGAGCAATTATAGCTATGAATATTATTTTCCAAAAGCCTCCTAAATTGTGGGTTCATTGCTCATCCAAACGTATATCAGATTTATAAGAAGTACTGGAATCATTCAGAATTAAATGGACCTCTAAAGGTCTGCTATGTGCAGTGTGTTAGAGTTAACCCTAGGGAATTTGGCTCAGATGCTTCAGTCAGTGACACCCTAATTTCTTCCAGCTGCCTGGAGTTTTTCTGAGTACCAGCTATGAGAAAGAGGCATAGGAAACTGTTTTTTCCTGAAGCAGACAGAGCACAGAGCTTCCTTTAGCCCTTCTGAGAGCCCACTACCAGGAACCATAAGATACTGTTTACCACTTTAACCAAAAGAGAGGGAAATCTCAGCCCTTGGCCCGATATCTGGTATTTTTATCGAAGGTTTGAATAAAGGTTGATAAAAATCTGTGTGCAATACAAAGTTGGGACTTTATCTTGTAGGCAATATGCTACATAATGGAATCAGTATCCCAGAAGACCTCCAGCAGCTGGTGTGGAAGGCTGAATTACATAACATGAAATTTAACAGAGATAAACACAAGGTCCTGCCCTTGGGTCCCAACAACCATCTGGACAAGTCCTTAATGGGGAAGCAGGTGCAAATGCACCTGGCTTGTTTTCATTCCCTACAAGCTCAATACTAGTCCATAGCGTGACGTGGCTTTCAAAGACAGCTGGACCATTTTTGGTTGTGTTAGTTGAAGTAGAATTCTAGAGCAATGGAGGTGAGATTTCTGTTCTGCTTTGCTTTTCATTGTAAGTTTGGGTACCATTCTGATAGATACTAGCACTTCTGAGCATCATTAAACAAACGTAATGAGAGAAGTGATGGGAATTTAGAATTACACCCCTGGTGGTTAAAGAATCTGGGAATGATTAACATAGAAGACTGGGGGTCACTGGAAGACCTGGAAGATCGCTCTTGCCAAAATCTTAAGAAGCTATAAAAAACAGTAACTTCTTTGAACCAGGCAATAGGCTGAAAAGGTAGCATACATCATCTCATTTGGTCCTCATCACAATGCCATTGTTATCCATAATTAAAATGAAGAAACTGAAATTGGTGAGGTTAAAAGACAATTTGCCAAAGTTCATTTAGGTGGTGAATGGTGGATCTAGGACATGAGTTTAGGTCTGTCTGACTCCAGATTCAGCACTTTAACCACAACCTATAAGCTCTATGGAAGACAGATTCCTTCCACAGAGACACATCCTACATAAGGCAAATCAAAGAAATGCCTGTTTACCTGACTGCTTTTGACCCAGACTGGAAGCTCCTGAGATAATAGGACACTGTTTTGATCATTACCACATCTCCAGTGCTTAGCGCACAGTAAATGTCTAGCAAATATCTGCTGAAGAAATGATGAAATCAGTGAACAAAGACAAGCTACAGTGTTATACAAGGAAGAACTCTCTGTAGTAAGAATCATCATGGTATCTGTTTCCTAGAGCTGCTGCAGCAAAAAACCACAAACTGGGTGGCTTAAAACAATAGACATTTCTTATCTCATAGCTCTGGGGGCTAGAAGTCTGAAATCAAAGTGTCAGCAGGGGCTATGCTTCCTCCAAAGGTTCTAGGTAAGAATCCTCCCTTGCCATTTCTAGCTTCTGGTGGCTGCCAGCATTCCTTGGTTTGCAGGTACATCGTGCCAATCTCTGTCTCTGTTGTCATATTAGCACTCTGGAGCATCATGAAACAAATATAACCAGAGAGGTAATGGAGATTTTGAATGACACCTCTGGTGGTTGAAGAAACTGGGAGTGATTAACAGAGAGAGAAGACTTGGGGTGACATGATTCCTCTTTCTAAAATCTTTGCTATGTGTCTGTCCCTGTGTCCCCAAATAATCCCTTTCCTCATAAGTACACCAGTCATTGGACTTAGGGGCAAATCTAACTCATTATGACATCATCTTAATTTTATTGTATCTGAAAAGACCTTACTTCCAAATAAGTTCACATTCACAGATTCTGGGTAGACATGAATTTCAGGCTGGGGGACACATTTCAACCCAGTACAATCACTGAGTAGGAGGAGCCATGTTAGGATTTAGGGCATGAACTTACCCTAGGAATGGTCAGGCAGGGATTTTAAAATTTAATAGCAAAGAAAGATGCAGGAAATAAAATTAAAGACCCATCTAGGATGACATCCTTTCATTCGATAAACATTTACTGACACTTACTGTATACCTAGCACAAAGTCATGTAGCTAGGGTTTTCTGATATGAGTAAGACACAGTTTTTCTTCTGGTGAGTCTCAAAGCCTAGTAGGGGAGAAAAACCTGTAAAGGAACAACCAAAACATGATACAAGGAAGTTCAATCTGAAGAGCTATGGAAGCACAGAGGTTAAATGAATTAGCTCAGCTTGGAGAGGAGATAGGAGAGAACAACTGAAGCGTCAATAATGAGTAGAGTTCTCCAGGCAGAAAAAGCATGGCAAAAATATGTAGTCTCCAGCCCAGGGTTCATCCTTCCTCTTTCTAACAAAAGTAAAAAATTTCCTTTACGAGACCACCCCTCCATTCCCAGCACTGTTGATTGAGTGGGATGACCCTACCCCCAGCTCCAGAGGGTTTCGGTCAGTCCACATATTCCATTTTCTTGACTAATTAGAACCAATAAGAGATGAGGGGACAGTTGCTTGGGTTTTATGAAAGAGGAGTATGAATTCCACTGAATTCAGTGCTGTAAGAATGTGAGGCTTGCAGCTGCTAGAACCATCTTGCAATCCTAATAAGAGAAACTTGAAACAGCCAAGAACAACAGCAGATCCTGGGAATGGTGCCACTCATAAGAAGCATGCCAAAGGCTGGATCCTGTTGGCATTATTTATGCCCTGAATCCAGCCATACCTGAGGCCATACCTACCCATGGACCTTCATTATGTGAGTCAATAGTTATATTTTATTTTGCTTAAGCCAGTGTGAAATTGGATTTCCTGGCACCTACCACAAAATGATTCTTAATTGAAATAGCAGTCCAGATTGCAAAACTGGCATGTCAGAAGTCACAGAGACAAAAAGATCAGGTTGTATTCTGGGAATGCTCAAGAATTGAGTGCAGTTGATGAGTGGGAAATGAATGAAGAGACTGGTGGAGGTCTCACTGGAAGGAACTTTAGGTCAAATTGGGTTTGGGCATCATCGTGGAGGTTATGTTCCTTCCAATTCTGAAATTCCTTGGTTTTCTGAGTCTATGTTCCAGAAATCTTTGTAAGAAAAAGGGAACATTAGCCCAAGAGAAGCAGCCTTGCCTGAGTTATGGCCTCAGATCCTAATATACCTATTGTTGGGCATTTTATCTGTATCCATCAATCTGGTGGGAAGCAGGGAATCAGGGGCAAGAATTATTGCCCTCAGCTGGAGGAGCCCATGGTCCTTGGGTTTCTGGATCACACACCTGGCAATAATCTTCACAGACTGTATGACCCATGGCCAAGTCTCCCAGCCTCAGGTATTTGCAATTGAATTACACTTAGGGCTACTGGAAATTCCCACTTCTGGACTCCAGATCTTTCCTAAGGGTGGGAAACAGAATTGAAATTTGAAGGCACAGCTTAACGTGCCTAGGACCCTGAACCTCATATTGGACTTAACAGGTGTGACAGATATCAAGGGGCAAGATGGACCAGGGATTGCTAGAAATTGATTCTACTCATTTCACACAGGGAATGTGATGGACCAGGGATTGCTAGAAATTCATTCTACGCATTTCACACAGGGAATGTAGGTGCATCTGTCTGTGTCTTGGAAGGAAATGAGGTCTACAGAGTCAGCACAGACTTGCAGCCTGGACCAGCCACATGAGCACATGGACATGAATAGACTGTTTGGCATTCTCATCAGTGCCGCGAATGACCAGTGCCACACAGAAAAAGCACTGCTCCTTCCCTCCTCAAATGGGACCAAGTAAAAGAGTAGCAGGGCTCCTAGTACCACCGGGCTCACATCCAGGTATACAAGTAACAGGAACAAGGGAACAATTTCAGATAAAGCTGAAACGATAGAAAAGTTTGCTTATCTGGACTTGTCTTGGTTATCTGGTTGTTCAGCTGTTAATTATCTGTCTAATACTCTAAAATATAGCCTCTGTGAGAGCAGTGACCTTGTCTTTAGGGATCAACATTGTATCCCATTTATTCAGTGATAATAAACCAGTAACACTACAAAGGAACTACAACGGGCAAGGCAATATTCTAAACATGTGTGTGTAGGTATGTGTGTGCAATTGTGTTTAATTCTTTTAATAATCCCAAGAGGTAGGCACTATTATTAATCCCATGTACAGATAAGTAAATTGAAGCACAGGCTAACTAACTTGAACAAGGCCACACAGCTAGTATATGGTGGAGCCAGGATTTGAATCCAAAACTACATGGCTCCAGAGTCCATGCTCTCGGTATCACTGTACTTATGCTACTTTCCAACTGTCTGGGACAAATATTAATTGAGTATCTACTATATGCCAGCCACATTTCTAGCTACTTGGAACAATCTATGAATAAACAGAAGTCAGAGGCTCATTAAACATTTTCTGGATGGAAGGATAGACGGATGGATGAATGAATGGATGGAAGAGTGGATAGGTAAACAGATGGATAGCTGGATGAGTTGATGTATGGATAAGTTGGTGGATGGAAAAATTGATGGATGGGTGGGATTCAAATATGTGGAAAGTGCCTGTTAAATGTCATGGGAAAGTCATCAGTAGAAGAGGCCATGAGTCTTTCTCTGTTTTTTTCCTGCATCCAATGGTAATTTGTCAGTGGAATTCATGCAGGCTCCAGGATTAGAAGCCTGGCTCCAACCCTTTACCATCTGTGTGATTTGGAGCAAACCACTTAACCCCTCTGGACCTGTTTCTTCACTTAGAAAATGAGAATAACCCCAGCTACTCTACTCACACTGTTGCTGTGGACTAAATGTTATTTGCTATTGTTTGGAGCCCAGATCAAATGTCATCTTTTTTTTTTCTGTAGTTTTCAATTCAACTCAATTCAACAAATATTTACAAAATGTGTTCTTTATGCAGACTTTGTACTAGGGGTAAGGATACAACAGTAAATTAGACAATATGCCCTTAGTGTTCAAAGAAATACTGGTAAAGCAGAGAGGACAGGGGAATTAAAACATATGGATAGATGAGTGTTTGGAAGAGGAAAGCGTGAGGTGCGATGAGAGTGTTTGATAAGGGTATAATTCACTTTTCCTCCTTGATGTTCCCATATTGCTTCACTTGGGCTGGCTACTATTGTACGTGTTGGTCCCCACTGTCAAACCTGGCTTTTAAAGAGATGTCCACATGACCCTTAAAGAGGAAACAATTGTACTAAACAGGTATAAGGCTGGATGTAGGGCAGGATAGATGGATGGATGCATGGATGGAAGAATAGGTGGGTAGATGAATGGATGGATGAAAGAATGGATGGATTAATGGGTGAACAGATGGATGACTGGATGGCTTGCTAGCTGGATGGATGGATAGATGGACAGATGGATGGATGGATGGATGGATGGATGGATGGATGGATGGATGGATGGACGGACGGATGGATGGATGGATGAATGGATGGGTGGGTAGATTGATGGGTGGATGGATGGATGGATGAATGGATGGATGGACAAATGGGTGGATGGATGTATAGACAGATAGATAGAGAAAGATAGATAGATAGACAGATAGATAGATAGATAGATAGATAGATAGATAGATAGATAGAGAGATAGATGGATGGGTGGGTAAATGGATGGGTGGATGGATGGATGGATTAATGGATGGATGGGTGGATGGATGGATGGATGGATGGATGGATGGATGGATGACTGGATGGCTTGCTAGGTGGATGGATGGATAGATGGATGAAAGGAAGGAAGGAAGGATGGATGGATGGATGGATGGATGGATGGATGGATGGATGGATGAATGGACAAATGGATGGATGGATGGCTTGCTAGCTGGATGGATAGGTGGATGGATGGACAGATGGCCTAATGAGTAGGTGGATGGATAGATGGGTGGGTGAATGTGTGTGTGGGTGATGGGTGGATGGACAGATGGAAGAAAGAAAGAAAGAAAGCTGAAGCAATGGTCTACATGGGAACAGTTAGAACTCCACAAAAGCCAAATCTAGGTGCACAGCCAGTGCATTCTGAGCCAATGTCAACATATTTAAGAACTGGATGAAATAGGAACATCAGGGCAGAAGTGGGCAAAGCCAGAGACTTCAACTGAGATTACATGAGAAAGATGAGAAAGAGTGCCCAGCCACAGGAGATATTTCTGGCAAAACGAAACAAAACAAAACAAAACAAAACAAAACTCCTTGAAATAGCTAGACCCACAGAGAAGCTTGTAGTATGTTGCAGAAATGACCACAATGTCTCTTACTCTTATAGATGCATCCTTTAACATATGCTTTTGTAGTTCTTCCCATCAAGTGGTAGATTTTATTCATCTACTCTTTGAATCTAGCCTTGTCTATGTGACTTGCTTTGGTCGATGGTGCATGAGCAATGTGAATCCAGCAGAAGCTGAAAAGTGCTTGCATTTTAGGGCTAGCTCTTTTGTTGCCTTGGGAAACTTACAGCCACTGTTGTGAACACTCAGGCTAATGAAGCCTGCTAGACACTGAGAGACACATGGGCGAGCTCTGCTTACTACCTCAGGTGACACTGATCTAACTGCCAAACATGAATGGGACCATCCTAGAACAGAAGCCCCTGCTCCTTGGCAGCTGACTGCAGAGATCAGCTGAGTCTGCCCACAAACAGAAGAACCACCCAACCAGCACAGAATCATGCAAAATTATAAAATGGTTATCATTATAAGCCACGAAGTTCAGGGTGGTGTGTTATGCTCTGAAAAAAACAGAGAATCACGAGTAGCCACAACCACTCCAGCAGACTAAGTGAACACACTGGTGTGACAAAGCCATTTCTTTCTGTCAGTAGCCCTTAAGGTGGAGGGATAATTTCAGCAAAACCACTTCTCATCAGTATAAGCACATAAGCTGACCACGCTCTGGGATTTGAGAGACAGCTTGCATGCACCTATTTATTCAGTCACTTTTTAAATAATTTATTCAGCAGACATTGATTTAGCACCAATATGGGAAAGTCCCGCAAACAAAGTGGAAGGTAAGATAGGGGTCCTCCCCCTACATGGCTAAGTGGTTGTATCAGGAGCTGGAATTAGGTTAGGGCAAACTGGACCTATACCCAGCCACTACCCTCCATCACCATTACACTTTGAGCCCCTCAAAGATAGGGACTACAGCCTCATATTCTTGTTCCCATACAGTAGAGTGAAAAATCATCTTGTCTTCATGTTGCCGGTGAAGAGTTTTCAGTAGAAAATGGCATTCTGACAATTGTCTAGCCTGATCCAGGACCTTTACCCAAAAAATCCACCCATGCACTGCTTGAGAGTACCCAGTAAGATAGAAAGATAGCTACCTGAGCTGTTAACATAATGTGTGAGGGGACAGGTTCTGGAGGTCCACTGCCTGAGTCTGAATCCAGGAGTTATTATTTGTGTTAATTAATCTCTCTGTACTTCAGTTTTCTTTTTTTGAAAAATGTGACAAATAATAGTTGCTACTTTATAAGGTTATTGTAAGGATTAAATAAGGTAATACACATACGTACAAGTACCGGGTTCACCATCATAAGCACTATATATGTTATTATTTTTTATTATCCTTCCTTGCTCCTGTCATCCAACCTCTCTCCTGAATCTATCAAACTCCTGACATGTGGCTGTAATTTTTCCACACCAATGTTGATTTGCCTTCTCTGATTTAGACCTTGTGCACCTTCTCTGTGGCAACCACAAAAATATGCCTCTCAGATCTGCTGCACCTAGAAGAATAATGATGGGCAGCTCTGGCTTAAGGACTCTCCACTGGCCTGGCAAAACCTTTTTTAGAATTGTGTCTGCAACCCTTCCTACAAAACCTGCCTTCCTTTGCCCTCTCTCTTGCAGGTGTCAGACCTGTGTTGCAACTTGAAGACTGTCCCTGCCACCTCCATCACCCCGCTGCCTTTTTCCTTCACAGGCTTTCCTCCAAAAACTCTTGTATGTCTCATCCTGTATTGTCATCTGCTTCTGCATCTTGGAAGATCCAAACTAACATACTCTTGGGCAATGTATTCTACCCAATGTATTCTACCCATGTGATTTGATTTCCTCTGCTTATTGCTACTCCAGGGAATATCCTATTAAACAACTAGAGTCCAAGATCTAGAGCATTTGTCTCCTTTCTTTGTGGATCAGGATAGATTGGAACAGGCATCATCTCTCTCATGTGCCGTACATCCTGTTTTCCTCTACCTTAAAATACATCTGGAATCTCAGCACTCCTTCCCACCTACACCACTACCATCTTGGTCCTTGGGCCATCATCCTCTCTTGCCTGAACTATTGCAAGAGTTTCCTACTGGTATCCCTGTTTCTGTACCAGTTTCTCTTCAATTTGCTTGGTTAAAACTAAGCGATCCTATTAAAACCAAGTCAGATGATGTAACATCTCTACTTAATGTCTTCGAATACCTTTCCATCTCGGACTAAAAAGTCTCACAATGGTCCAAAAGACATGCTCCCACCTGACACCCTGCCACTTGCTCATTTCACTATGTCTACATTAGCTACTTTTCTCTTCTGAAGCTTCCATCTCAGGGACTTCCCATTTGCTGTTCCTTCTGTCTATACAGTTTTTCCTAAGGACAACTATTTGATTCACTCCCTGGCCTCTTAAATCTTTATGCAGATGTCACTTCTTAGTGAGGGAGCTTTTTTTTTACTCCCTAACACTCCTGACTGTGTAACATAGTTGACATTTTACTTATTTTATCTTAGGTATTGTCCATCCATCCTTAACTATAAGTTCCAAGACAGCAGGTAATTTTATTTGTTTTATTCACTGTTGTATCCACAGCACCTAGAAAGGGGATATATGGATGGATAGATAGGGGATAGATGGATGGATGGATGGATGGTTGGATGGATGGATGGATGGGTGGATGGATGGATGGGCAAATGATGGATAGATGGATGGATGAGTAGATGAATGGGTGGATGAATGAAGGGTGGATAGATGGACAGATGGATGGAGGAATGGATGCATAAGTGGATGAATGATGGCGCTGAGTGAGACAACAGAAGGTTCGGTGTCCTATGACTTCAACCTGTGAATATCTCAGAGATAGAGATGAACACTCCAGGATGACCTGAAGCTTCAGATCTGATCCCTGGTCCTGTGCATCTTGGCCAAGTTACTTAACCTCTCTGAGCCTTATTTTCTTCATCTCTAAAACTAAGATAACAATATGGTTATAGTAGGATAGCAACAGAGGTGTTCTAAGACCTAAACAACACATGTAAATGCCCTAGCACAGAGTCCATAATTTAATAAATGCCAACTACTCCCAGGGATAAGTTATTCTGTGTCTTACTTTTCCCATCTGGTTAATATCACCACCTACTGATAGAGTTTCTGGGAGGATCATATGAATTGATACTAGGCTTGGAACAGATGATGACTCAATAAATGTCAGCAGTGCTGCCTCTCCCTCTGTGGCTGAATGGTGGGTTTTGCAGACATTTGATGTCTGTCCAAGCTCCCACAACTAGACTGGGGTAAGCAACTGAACTCCTGATCCCTCCCTGCACTACTTGTGAGACTTGTACACAGTATTCACCTAGTTTGCATTCGAAAAAAAATCAAAAAGAGGTCAAATAACATGCCCAAAGCTACAATGTTTACATGTGGCAAAACTTGGATCTGAACCTGAGGGGTCTTCCTTCAGCACCAGTCTGCTTCCTAAGCCCCTGAACCCTCTTTGACCATTCCCACTCCCTACATGGGGAAAGTCGTCACAACCTGTCCTTTGCTTGCGGAGAAAGTGATATTATTTAACAGACTTTCCAGACTCTCTCTTCCTCTAGGGGAAGCTGTGAACCCACACCACCAATGCTGTTTCTCCACGGAGAGCAAATCGCCAGCCTGGTCCCTGAGGCTATGACTTGGATGCCAACCCCTCCCACTCCCGAGTAGCAGATGGCTGCCTCTGAAACCATTTCTCATTGAGCTCCTTCCTGGTACCCCAGGATCCTTTGGTAATTACTGCTATCATTCTTACATTAAATACCATTTAACAAAATCAAGATTCCAAAGGTAGGGCAGAAAAGGTAAATGCATAGGCACACACACGGTACACACACATGCACACAGACACACATATACACAAGCACTTAAATGCTACAGGGATTTTTAATGGCTGTGACACAGACAAAGAAACCCTAGAAGCATCATCCTACCAGGGAACCTCCCTACCTAGAAATCTTTTAATCTGGTTTTCTCTTACAGAGAAGATGCCGTGTTTATTAACCATTTCAGCCCCACTTTCCCTGTGAGGAACGCAGCAGGGATTCAGCAATGACTACAGGTTAACGAGGGCAATCTGTTTCTCTTGATTCCTAACCAGTTTTTAGGTTAGTTGACAGTCCGAATTACATTTGCTCCTTAAAAAATTACTCACAAGGAGTTTAGCTGCTGGAGGGAACACAAGGTTTCTCTTCTGTTTGCTTGCATGGTGAACCTTTGCAAAGGGAGGTCTCACCAAATGGTCTCTGTTTACACAATATTTTCTTCTCCAATTTAAACAGTGGTTGCATTTCTTTTTCTTTTAAGATGACCCTGAAATCTAGCAGGCTGTTGCTCTGTGTCAAGGTGCTACTGGGCGTCTGCTGCAGGCTGATGGAAGGGACATCTGTTGTCAGGACCGGGGACTCCTACAGAGGGAAGGGGGAAGGGGGAAGAGAGAGAAGCAGGTTGTGATGCCTGCTGTTGCATCCGGATTTAGTATCTTACAATGAATCTTCAATGCTTTTTTTTAAAAAGCAGCTTTTTGGCATAGAAGTCGCTGCAGCCGCCAAAGTTCTAAGTCTGTTCATTCCCTTCACAGGATTCCAGAGAAAGTGGCTGGGTCCTGGCTGTTCCCATCCTGGCAGCACCTCACTTCCTTCAGGTGGGAGGCAGGCAGAAGAAGGAGATGCAGCAGAAGAAACAAGACAAGCAAGGCGGGCAGATTCAGATTGAGCAAACACATGTGCGTCTGACGTGCATTATCCTAGGGCCTTTATTGCCTTATTTTCTTACTGCCTTAAAAGAACACTCTGAAGGAGAAACATACATATCTAGTCTACCTACCCATACTTACATAATACCTACCACCTGCCTGTCTGCCTGTCTCTATCTGTCTATCTTCCTACCTAGTATCTATCGATCTCTTTATCTACCTGTGTATCTGTGTGTGTGTATATTTCACAACTGGGTAAACTGAGGCCCGATGAAGACTAACCTACATGAGATCCACTCAGTGCTTTCAGCTTCACTCCCAATATTCTTAGCTAGAATCCCATTAATTTAGTAACTCTTGACTATAAATGATGTCAATATTCCTTCAACCTGCATCATTTTTTGAGCACCCAATATGTGCCAAGCCCTGAAGCTATTAAGAGATACTAGCCGAGTCCCAAGAATTAAAACCTACACAGAAAATACCTCACTAGCCTTGTATGTATTGAGCAATTGTGTGTGTGTGTGCATGTGTGTGTGCGTGCGTGTGTGTGACTGTTTATTGAAGGCTAAGATAAAGGATATACAACTTTAAAACAGATGGATGGCATTGCAGCAGGAATTTGGTAAAGGAAATCAGTCTTACTAGCACGGGATTCTAAAGCCGCACATGGACCACTCTAGGGACAGCAGTCCCTCCTCTTAGGGAGAGTTTCAAATCTAAGAGTTGACCTAATTTCTCCCCTTCCAGCTCAACAACACAGGAGAAATGGCTACATTTGCTGCTCCTATCAGCGGGGTTTTAACTTCCTCATCACCCTCCTCCTGCCAGTCCCTCTCCAGAGATCATCCTTTCTGAATTCTCCTTAAGCCTTTGGGGAATTTCCTAAAGAGAGTGCTATTGCTCTCTGTAAACCAGCCCTGGATCTGGGGTGGACATAAGGTTTAGGCTCTGACAGGTCTTTAAACTCAATAGACGATAGGATTTTAAGCATAGATTTTATTTTGAAGTTGTTTTAATTCTATCAAAGTAAAAGATGGCCTAAGTTGGATATTATTTCTATGGTCTGATAAGATTCAGGCCCACCCTTCCTTTATGTGAATTGGGTGGGTCTTCCAGGATTCCCTAACTACTCACAAAGTAGTGAATATAAGACTTGGAGAGGCCCGTGAAATAGAGATTCTGACTGTAACCATTCCGCTGCAAGTTCCCAGTACATGGAAGAATAAACCTTACTGATTCCTCAGTAATAAGTGCTGTCTTTTTAAAAAATAGGCAAATGTTTCTGTTTTTTAATTTATTTTACTTTAAGTTCTGGGATGCATGTGCAGAATGTGCAGGCTTGTTTCCTAGGTATACATGTGCCATGGTGGTTTGCTGCACCTATCAACCCGTCATCTAGGTTTTAAGCCCCTCATGCATTAGGTGTTTTTCTTAATGCTCTCTCTCCTGTTGCCCCCAACCTCCATGACAGACCGTGTGTGTGATATTCCCCTCCTTGTGTCCATGTGTTCTCATTGTTCAACTCCCACTTATGAGTGAGAACATGCTGTGTTTGGTTTTCTGTTCCTGTGTTAGTTTGCTGAGAATGATGGCTTCCAGCTTCATCCATGTCCCTGCAAAGGACATGAACTCATCCTTTTTTATGGCTGCATAGTATTCCATAGTGTATATGTACCACATTTTCTTTATCCAGTCTATCATTGATGGGCTTTTGGGTTGGTTCCAAGTCTTTCCTATTGTGAATAGTGCTGCAATAAATGCTGTTTTTAATAGAGAAGAATAAACTCTCTAAGCAAAAGATCTGTCTCTAATCCTTCAATCAGATCTGTACATTACTTAGAAGTACAAGTGAACTCACACTAACACATGACACATATGAAGTCTGGGTCATTAGTCTCTATTATAGGCTGAATTGTAGACCCCTGGAATTCACATATTGAAGCCCCCACTGCAGAGTGTGACTGTATTTGTAGACAGAACCTATAAGAGGTAGTTAAGGAATTGAGTTTTATACAGTTTGAATATTTTGCAAATGGATAGATTACAAATGGATAGTTTGCAAATAGCTTCTCTCATTCCAAAGGTTGTTTCCTCACTGTTGACTATTTTCTTGGCTGTGCAGAAGACTTTTAGTTGGATGCAATTTCATTTGTCTATTTTTGGTTTTGTTGCTTATGCTTTTGGGGTTATATTTTTAAAAAAATTTGCCCATAGAAATGTTGAGAAACTTTTCTTCTGTTTTTTTCTAGTGGCTTTAGACTTTTGGGTCTTACATTTAAGTCTTTAATCCCTTTTGAGTTGATTTTTGCCTATGGTGTCAGCTAAGGGTTTGATTTCATCCTTCTCTATGTGGGTATCCAGTTTTCCCAACATTATGCAATGAAGAGGCTGTCCTTTCCCTATTGCATGGTCTTGGCAACTTTGTCAAGGATCAACTAGCCATAAATTGATTGATTTACTTCTGATTTTTCTATTATGTTTCATTGGTCTATATGTCTGTTTCTATGCCCAGTACCATGCAGATTTGATTACTCTAGCTTTGTGGTATGTTTTTAAATCAGGTAGTGTGATGCCTCTAGCTCTGTTCTAACAGCTCGACAGTAGGAAAACAACCTGATTTTTAAAATGGGCAAAGGACCTGAAGAGACATTTCTTAAAAGAAGACATACGAATGGCCAACAGTTACATGAAAAAGTGTTCAACATCACTAATCATCAGAGAAGAGAGAAGTGCAAATAAAAACCACAATGAAATACCACCTCACACCTGTCAGAGTGGCTACTATTACCAAAAAGGTAAAATATATCAAGTGTTGGTGAGGATCTGAAGAAAAGGGAACCCTGTGCATTGTTGCTGTGAATGTAAATTGGTACAGCCATTATGGAAAAAAGTATAGAAAACAGTTCCTCAACAAAATAAAAAATACAACTATCATTTGATCCAGCAATCTCACTTCTGGGCATATATCCAAAGGAAATGAAATCTGTGTTAAAGACATATTTGCATTCTCATGCTCATACCAGCATTGTTCCAATAGCCAAGATATGAAATCAGCCTAAGTGTCCACTGATGGAAGAATGGGCAAAGGAAATGTGGTGTATACACATATGTGTGTTTGTGTGTGTGAGTGTGTATGTGTGTGTGAGTATGTGTGTATATATGTATATATATATGTGTGTGTATATATATAATATTCCATTGTGTGTGTGTATATATATTCTATATATATATATTCCATTGTATATATATATTCAGGATTGCATATATACACACAAAATGCAGGATTTTATTTATAAATATATATACAATGGAATATGTATACAACAAATATATGTATACACACACACAATAAATATATATATACACAATGGAATATTATTCAGCCACAAACAAGAAGGAAACTCTGTTACTTGAGATGACATGCATGAACCTGGAAAATATTACGTGAACTATGTCAGGCACAGAAAGACAAATACTTCATGGCCTCCCTTATATGTGGAATTTTACAATGTGGAACCCATAGAAGAGGAGAGTAGAGTGGCAGTTCCCAGGGGAAAGGGAGTGGGAGGGGGAATGAGGAGACAGTTGGTTAAAGGGGACCAAGTGTCAGCTATGCAGGATGAACCAGTTCTGGAGATCTAATGCACAGCATGATAACTATAGTAGTTAAGGTTGGTGCAAAAATAATTTCTGTTTGGTCACTACTTTTAAATGGCAAAAAAAAACACAATTACTTTTGCACCAACCTAATAATAATGATGCTTTGCACACTTAAAAGTTGTTAAAAGTATAGATCTTAAATGTTCTGACCACAAAACATAAGTATCTAAGGTGATGGATGTGTTAACTAACTTGATTTAATAATTTCACATTGCATACGCATATCAAGACATCATGTTGCACACCGTAAATACATGCAATTTTTATTTGTTAATTTTTCCTTAATAAAGCTGGGAGAAAAGAGAGAAGAGGTTGATATGAGCCATTAGGGTGGGCCCTAGCCCAGCCTGAGTGGTGTCCCTTTAGGAAGAGGAGATCAGGACACACACACAGAGAGAAGAGGGCGTGTGCACAGAGGATGCCCACGCGAAGAGGCGAAGAGGCGGCAGGCAGCAGGAAGGTGGCTCTCTGCACCTTAAGGAGAGAGGCCACACAATAAACCAACCAAACCTGCCGACACCTTGATCTTGGACTTCCAGCCTCCAGAAATGTAAGAACATTAATTTCTTTTGTTTAAACCATCCAGTCTGTGATATTTTGTTATTGGCATCCCTGGCGGACTAAGCAGCCACCCAAACACTGGACTTCTTGAGTAGCACGATGTTCAAGGATTAGAAAGGAATTTTACACAAAGTTTCTTTGTTCAGTTGACATTAAAGGAAATAAATGTTGAAATCTATAACTATCCAGATTAAATATTAAAACATACACACACACAACACATAACACCTGTCTATAAAATCAAAACAACACATTTCTAATAAGTGTCCTGATCTCTTCAAGCAAGATAGAGTATTTCTTTAATTTAATTAGTCAAAACTATAAGGCTTTTAGAGGATTACGTAGAATACCTTCATGCCTTCATAGTGGAGACAGAAATAATACACAAGACCCAAGAAGCTCTACTTATAAAAGTATAGTAAATGTGATCACACTTAAATTGTTCTATTTATCATAAAACATCATGAAGAGAGAGAAAAGTCAAGCCACAGAGTAGAACACATAAGACTTCAAACACGGCCAGGCACAGTGGCTCATGCCTGTAATCTCAGCACTTTGGGAGGCTGAAGCGGGCAGATCAGGAGGTCAAGAGATTGAGATCATCCTGGCCAACATGGTGAAACCCCGCTCTACTTAAAATAGAAAAATTAGCCGGGCATGGTGGTGCACCCCTGTAGTCCTGGCTACTCGGGAGGCTGAGGCAGGAAAATTGCTTGAACCCTGGAGGCAGAAAAAAAACTTCATATAAAACTAACAAAGGATTCCAAGATATGCAAATCAATTAGAAAATAGGTTAGAGGATAGAAAAATGAGTTAACTACTGGATCATACAACCGAAAGAAGAAATCCAAATAGCCAAATGAAATGCCTAATCCCATTACTAATGAGGGAAATGCAAATCAAAGACATAATAAGCCCACACTACACATATTTGACAAAGATGAAAAATCCTAAAATCAAAAATATTCAAGAATAGGAGGCAATAGGAATGCTCAGACACAGTGGGTGGGGCTAAAACTGGGGGAAACACTTTGTAAAGCAAAGAGTAGCATTATTCATTGAAGTTCAAGATACAAATAACCAATGATGCGACATTTTCACTTCTGTAAGAGAGAAAGTCATGTGCACATGCACCAAATAAAGGTACAAGAATATTCATAGCTACATCACTCATAATTGTCATAAACTGGAAATAATGCAAATGTCTGTAAGTACTAAACGGTATCGTTAAATAGCGGAATACTTACTGTACGACAGGGGTTCCCAACCCTCAGGCCAGGGACCAATAACTGTTTGCAGACTGTTAGGGACCTCGCCACACAGCAGGAAGTGAGCACGAGCGAGCATTACTGGCCTGGGCTCCGTCTCCTGTCATATCAGCATCGGCATTACATTCTCATAGGAAGGCTGGGTGAGGTGGCTCACGCCTGTAATCCCAACACTTTGGGAGACCCAGGCAGGTGGATCACTTGAGGTCAAGAGTTCGAGACCAGCCTGGGCTATATAGTGAAACCCCGTTTCTACTAAAACTACAAAAATTAGCCAGGCATGGAGGCATGTGCCTGTAATCCCAGTTACTCAGGAGGCTGAGGCTGGAGAATAGCTTGAACCTGAGAGGTGGAGGATGCAGTGAGCTGAGATGGCATCACTGCACTCTAGCCTGGGCAACAGAGTGAGGCTCTGTCTTAAAAATAAATAAATAAATAAATAAATAAATAAATAAATAAATAAATATGTAAATAAATAAAATTCTCATAGGAGAATCAACTGTGCATACAAGGGATCTAGGTTGTGTGCTCCTTATGAGAATCTAAAGCCTGATGATTTGAGGTGGAACGGAACAGTTTTATTCTGGAACCACCTTCCCCTACCCCATTCCATCCATGGAAAAACTGTCTTCCACAAGAGAAACCCATCCCTAGTGCCAAAATGGTTGGGGACTGCTGCTACATGACATGGAAAATGAACAAACTATAGCTATGCCCAAAAATTAGTGATGCTTACAAACACAACGTTGAGTGAAATGAGCAAGACATAAAATCATGCATAAAGTTACAGTATAACTTTGCTCATGTAAATTTCAAAAACTAACAAAACTAAGCCCTACTGTTAAGGGAGGATAAGTGGTAAAATTACAAAGAAAAGCAGGAAATATATTACAATAAGTTTAGATGGTTTTTGTTTTTCCTGAGAGAAAGGGAAGGAACTGTGGTCTTGATTGAGTTATTTGAGGGAGTGTAAAGGGGAGATTGGGGATGCTCATATATCATCTCCCTGGCCTGAGTTGCTGGTGCCTGTATGTTGCATTACTCTCATTTGTTATCCTTTTTGGTGCGCTTTTCATAAATGTTTTATTTTACAACAACAACAAAAAAGTTTAGAATAAACAAAAAGTTTTCACATATGCCAACGATTTAAGTCATAAAATATTACAGTTAAGTCTAGACCTTCATTACTGGTCAGGATATTCATTTGTAAATAACAGGATTGGCTCTAATTAGTGTAAGCAGGATAGAATTTTTCATGGTAGACAGCTCAGAGGGTCATTGAAACAGCTGAAGAAACAGACTCTAAGCTGAACTTGCAGAACCACACAACAGAACTGAACCCACAAAGAAGCTACTGCCATCAGGGAACTCCTGTATCAAAAGCCACCACTGCAGCGACAGACACCAGGACCTCACTGCTTCTGCTGTGACTGACACTAGGAAGATGGATGCCCCTGCCTCTGTTCAAATCAGTCTCTCACACAAGGGCATCTGATTAGCCACACAGAAATCACATCTGCACCCTAACATAAGACAGGCTGGGGAAAATAAGATTGTTGCTGTGTATTTGTTTGTTTTTAAGACTTTACTTTTCTTTATAGGAGTTTTAGGTTCACAGCAAAATTAAGAGGAAGGAACAGGGATTTCCCATATCCTCCCCGTCCCCCTCCACATACAGCCTCCCTCATTATCAGCATCCCCCAGCAGCATGGTGCATTTATTATAATGGATAAACCTACACTGACACATCGTTATCACCCAAAGTCCATAGTTTACATTGGAGTTCATTCTTGGTGTTGTATGTCCTACGGGTCTGGGCAAATTTATAATGCCATGTATCCACCATCGTAGTATCATACAGAGTAATTTCATGGCCCTAAAAATACCCTGTGCTCCACCTATTCAACCCTCCCTATCCCCAGACCTTGGCCACCACTGATCATTTTACTATCTCTATAGTTTTGCCATATCCAGAATGTCATGCAGTCAGATCACAGAGTATGTAGCCTTAGATAGGCTTCCTTCACTTAGTAATATGCATTTAAGGTTCCTTCATATCTTTTCATGGCTCAATGGCTTGTTTCTTTTCAGCACTGAATAATAGTCCATTCTCTGGATGTACCACAGTTTATGTATCCATAAACTGTGTATCCAAAACTACTGAAGGGCATACTGGTTGCTTCCAAGCTTTGGCAACTATGAATAAAGCTGTTATAAACACTCATGTGCAGGTTTTTGTGTGGACATAAGTTTTCTTCTCCTTCGGGTAAATACCAAGGAGCATGATGGCTGCATCATATGGTAAGAGTATATTTAGTTTTATAAGAAACTGCCAAACTGTCTTCCAAAGTGGCTGTACTATTTGCATTCCCACCAGCAATGAATGAGAGTTCCTATTGCTCCACATCCTCACCAGCATTTGGTGTTGTCAGTGTTTTGGATTTTGGTCATTCTAATAGCAGGGGTCTCAACCCTTTTTGGCACCAGGGATTGGTTTCGTGAAAGACAATTTTTCCAGGAATGGGGTAGGAGGATGGTTTCGGGATGAAACTGTTCCACCTCAGGTCAATTAGATTCTCATAAGGAGCTCACAACCTAGATCCCTCGCATGCACAGTTCACACACAATAGGGTCTGTGCTCCTATGAGAATCTAATGTCGCTGCTGATCTGACAGGAGGTGAAGCTCAGGTGGTAAATCTCCCTTATCTGCCACTCACCTTCCACTGTGCGGCTGGATCCTAACAGGCCACAGACTCCTACTGGTCCATGGCCTGGGAGTCAGGGACCCCTGCTAATAGGTGTGTAGTGATATCTCATTGTTTTAATCTGCATTTCCCAGATTCCTGAATGACATATGATGGGGAACATCTGTTCCATCCACTTATTGGCCATCTGTATATTTTCTTTGGTGAGGTGTCTTTTAAGGTCTTTGACCCTGTTTTGTGCTTGTTTGTTTTTGCTTTTTCTTTTTAATTCTATCCAGATAAGGCAAGATTTATACCATGGAATACTATCAAGACAGGATGCTCAAAATACTACGGGCAGCCATGAGGGCAGATATTCTCAGCACAGACTATGTAATTTAGTCTTGTTATTTCACAGGTTGATGAAATGTTACTGGATAAATAAAATAACTTAGCTGTCTACAGGAAAGCACATATGTTGTAGGGCACATCAAGAAAACTGATTTTAAGTTCTGGCCCTGCACTTATTAGGTGAATTACTTACCTCTCAGTGCCTTGGTTTGCTCAGCTATAGCTGATGGCATGATGCTATAGTAAACTCATAGTACAGCTATGAGAATTAAATAAGATAATATGTGTGAAATAGCCTGATGTAGTGTGTGCTCATTTAATTTCCGTTTGCTGCTGTCTGCTTCAGAAATTTTCCAAGAAGCTCATTGTATTTTTATTTTCTGTCTTGCCAAACATACCTTTTCTTAAAAATGCTAGTCCATTAGAAATACAGAGAGGACTGAATTCATATGTGATTTTTAGAACAAGTGTCTGCTTTCTCCCTCCAAAATTCCAAGAAATTACCAAAAAAGCACTTTTAAATAATAAATTCATAAAAACCCAAGGACGTGTGGGGTGGGAGGGATGTTGGAGTAACCCCCACATTACAGGAAATGACTGCTGCAGAGGAAAGAGTAGGTTTGAGTTCCAAACCCAAACTAAAGAAAGACAAAAAGTTGCAGGTTTCTGGTGTATTCTCGAGTTAAAGAATTGGGAAATTACACTCAGAGAAACCAGATAAAAAAAGGAAGGACACATACAAAGTGTTCAGAGCTCCACAGAGATGGGGGAAAATTTTTAAAATTATAAAAGAACTCTATGTAAAATTTATACCACTAATTTTGAAAATCCATTCCAAGTGAATGACTTCCTGAGAAAATATAACTTACTGAAATTGACTCAAGAAGAGGTAGAAAGCATGAGTAGACAAATAACCATTGAAAATATTGGAAATGCTGTCAAAAACCTACTCAAAATGAAGTATCAGTGAAAGCAATTTGGAAATAGCTACTAAAATTAAAAAAAAGCATACATTGCAACTCAGAAATCCCACTCTTCGGAGTTTATCAAATAGAAATAAAAGGACCAGTACCATAGGATATGTGTTAACTTTGTTAATGCAGAATCATTTGTAAAAGAAAAATTAAGGAGGAGACAAAGTGAATGCCCTACCACAGAAAATTACACCTTTGAAAAGTGAGCTAGATCTTTATCAGCTAATTTGAAACAATTTACAGAATGTATTGATAATAAGAAAAGCAGGACACAGCAGAGTACATGCATGTGTATTCTGATTTTTACAAAATAATAATCAGAATAAATATTTCTATGAACGAGTGAAAGATGTGTGTGTGAAATTATATATGTGCATGCAAGTTTGTATAATTTTATAAGTGTAGAGAAGGCTGCAGAAAGTAACACTGACCTGTAAGCATTGATTATAAAGTGGAGTTTGGGGAATGAGTTGGAAGGGAACATGAAGGAAAGAGTTTAGCAAAAAAGAAAGAAGGAATGAAACAGAGAAAGAAAAAAGCGAGAGAGAGAAAAAGAACGAAAGAAAGAAAGAGAAAGAAGAAAGAGAAAGAGGAAAGAAAGAAAAAGACAGAAAGAAAAGAAGGAAGAAAAAGAAAGACAGAAAAGAGAAAGAAAGAAAGAAAGAAAGAAAGAAAGAAAGAAAGAAAGAAAGAAAGAAAGGAAGGAAGGAAGGAAGGAAGAAAGAAAAAGAAAGAAAGAAAGAGAAAGAAATTCATGTAAATTAAGGAATCTATGACAAATTAAGGATTCCAGGACAAAATGCTTTCACGCTATGAGTACTTCTATGTAGAATTATATATGTGTATGTTTGAGTATGCACGTATATGTGTGTGTTATATGTATTCATAAGTGTAAAAAGTAAAAATACCAACAAGGCGTAAATTAAAAAAATGATACCAACCCAGGCATTTGACAGATAGTCCTGTCAAACCTTTAAGACACAATAGAAAGCCCTAAAACTAAAAAGCTAGAAAGCGTCTCAGTTCTTTCTGTGAATCCCTGTACAAACACGATAAACACCCCAGTAAAAAACTACAGCCTCGTCTCACTTAGGGACACAGAAGCAAACTATAAGCCAATCATACGCAGAAGTGTATAAAAGAAAAATATATCATGACCACATAGGGCTCATTCAAACAATGTAAGGTTTCAGTTACAGCATGTAAAGACCTTAGACAACCCATCACTCCCATCCTTCCAACAACAGAAAAGTTGAACAAACTGATAATCAATGTCTTTTCTTAGATCCTTCAGAGAGCTGAAGCCACAAGGCAAACTGCCACCTTATAATTAGGAGAGACAGTTGATGAATCCAGAGAGTTAAGAGTCAAGATCTACCCACCTGGAGAAGAAGCTCCTGGAGGCATACACTGATAGGAACACTTAAATGGTAATTCTGACAAATTATCATTTAAAAGAAGAACTACTGTGGACTAACATGAGAGTGAGCAACTCCTAAGGCCCCCAGACTTAGGGAGTCTCTGATTCTCTGACATCAACTGGGTGTTTAACAACACAATTCAATTCTGACACCAACTACTCAAAGCACAGACCCAACAGGTCAAGTCCAACAAAACTGTGTCCTACTTCGGATGCTGGCTGCAAATGTGGTGTCAAGTTTACCCACATTCCTGCCCACCCAACTATGAATTCAGGAGTTCCCATGACCACCCCTCAGGCTTGATCATTTGCTAGCTAGAATGGCTCACAGAACTCAGGAAGGCACTTTACTTAATATTACTAGTTTATTTTAAAGAATACGACTCAGGAATAGCCAAATGGAAGAGTAGCATTAGGTAAGGCATGGGGGTTGAAAGATGGCATAGAGCAAGCTTGTCCAACCCATGGTTCAGGACTGCTTTGAATGCAGCCCAACACAAATTCATAAACATTCTTAAAACATTTTGAGATTTCTTTGTGTGATTTTTTTTAGCTCATTATCTGTTGTTAGTGTTAGTGTATTTTATGTATGGCCCAAGACAATTCTTCTTCTTCCATTGTGGCCCAGGAAGTCAAAAGATTGGACACCGCTGGTGTAAAGCTTCCATGTCCTCTCTGGACATAGCATTCTCCTGGCACATTAATATGTCACCAACCCAAAAGCTCCCCAAACCCCACTATCATTTAGGGATTTTGTTATGCAGGTTTCTTAATGCAGGCATAACTGATGAAATCATTGTCCACTAGTGACTGAACTCAGTCTCCCAGCCCCTTTCCCCTCCCTGAAGGTTGGAGGGTGGGGATGAAAGTTCAGCCTCCTAATCATAGCTTAATCTTTCTGGTGACCCCAGTCTTGAAGCTATCTAGGAGCCCCCTGCCTGGAGTAATCTCATTAGCATACAAAAGACAGTAAATTCCAAAGGTTTTAGGAGTTCTGTGCCAAAACACAGACCAAATATTTATATTTTTATTATACCACAGGGCATCCACCACAATTTAGTCAGCTTTACGTCCAGAAACTCTACTAGCTTTTCCCCGTGAAAAGCAGAGGAAGGTCCCTTGTGGCTCTGGTGGGGAATTGGAGAGAACAGACCTATCCAGGGTGGAAAACACCCAGGTATGCCCAGAGCATTCTCCATAACAAAGGGCTACTCTCCAGGGAATAAGACTTTACCAGAGCCTTATCCAGCTGGGGAAAGGGCATTCTCTCATTCCAGGCCCCTCTATCCTTTCTGTCCCACCTAAGGGAGGGAAGAAAGTTTAAAAAAACACTACTAAGCTCTCAGCCCAGGCAGTCAAGCCCACTAAAGGACTGAAACTTAACTATAAGATTAAAGAAAGTGAAAACCAAAAATAAAATACTAAGCCCCCACAAACGACTAAACATACACACACAAACACACACAGCCCCTTGGTGAAGAGCAGCCCAGAGTAACCTGAAAAACTAAATTCCAAGACATTATGGGAAGGGAGGTCAGACATAACTTGTTACACTCCTCTTGCCTTTCGGAGTTTAGTCACAACTGACCAGCACTAACATTAAAATAGTGATTATAAGACTGACAAAACAGACTCCTTGCCAATAAGATACCAAATTCCAATCTGACTCTGGTATAGCATCACATAACAGATAGCAAACTCTGAAGGAAATCAAAATATTTTACTCTAAAACATATTTCTTTGACATATTTTGAAATGGCCCTGCAAAGCCATCTTTATGGGAGAAAATTTGCATTTGTAGAGAATCTCTATTAATGCAGCCAGGCCTTTCCTAAATCTAGGAGAAATTACCTAAGAGTCTGACACCTTTAAAGTCCAAAAGGAGACATTTACCACCTATTCTCTCTGAAGTCTGCTATGTGGGGGCTTCATCTACATAACAAGAACTTTGACTTCCACACCCATCCCCCTTTTCTGAACTCAAGAATTTTTTTCTACCATCTTCAAGTCCTAGCTTAACTCTTTCAACCAACTGCCAATCAGAAAATCTTTCAATCCACCCATCAATCAAAAAACGTTTGAAATCCTCCTATGACCTATTGGTTCCCCACCACCCTTTTGACCCATTTGAGAGATCCCACCTTCCCAGACTGAGCAAATGTGTACCTTACATGTATTGATTTATGTCTTTACCTGTATTTCTATCTCCCCAAAATATATAAAGCCAAGCTGTAACTCAACCACCTCGGACACATTTTCTGAGGACCTCCTGAGATTGTTCCCCAGGCCAACTGACAGCCCAGGATGGCTTTGAATGTGGCCCAACACAAATTTGTAAACTTTCACTCATATTGGCTCAGAATAAACCTCTTTAAATATTTTACAGTTTGCATTTTCTTTTTTTTTTTTTGTCAACAAACACCTCGCCTCCCTTACCACCACACCAAGGGCTCCAGTAAAATAACAGTGGATTATAACGGAAAGAGCCACAAGAAGTAGTCTCTTTCTGAGAAAGAGTATTTAAGGAAATTTAAAGTCAACAGGAGAGGCAAAAATGTCAGAGGCGTTTGAACCAGAGCAACTCTGTCTTGTAGATGGGCTGGTTACATAAGGCTGAGACCTACTGGGCTGCATTCCCAGGAGGTTAGGCATTCTAAGTCACAGGATGAGATAGGAGGTCGGCACAGGATACAGGTCACAAAGACCTTGCTGATAAAACAGATGGCAATACAGAAGGCAACCAAAACTCACCAAAACCAAGATGGTGATGAAAGTGACCTCGGGTCATCCTCACTGCTCATTATATGCTAATTACAATTCATTAGCATGCTTAAAGTCACTCCCACTGGCACGATGACAGTTTACAAATGCCATGACAATGTCAGGAAGTTACTCTATATGGTCTAAAAAGGAAAGGAACCCTCAGTTCCAGGAAGTAGCCACGCTTGTTGGTAAGTGCCTGTCGTCCCAGCTACTCGGGAGGCTCAGTCAGTGAGCTATCATTATGCCACTGCAGTGAGCTATCATTGTGCCACTGCACTCCAACCTTGGCAACAAAGACCCTGTCTCAAAAAAAAAAGACATGGAGTGGCTAAACAGATGGACAAAAAAGAAATCCATACAACCTACAAAGCCTGAATCATAAAGAAATAGAAAATCTCAATAGACCAATATCAAATAGGGAGATCAAATCAGTAATCAAATACCTCTCAACAATGATAAGTTAGCTACACTGGTGAATTCTACTAACATTTCAAGAAGAATTAACATAAATCCTTCTCACACTTTTTCAAGAACTTGAAGAGGAGGGAACACTTCTAAACTCATTTTTACAAGACTAGCACCACCCTGATACAAAAGCCAGACAAGAATACTGCAAGAAAAGAAAATTACAGGCCAATATTTCTAATGAACATCAATGCAAAAATCCTAGCAAACCAATTCCTGCAGCAAATTAAAAGAATTATAAACCATGATGAAGTGGGATTTACCCCTGGGATGGTTCAATGTATGCAAATCAATAAATGTGATACATCATATTAACAAAATGCAAGGGCAGAAAAAAGCATTGCATAAAACTCTACATCCTTTCATGATAAAAACTTTCAACAATATAGGTATAGAAGAAATGTACCTTCACATACTAAAGGTCATATATGACAAGTACACAACTAACCTCAAACTCAACAGTGAAAAGCTTAAAGCCTTCCCTCCAAAATCAGGAACAAAATAAGGATGCCACTCTTGCTACTTTTATTCAGCATAATACTAGAAATCCCAGCAAGAGAAATTATGCCAGAGAAAGAAAGAAATTAAACGCATCCAAATTGGAAAAAAAAGAAGTTAAATTGTCTCTGTTTGCAGAGGAATATATATATATATATATACACACACACACACACACTCACAAAGATTTCACCAAAAATCTGTCAGAACTAATGAAAAAATACAGTAAAGTTGCGGGATATGAAATAAACATACGAAAATCAGTTGCATTTCTTTACATGAACAACTCTCTTAAAAAGAAATTAAGAAAACAATTTCATTTACAAAAGCATTTTATAAGGTAAAATACTAAGGTAGAATTTAACCAAGGAGGTGAAAGATCTATACATTGATAATAACGCTGGGGAAAACAGGTTAATCAGCTAAAGTAATTTTACAAGTGTTGAGGCAAGAGCAGGACAGGAGGGAATTGTTAAGAAACAGAAAATCAGAGAAGACTGGTGGAACTAACTTTAAAAACTGGGGCTGACACAACTGAGTATACATTTGGAAATTTTTAAATAGTACAAGATTCATCCTTCACATTGCACACACAAAATTAAACTGGAGATGAATTAAAAACTTCAACGTTAAAAATTCAAAATGATTAAAGAAGAATATAGGATAATACCTTTATAATCTTAGAATGATGAAATATGAAGCATGAAACAAAATAATCAAGGGAAATACTGCTTGATTTCATGTAATTAATTTAAAACTTCTGTTTGACAAAAGATTCTGCAAAGGAAGCTAGAGACAAGTAACAATCTAGGAGAAATTTTTTCCATCCTATATGACAGAAATAGGATTGAAATCCAGAATGTATCGAGAGCTCTTATAAAGAGCTTTTAAAAGAAAAAAAAAAAGATTGCCCATTTAAAAAAAAATGGGAAATAATGTGCATATGAAATTCAGAATAAAGAAATATAAATAGCTAATATTTGAAAAGAACGTCAAGTTTACTAGTAATTAGGGAAATGGATTTAAATCTCAAAGCATGGCCAGGTACATGCTGGACTTAATACCTAGGTGATGGGTTAACAGATACAGCAAACCACCATGGCACACGTTGACCTATGTAACAAACCTGCACATCCTGCACATGTACCCCAGAACTTAAAAATAATTAAAATTAATTTTTTAAAAAAGAAATAAAAACCAGACTTTCAGAAGCACTTAAGGAGTTTGATTGGAAAGGGGATTAAAGAAGAGATGGACAGGCTATTCCAAGAGAAACAAGTAAAACTAAGAGAGAGTAGGACTCTATTTGTCATGAGAGACCCTGCTGACTTTCTCATTTGGAGACATCTAGCCTTAGTGCATTGGAATGAGACATGATTCAAATCTCAACTCCACTACCTACTCACCCAGTTTTGGATGGGTCCTTTACTTCCTCTATATGTCACCTTTCTCATCTATAAAATCAGATGGTATAGAACCCATATGATACCTCTGTTACTGAGCAAGTGTATAAAATTGCACAGGGCAGGACCTGAAGCACATAGTCCTTAACTACCTGCCATTGTTATCATAGCATGGCAGGATCCATTAATAACTTCGAAAGTGTCGTTAGGCGTTTCTCATGAAAAGATTCCGTAACACCGTCAAAATTGAACAATAGAATGATGCCTTTTGGAAGTAGTGTCAACCTAGGATGAATTCTCGGTTGTTTGCTATGTCTAGTGTATTTCAAGGCTATTAGTTCCTGACATGCCCCCGCCTGCCCCACAGTTCACCCACCTGACTCCACTTCCCTCTATTGAGGCAACAAAGATTGTATATCCAAGTTCTCTAGCTGTGCTGCACCAGCTTTGCCAAAGCTTTCTTTCCAAAGAATGCTGAGTTTCAACTACCTCTGGTCACTAAAATGTGCAGGGACAGACAGTGTGTGGAGCTGAAGGGTGGTCTCGAGTAACCAAAAAAGGTAATGGCAGTGGAAATCATTTAGGAAGAAAATCAGGCAATGGCAGGAGTGGGCATGCAATGAAGACTTGGGAAGATGGCTCTATGGACAGAGGGCAAATGGAAGGCTCTACTCAAAGAGCCCGCTCTGTAATATCACATAAGAAGGAATGCTCATAGAGATGGGAACGACTGGAAACAGTGATGACAGCCACTTGCAACATGCCGTCCTCCCTGGAATCAGAAATGGTGAGCAAATAATAAACACAAAATGAAACAGCTTGGGCATGGTGACCAACCCGCCAGGCATCCATCTGCATGGAAAAACAAACATATAATCTAAACGTCCAGTCAATCCCAGTGCTAGTACAGGATGGGACAGAAACATGGGAACGTCCAGCACTATTTATTTATCAGTGCCACAGTGCTTGGCCATGTCTCAGTTTCATTGGAAAACTTTTCCTTGAGTGATTTCTCCAAATTAAGCTTCACTCTTTAAGACTCCAACCGCTTAGAATTGCCAGCCACTAAACTCTGGAAGTAAAATAGGAAATTACTGGGTAAAAGGTCCAAGTTGAGTCTCAAAGACTTTGTAATGGGCCAACAGACACAGTATCGCCTTATGCATGAAAATAATGTTTCCAAATGAAAATCTGTTCCTTTTTCATCCTCTCCCACCATACTCCCTGTTCCCTCCTTAACACAGAATAGTTTCCAGACACAACGACCTAGTAAAGCCCCGCAAAAGGGCAGTGCTTTTCTGTCTTTGTGCCTTTGTATGAAGCACTCTTTTCTTTCTTAACTTTGAAATCCTTCCAGATGCAGCAGGAATAACCTTGGAGACCCCGGAGTCTCTGTAAGGAGTTGCAGAACCAAGAATAGCTGCAGCAATTGTTTTGGGGAGAGCTGTGGGAGCTTGGAGAATAGGAGGCAAAGAAATTTGAATTTTGTTTTCTTTTCCATGAATCCAGGAAAAAATTAGTTAAGTAGATACTTCCAATACAATGTGCTAAGAGCCAGAATTTAGAAGTAATGAAGTAACTTAGACATAGAGGGGAAGAATATGCTTATTTGGGGGGCTAGGCATTTCTAGAAAAGTTTCACATAAGAGGTTAGCTATTTCAACTTCATCTTAAAGACTGGGTAGAGTTTTTGAAGGCAGTCGAGATGGATGTGGGGTTTTTTCCCAGCCCATACAGAATTTTCAAACATTTGATGCTACAAGTGAGTGTTTAAAAAAATAGGGGCCGGGCACAGTGGCTCACGCCTGTAATCCCAACACTTTGGGAGGCCGAGGCAGGTGGATCAGGGTTCAAGACCAGCCTAACCAACATGGAGAAACTCCATCTCTACTAAAAATACAAAATTAGCCAGGCATGGTGGTGCATGCCTGTAATCCCAGCTACTCGAGAGACTGAGGCAGGAGAATTGCCTGAACCAGGGAGGCGGAGGTTGCAGTGAGCCAAGATCACACCATTGCACTCCAGCCTGGGCAACAAAAGCAAAACTCCGTCTCAAAAAAAAAAAAAAAGGCATCTAGGCATCTATATTTTCATTATACGACATAAAACAAAACAAAGTAATCCAAAAAGATTGAAAAGAGAATAAAATTAAATTAAATTAGCAACATAAGTATCAGAAAAAAATAGAATTAAGGTGACAGATGTCATAAGAGACAGAGGAGAATATTTTATTAATAAAACATGTGATAGATTAAGGAGCTCTAAGTGAGGCACGGTGGCTCACACCTGTAGTTCCAGCACATTGGGAGGCCAAGGCAGGCAAATTGCTTGAGCCCAGGAGTTCAAGACCAGCCTGGGCAACATGGTGAGACCCCGTCTCTACAAAAACATACGTAATATTAGCTGGATGTGGCAGCACACACCTGTAATGCCAGCTACCCTAGAGGCTGAGGTGCAAAGACGGGAGGATGGCTTGAGCCTGGGAGGTGGAGGCTGCAGTGAGCCATGACTGCCTAGGTGACTAGCCTAGGTGATAGACCGAGCCCCTGTCTGAAAAATAAAAATAAGTAAGAAAAAGAAGCGCTAAAGAAAGTTATGAAAAGTTATTCATCAAATAACAGGACTTCAAAATAAATATACCAAAACGATTCAGAATTTCAAAGAAAAAGTGACACATTTCTTGCTCAGAGATTCACCAATCAAAAGAAGGATTTTAATGATGACAGTTAACAAGTCTGATTAGACACAGATATGTTCATGTATACACGTACATGTATATACATAAATACGTCTGCATGTATATGTATATTTGTACCCAGAAAATATACATCCTTTAAAAATATATTTATCAACAATTTCAGTCTTTATTAGGCCATAAACAGAATCTCAATAAATTTCAAAAAGAAGTCAAAAATGTTAAAGCTACATAGAAGAATTAACACAGTAAATGTAGACATTATTAACAAACAGATGGCCAAGAACCAAAAATAAGTAACACCACCACAAAACCATCTATTTGGAAATTTAAAACAGTTTTTTAAATAACTCATGGATTAAATAGAAATTCAAAACCGAAATTACAACCTGTTTAGAAACGAACAACTGGAACCCTACATATCTAAATTATGGAATGTAGCAGTACTTGGATGAAAATTTACAACTTTAAATGTATTAGAAAACAAGGAAGACTGAAAATAAATGAACTAAACATTCAACTCAGGAAGCTGGAAAAGGAACCATGAAAACCATAATAAAAAAACTGAAGAAAGTAAAACAAAAAAAAGAGAAGGAATAAAGATAAAAGCAGAAATAAATGAAACAGAAAACAAAAGAAAAATAGGAATTTGCAGCAATGAAACTAAAAGCTAGCTCTGTAAAAAGAGCAATAAAATAAACAAACTTCTGTAAGACCTGGCAAGAAATAAAGAGAGCACAAATAACAATCTTCAGAATGATGAAGAGGGCATAACTACAAATGTGGGAGAGGTTTATACTAGATATAAATTTACATCAATAAATCTGAACATCTAGATTAAATGGATCATTATTAAGGATTTTTAAATTACCAAAGTAAACTCAAAAAGGGCTTAGAAAAAGCAAAAAAAAAAAATTATTTTTTCGTTTAAAATTAGGCTGGGCACAGCGGTTCACTCCTATAATCCCAGCACTTTGGGAGGCTGAGGCGGACGGATCATTTGATGTCAGGAGTTTGAGACCAGCCTGGCCAACATGGTGAAACCCCATCTCTACTAAAGATACAAAAAATTAGCCGGACGTGGTGGCACACGCCTGTAATCCCAGCTACTCAGGAGGCTGAGGCAGGAGAATTGCTTGAACTCGGGAGGCAGAGGTTGCAGTGAGCCTTGATCGTGCCACTGCACTCCAGCCTAGGCAGCAGAGCAAGACTCTGTCTCAAAAAATAAAAAAAAAAAGTTAGCAAATACCTAACCCTCCCAAATCACCAGACCCATATAGTTTTATGGATGAGTTCTACTGACATTCTCACAATATGTAATCTGTACTTCACTGTGATTATTTTAGAACACTGAAAAAGAAAGTTGTTGAAATCATTCTCAAAGACAAACATAAAACTGATACAAAAACCAAATTGTATTTTACCAGCAGTAAAGACCCTCAAAAGAATAATTTAAATACATAAATATAAATACCAAAAATTGTAACAAATAGATAAGTAATTTTAATTTAGCAATGTCTTAACCAAATGAAACGACAGAACCAAATAGGATTTTCTCAGGAATGATATAATGATCCATCATTAGGATTTCTGAAATTAGCCACCTTCTTTTTTAAAAGAGGACAAACCCTATATGTTCACCTTAATAAATGTTTAAAATCTTGACAAAGAGCTACCTGAATTCCCAGGAAGAGTTCACAGCAATCTAGAAACAGATTTTATTTTAACTGATAAAGAGTATTAGCAAAAATCTACTACAACTATATATTCAGGAGTGACACACTATAAGCATTTCAATTAAAATAAAGAATTAGATTAAAAAGTTGATTATCACGGTTAACATTCAACATTGTCTTAGATATTCTAGACATTGCACCAAGTCAAAAACAAACAAAACTGAAGGGAGTTAAATTGTAAAGAAAGTCACAAACTGTCACTATTTGCATGTGTTATCATTCTTGACCCAACAAAAACTACTAAACTCAACTTAATTTTTGAAATTAATAGCAAAATAATTTAAGGTGGCTGACTGCAGACAAAAATCAATAGTTCTCCTAAGCATTAATAACAATTTATATGGGGGGGATCCCAATTATGAACCAGGTACAATATAAAATATCTAGTTATAAACCTAACAAAAATGTATAGGATGGAAGAAAAACTACACACACTTACTAAAGTACATTTAACAATAAATAAGTTAAAAGACATGCCATGTTCCTTGACTGAAACATCATACATTAATCTACTGTCTCAATGTAATCCTGCTAAGAATTCCAATATGATGTTTTAAAGAAAGCTAATAAACTGCCTGTAAAATTTACCTGTAAATGTGAAAAAAAGAGTCAAAAAAAAAAAAAAACTCGTGTTGATGGGAGAGCAAAATAGGAAGTGTATGTGCTGTTTTAGACATTAGCATTAGACTATATAAGAAGCTGTAGTAATTAAAAGAATAGGATTCCAGTACAGAGATGAATGAGTGGAACACAACAGATAGTACCAAAACAGATCATGCAGTGCACATGCGGAAAACTTGACGACGGTATTGAGAAAACTTCATCTCCACTGTTGGGGGAATGAGAAGTATTTTCCCACATCAGACTGCATATAAAAATAAATTATAGATTGATTAAAAATATAGATATATATAATCAAAACTATGGCTATATTAGAAAATTTTTTTAATTTTCTGTTATAGAAAGAATGAACACTCAAATTATAAACAAATATAACAGAATTCACTGCCTTCAAGATGTAAATATCTGTGGGCTGAAAGATACTACAAACTTAAGATATTGATGGCAAACTGGGGAAAAAAAAATACAACTTTTTTTTTTTTTAAGAGATGGGGTCTCACATTGTTGCCCAGGCTGGAGTGTAGTGGTGTGATCATGGCTCACTGCAGCCTCGAACTCCTGGGCTCAAGAGATCCTCCCACCTTAGCCTCCTGCGTAGCTGGAACTATAGGTACCTGTCCCTGCACCCAGCTACATTTTTTATTTTTTGTAGAGACAGGGTCTTACTGTGTCGCCCAGGTTACAAAACACAATTTAACAAATAACACAAGGTATTAATACCAAAATTGCAGGAACTGCTGGTTAGTCAACTCAAAACTCCTCACCAATTTATTTTGACTTTTCCTACCTCCATTCTAGGCATAAACTTCCTTGCAGCTTCTGGGAATGCTTTAGCTTTCTGATAAAAAGGACAGATGCCACTGGCACTGCTACTTTACGATCAAGAGGAAAAAGCCAAGAAAGAGACCGCACTGCTGACAAGCCTGAGCTACAGAGCAAATGCCAACAGCCTCCTACCTCTAGGCTTCTCATTGTGGAAGAAAAATAAATCCTTATTTGTTTAAGTCACTGTTAATCCAGCTCTTTGTTCCTTGCAGGGGACAACTCCAAATACGAACAGTAACATAATAAGAGCAAAACAGGGACCCTAACACAAAGACAAACAACCCAATAGAAAAATGAGTAAAGGTCCGAATAGATAATGCAGAGAAAAAGAGGAACAAATAAATGTGCATTAAATTTATAAGAATAAACTTATTCGAAAGGACAAATAAAACAGTGAGATAGCATTTTTCAGCCTCCAGATTGGCAAAAATGAAGAGAGAGAATGAGAAAGACAAAGAGAATGAAAGAAAGAAATACAATATCCAGGCTTTGAGAGAGTAGGGAATTCTATTATTATTATTATTATTATTATTATTATTATTATTACATGCTATTCCTTGGATTCCTTGGCACAATCATTTTGAAAGTCAATTTTTCGGCACCAATTAATCAAAATTTTAAATGGGTCTTCTCTTTGACCCAGCATTTCCTCTTCTTAGATTCTTACATTTGTTGTTGTTGTTTTGAAATGAAGTCTCGCTCTGTCGCCCAGGCTGAAGTGCAGTGGCACGATCTCAGCTCACTGCAACCTCCACCTCCCAGGTTCAAGCGATTCTCCTGCCTCGGCCTCCAGAATAGCTGGGATTACAGGTGCTCATCACCATGCCCAGATAATTTTTGTATTTTTAGTAGATACAGGGTTTCACCATGTGGGCCAGGCTGGTCTTAAACTCCTGACCTCAGGCGATCTGCCAGACTCAGCCTCCCAAAGTGCTGAGATTACAGGCATGAATCCCCGTGCCCGGCCTACATTTATTTTTAATTTTTATTTTTATGTTAAGTTCCAGGGTACATGTGCAGGTTTGTTACATAGGTAACAAAGGTGTGCCATGGTGGTTTGCTGCACCTATCAACCCATCACCTAGATATTAAGCCCAGCATCCATTAGCTATTTTTACTAATGCTCTTCCTCCCCAACCCCACCCCCCAACAGGCCTCAGTGTATGATGTTCCCCTCCCTGTGTCCATGTGTTCTCATTGTTCAGCTCCCAGTTATAAGTGAGAACATGCAGTGTTTGGGTTTCTGTTCTCACATTAGTTTGCTGAGGATAATGGCTTTCACCTTCATCCATGTCCTGCAAAGAACATGATCTTGTTCCTTTTTATGGCTGCATAGTACTCCCTGGTGTATATGTACATTTTCTTTATCCAGTTTATCATTGATGGCATTTGGGTTGATTCCATCTCTTTGCTATTGTGAATAGTGCTGCAATGAACATACACATGCATGCATCTTTGTAATAGAATGATTTATATTCCTTTGGATGTATACCCAGTAATGGGATTGCTGGGTCAAATGGTATTTCTGGTTCTAGATCTTTGAGGAATCGCCACACCGTCTTCCACAATGGTTGAACTAATTAACATTTCTACCAATAGTGTAAAAGCGTTCCTATTGTGTGTGTGTGCTCAAAGATTCATGTTCACAAATGATCACTACCAGACTCTGTAAGATATAAAAATGGAAATGCTTTTCATGAACATCATTAAAGAAATGGCTACATGAATAACCACTAGCAGAAATTAAAAGGAATAAGAGCAACTACAAGGACTAATATAGAAAACTGGCCAAGATATGTTGTTTTAAAATAAAATAAAATTTCAGATAAACTAGCACTCAGTAAAGAATCCCTGGATGAATAAAAATAAATTTCTAGTTGAATGAATGCATGATCCCAATTTTGTTTAATAAGCAACAAAACGATAAATGTGTCTTTGCAAAAGCATAAACAACGATCTTAGAGGACAGATACTAAGGCATTAAAAAATGGATACATCTAGGGAGAATGATAGTGAACCAGGGAGGGGACAACACGGTTTTCTGTTTTTATACTTCTATTTTATTTTATTGTTTAATAAACATATATTTATTTGGGAGATTTAAAAAACAAACATGTGAAAAATCTGCCTTACCTGTTCAGCAGTTAGAAATTAGTACTTTAACTCATTTGCAAATATGCTCAAGAATTACAACATAAAGTTTACACTGGAGCAAAATATTGTCTACTGTCTCAGGTTGAATCCAGGGTACAAACTTTAGGAGACTGGGGCAACATGAGAGAGGCCATTCAAAACCCGTTAAAATGAAGTTCAAGCAGTGTCAAAGCTGATCACCTTGCATCAAGCGATCCCAGCTCTTCAAATGATAATGCAGTCTAAGACTTGCATGATAGTAAGAGAATCCTGCATGCAATGTCACAGGCTGCTGCCGTATATGTAACAGCACCCATTAATAGCCATGATTGAAAGATTAGAGCTGATTACAGTTGTTAAATGTAGACGATCATTAGACAGATACCCCACCACATTCATTTCCAAAGTCTCTTTGCCAAAAGAGCTGAGTTCCCTTGGTAGTTGGTCTCCAAAGACAGCCTTCTTTCCATTCCTTTTTCCCTGCAATGAACCATGCCTCCTGGTATTCATGCCCAAATATAGCTTCCTCCTTTCAAATCTGGACTGGCCATGGGATTTATATTTGGTTGATAGAATACTGTGGAAGTGATGCAGGTCTGAGGCTAGGTCATGAACAGCCTCCAAGACTAGGTCAGGAAGGCTTACAGTTTCCACGGGGTCTTTTGGAATGCTTCCTCTAGGAAATCAGCTGGCTTGTAAAGGGGCAGCGTCCCTGAGACCATCATGCTGTAAGAATCCCAAGCCATATGGAGTGGCCACATGTGACAGCTCCAGTGGTCAGCTCCCAGTTGATAGCATCGTCTGTCTGCAGAGTAAACCCAGGCAGAACCGCTTCAGAGACTACACATGAGAACTACCCAACTGAGCCAAAGTAACCCACACAACTGTGAAAAATAATAACTATTATACAAAGAAGAATAAATTGTTATTTTAACTCACTAAATTTGGGGGTGGTTCATATGCAGCAATAGATAATCAGGACAGTTATCCATTTTCCAAGAAGAAAATATTCCTATGGGAATAAAATGTATGCTGTAGAAGTACAGGGAAGACTCCGTGCTTTTTGCCCAAACTTAGTAAATAACTTATGTTTATTGGTTGTATTGCTCATATTTTTAAATGCTTCATTTAATAAAATCCACCATCTCAGAGTTAGCCAGTATTATTGCCCTCATTTTATAGGTGCAAAAAGTAAGGTTTTTGAGAGTCAAAATAACTTGTTTAATATCACACAGCTAGCAAACAGTGGAGCCAGTACATCTGCACACTCACTCACCCAGGAATAGACTGATTATATGATCAGACAGAGTGTCTATAGGATCAGATACCTATAAAGGGGTACTAAGCCTCTTGAGTTCAAAATAGCTATTGGTCCCTGAAGTTCCTAATTTCTAGGATTCTAGTGGTGGACCCATACTTCCTAATTACTTCCTAATAATGGGATTAATAAAACACAAAAACAAAGAAAGATTTCAGGGTTAATTCAGTTAATTTACTGGGTATCTAAAACATGCCAGTCCAGGTCCAAGATACTGGGAAGAAAAAGATGAAAAAGGCAGCTTCTTCCTTCCAAAACATCACAGTCCGTGGGCTAAAGAGAAGCAAGAAAAATAAAAAATCACAGTACAGTGGGGCATATACGATCACTGAAATCTGTGGGAAGTTTTTAAGAGCAGATTGGAAGAAGTCCATGTTGTTTGACTGTGTCAGTTATCTCAGTGTGTGTTAACATAAATGCAGATCTTTCCATGTGAAATTCTTAGATGTTAATATCAGGACTACAAGTATTTCTCTCGACCTGGAAGAAGTGGTTCATAGTGCCATGTGTAATTCCAAAAATTTAAGCTAAAGCTTTAAGACTCCTTAAGGTGACCTTTTCTTCAACAAAAGGCAACCTCAACTGAGCCACTTCTCTGCCCACTGGAAAAGGGCATGCTCTGCAGCTGGACTTGCCATACGATAAAAAGTCCAAAATGTCAAGGAGCCATTGACTTGCATGTTTGTGCCAATATATTGCAAATATGGTTTTTTGTAGTGGTAGGGCTGGGCTCAGCCCCAAAGTGCCAGATGGTGCTGAGTACTCAAGAATAAAGCCATCTGCAGAACAACTCCTTCTACGGCCATTACAATTTGTACTGATTATAAGCCTCTATCAGAATGTCTTTAGGACTCTTATCTATGGATAATCCCATACTGTTCATTACAGCTCTGGGTTTAAGACCATAATGACAGTTACAAGAATGGGAAAACATATTGAAGCAATAGTCTCCACACCACCCACAGACGCAGGTTCTAGTTCCCATTATGCCATATTCATTGGAAACTCATAGACTGGAAGACAATTGAGACCTACTCGGGAAGGTGAATCTAATGACACAAGGAGCTCCATGAGATTGTCTCTGGTTTTGAATAAAATCTGAAGGAATAAAATATTAGAAGATTATTTAATATTAAATAAATATGAAAATTAAATACAGGCCAGGCACAGTGGCTTACACCTATAATCCCAGCACTTTCAGAGGCCAAGGTAGGCAGATATTTTGGGCCCAGGAGTTCTAGACCAGCTAGGGCAACATGGTGAAACCACATCTATACAAAAAATACAAAAATTAGCTGCCTATAGTCCCGGTTATTCCAGAGGCTGAAGTGGGAGGATCCCCTGAGCCTGGGGAGGTTGAGGCTGCAATGAGCCATGATCACGCCACTGCACTCCAGCCTGGGTGACAGAGCAAAACTCTGTTTCAAAAAAATAAAGTGGCCGGGCGTGGTGGCTCACGCCTGTAATCCCAGCGCTTTGGGAGGCCGAGGAGGGTGGATCACGAGGTCAGGAGATCGAGACCATCCTGGCTAACACAGTGAAACCCCGTCTCTACTAAAAATACAAAAAATTAGCCAGGTGAGGTGGCGGGCACCTGTAGTCCCAGCTACTTGGGAGGCTGAGGCAGGAGAATGGCATGAACCCCGGGGGGCGGAGCCTGCAGTGAGCAGAGATCGCACCACTGCACTCCAGCGTAGGTGACAGAGCAAGACTCTGTCTCAACATAAATAAATAAATAAATAAATAAATAAATAAATAAATAAATAAACAAACAAATATAAATTAAAGTAAAGTAAATACAAATCTCATTTGGCCAACTATGAGAGTCTTCTGTCTTAGACCAATAAGCTTACTTGACCACAGATGGCCCATGGATTGGGTTTGGCATCCCAGGCTCTTTCATGTGTAATATTTGGGTGCTGCTTCTACCAATAAAAACTCCACAGTGTTTATTTGATCCAAGCTGTAAGGATGTGTAATACCTTATAAGAGGATGTTCTGTAGGTGATTAAATTCTTTGCTGAATCAGTTTTGGCCCCAGTAGGTTGATACTTTATTTCTTTACAGTGCTCAAAACATTAAGGTCCTCATAAAATGAATTAATGATCCATTGTAAAATGCCCTTTATGGAAAAAAATCACTTTTATATTCCAGGAAACTGATATTACATTATCTTTACCATCATAATATGATAGTATCTAAGAACTATTTGCATAGAAACACTAGCTAGGCTGGAAGCTACGTGATGACCAACAACTTATTTGATATTAGGAGTAAAATAAAATATGAGAGTTATTTAACTTAACCTATTGAAACACCCTTTGGTGGAACAGTCAAGATACCAAAAGACTTCACAGAATCCATATGCCATGTGGGTTTCTGGATTGTAGTAGTTGCGTCTCAAAATGCTCAAAGGAATCCTAAACCTATTTTAAATTCCTACTGCCATAACTGAAACTCTCTGTCAGCTGTTTGCAACAAAAGGCTTCCCAGAAATAATTTTTGGGACATTTATGTCAAAGAGATTTAAGGAAAATTGTCGACAGGAACCTTATCTGAACTGTCTCTATCACTCTCCAATCATGCACCAGTGAGTATCAGTATGAAAGTGATATACTGTTGATCAAGGGTGCCTTATGGTGTTGTAAGAAGAGATCGACCAGAAAGAACATTTTAGTTTCCACTGATTGACAGGCCATGGAAGGTATAACTCAACCATATCATTCTGGACTTAACCACTGTCTTCTAATACAAATATTTCATGATAAAAGTATTCCACATATGGTTTCTTCTCGGCCTATACTTTCTTCCTTTTGACCAGGAGTGTTAACCTTTTTTCAGCAAAGGGATTGGACCTGCCTTAAAATGGAGCTCAAGTTCAATGCCACATAAAGTTCGCAGTGCTGATTGGCTTTTGTGATCATCACTTCAACAATAAAATTAGATGTTCTTCCAAGAGTGGGGCATGTCAAGGCAGAAAAATCCATCCTAGAGCCTCTTATGACTGACCTAGACTCTCATGCTAAAAATTTATCATAGACAAAACAGTGAAGAGCGATATTCACTGATCACTGTTGTGAGACCCTGGCATTTTTATAAACACTAGAATATAACACAAAGCCCTATTGTCAGGAAAAGAAAAAGACCATGTAAATAACTGAAAGAGAAGTCTCCTGTGTATCAGAAATTGGAGATCACTCAATGAGAATGCTAGTCCGGAGGGTGGAGAGGATGTTTTTATTTTCCTGATAAACATGCATAATGGCTGAGAAACCACTACTAACTGTCTTAAAGGTAGAAAATTATGGGAATATTCTAAAACAAAAATGGAGGAAGGGAAGATCCAATGGGTGATTTCACATGTTATCTCTGTGAGTTTCTGCTTCCTTTTGTCTTTCAAAGGGAAGGTCACCAGCAAGACAGCCAAGTCTTCCTTTGTGAGATTTCCTTTGCTTTCTTCATGATGTCTTCATAAAATCAGATACATCTTCCCAAACAGCTACATAAATAATAAAGTGATACACTCCCTACATTCCATAAATATATTATCTTTGTTCCAAGAAGTTAATCTTTAGAGATCTGTTTTTAAAGGATCAATACCAAGGAGGATATATACAGAGTCCTGGATTTACACATGTCAGATACTTTAATTTCAAGACTTTTTACTCAGGGTCGGTTCCTGTACTGTAGCCAGTCTTTAGGTGGCAGTGATGGTTATCTGACAACTTCAAAATGAAGAGGTCCCTAAACCTGCCAGATCCCCTTAACCAAAGGCCAAATTCCACAGTGCCAAGACCGATTTGATTTCATTTTATTTATGTAGAACAGTGACACCTAGTGGCAGGGAAGGCAAATCACAAAAGAGAATTCTCTGGTGGCACCTCCCCCATCTCATCGGGATTAGTGAAAAAAGTGACCCAAAAAGGGCTTCGCTCTTTTCTCGGCTGAGTGTTGGCCTTATTTTGAAAGTCTGCAGTGATTCGTGGTTAAGAGCCATCTCAGTGGGCTGGACCTATTCTAGCTTCTCTGGAAGGACGCAAACCCAGTTATAGATCTCAAGAGTGGGCGGGTCTAGGAAAAGACTTAGAAGGGACTGGTGTTCTAAAGACAGAGCGTGAGAAATAAACCCACCCCAGATCCTAAATAGCCAACTAAGGACACTGTGGAATTATCCAAAGACTCCAGGGTAAATAGCATGCTGAGGAAATTTTACCAGTAACAGAGAGATGGAAGAATGAACTGCAAATATGAATCACGATCCTATATTTGTTGGTTTTCTGCCATTAGACTGAGCTCCTTGAGAGCTGAAACTATTATCTTTGCCTTTTGTTAGAACCAGCCACATATGTCTGACAAATGGCAGGTGCATAAGTAAATGCTGAATGAAAGAGAGAGAGAGCATGCAATAAAGAGAATGAATCGGGTCAGATAAGTACTTCTGGGAAAACTAACTAAGATAAGAAGAAGCCTGCACTGTAGTCCCACTAAAGCTAAGATAGCTTTTAGCAAACTTGATGTAGTTAAATAGCAGCGGTAGTCGTTAATATCGACTGAATAAGTAGGATACACGATTCCAGCATATTTCTCTATTAGTATTCCTGTTTAGCATCTGGGAAACCAAAGCACATTTACATAGCTGAGAAGCTGCAGAGTTGGGGTTCTAACCCAGGCAATCTGGTTCCAGGGTCCGTTCTCTGCACCTTCATGCTGGGCTGCCTCCTTTCAATTAAAGTGGTTATTCACTGGGAAAACATGGACATCAAGATGGCAACAGTAGACACTGCGGACTACAAGAGGGGGAAGTGGGGGAGAGGGAGGTGGGTTCAAAAACTACCTTTCGGGTACTATGCTCACTATCTGGGTGATGGGACCATTCCTACACCCAACCTCAGTGACATGCGATTTACCCATAAAACAAAGCTGCACATGTAGCCCCTGAACCTAAAATAAAAGTAAAAAAATAAATAAATAAAGTGACGATTTAAGTCCCAAGAGAAGTATTTAATATGCAACAGGATTTTTTTTTTAAAGAGTGAGACCTGTCAGTGCATTTAAAATATGATTTACACATATTTCTTCAGTGAATCTGTTATATAGGACCTGTACCCTAACATGCGCCTTACAAAGGACTATCCTGGTTGGAATATTCACATATCCCATCAAATAGATAGCCATAGGTAGGCACTGAGCTCTCCCCATCTTAAAGACATTTGGCTACTATAATGTCAGCATATCTGACATGAGAAAGCGTTCTTATTCTCTGCTCTCTCCCCATGCCCTAGTCTTTTTAAAAACAAGATTCTTTCATTCCTTAAGAGTTCCTGGAAAATTTCTGGAAAATAATCCTCATCATTTTTTTCACATATTCCTTATCCAGCAAAAAACACTTCCCCCTGAGTCTGTACATAATCCCGGTTTGCCTACCTAGGGCCTTGTTCATCCAAAATGAGAGGAAAGCAAGATGTGGGTGTGGGTTCACACCCAGGATCCTCATGTGATTCCTCTGAACGTGAATGAGCTGAATGGCATCCAATGAGTTTTTTGACACAATGATCGTCTGCAGCAGAAATCTCATGGCTGACCCTAGTCCCCAAGGTAAGGTCAGCTGTTATACTGGAGAAGGGGATCTGCCATCGCCTAACTCCATTGGAAATCATCCATGAACTGCGGATTGGAAAATCAACCATGACTGGTCTCAACCCATACTGACCTGGAAAGATCTGGGGACAAAATGAGTCCCAAGAGAAGAGGTGAGCACAAAACCACATAACAATGCCTCTCTGAATGTCCTTTCTCATTACGATGGCCAGTGTTACTGATGAACCAGTTGTCGAGTACATTTTGGGAGGTACCATATCCATAGTCCTGAAGTCACCTTAACTATAAATTGTGTAGGCTTCCTTTAATATGAATTCTTGCTACCTTGGGTTTTCTGTTCCTTATATCCTTTATTCAAGAATTATGCAAGGTTATATTCTGGGTCTATTGTAATTTAACATTTATAGTCCATAGTGCCTCTGGGACTAGATTACCTCCCTGCATGATATTGTTTTTCATTTCTACGCTGACAAACACGCCATTTCAACTGTCACTTAAGCAGCCAGTTCAAGCTCTACTGTTATTTTAGCTCCATATTGTCAAACGGGTGGATTTATAAATGTGTTACCTGAAGGAAACATTCCCCTAAATAGCAGAAGTGGAGACTTTATTTATTTATAATTATTTGTTAGATTTGTAAAAATGTTCCTGTTGCTAAAAAGCCTCTGGCTAAATACAAATTAAAACACTTTTGAATGTAGTAAAATCAGCAGTGGCATCATTTTAATTACCCATTGGGAGATGTCAGGCAGCAAAGATGTATTTCTTTCTTTCCTTCCTTGGTTAACAGGACTGCCTGCTTAGGGATATGAACTTCCTGTCTACATGTCTACGACACAGACTGCCTGGCCCCCAGTCCATCTTCATGTGGTGCAGTCATCCATTTGAACCCCTATGCATGGGTAGGGGTCCAAAAGAAGACAGAAGGCACAGCAGAAATTTATTTTTTTGTAATTTTGGCTCCTTAGCACTCCTTCACCCCTTCCTAGTGATATCCTGATTTGGCGAGGGGAGGCCACCTGGGAACATCATGCCCTTCCGTTTTGTAGGCTTGGTAGGAAAATAATTCAGGATGATCACCTCCCAACTCAGAAGAGACCAGCTTGTTCCTCTTCTGGTCTGGACATGACTATGATTTCCGCCACCCAGCCCTCCGGAATGCCCTTGGTTTCTGTCCATTTCCAAGTATGGTCTCCTATTTCCCTTTCCTCAGTCCCCTTATTTTCCCACTAAGTTCTCTTCTGCTTCAGTGAGCCAGCGTCAATTTCTGTTGCTCGCAAGCAAGAAGTCTGACTTTTTATAGAGATGGTTAAAACAAAAACAAAACAGTGTGGCTCACCCTTTGGTATAAGAGAGAAAATGCAGATCTGTTTCCAAACCCAATCAGCCCCCGGCAAGTCACAACACATTTTTCTTCAGTGAAAAGAAACAGCACAGAATTGCCCTTATGCAGACCTGATTTTGACTTCTGACTTCTCCACTTACTGGACCTGAGCAAGTTCCTCAACCTCTCTATGCCTCCGTTTCCTCATCTGTCAAATGGGATTACTGTAAGCAGATTCCTGGGAAGTGCATGTAAAGCATTTTTCTCTATTGATGGCACATGGTAGGTACAATGCTCAATCAACGTTAGCCAACTTGATTTTTTTTTTCATCATCTGTCAACTGAGGAATAATAATATCCCCACTCACTCACAGAGTTATTTTCAGGATGAAATGTGTGAGACAATACTTTGAAATATAAAAAGAGCCTACAAGTAGGAAAGCAGGAAAAAATAGAGAAGCTGCCCTCTGGCTCATGCACAGAATTGAACTGACTCATATGGCAAGGCAGTGTTTGTTCAGCAATTCCTCTAGCAGGGGATGTTTAGCAAGTAGTCAGGAGTTTTGATGTTCAAACAACAACGGGGGAAGGAAAGCTGCCCTGGAGACTTAAGAGGCATATTTTAGGAAAGCCTCTCTTTTTAAAATTAATTAATGATGATACATTTTAGACATTAAATAGGCATAAAGAATCTTAGAATGAAAACCAACACACCTATCACTTAGCTAAAGAAATAAAACCTAACTCATGGTGATGAAACCCCTTGTGTAGTTTCTACCACATTCCTTCCTTTCTCTAATTTCTTTTGGGTTTTTTTCTTTGGTTGGTTGGAGGGATGGTTGGTTTATTGTTTTTTGTGTTTTGTGGTTTTTTTGAGACAGGGTCTCACTCTGTCGCCCAGGCTGGAGTGCAGTGGTGCGATCTCAGCTCACTGCAACCTCTGCCTCCCAGGTTCAAGCGATTCTTGTGCCTCAGCCTCCCAAGTAGCTGTGATTACAGGCACGTGCCCCCACACCCAGCTAATTTTTGTATTTTTTGGTAGAGACAGAGTTTCGCCATGTTGGGCAGGCTGGTCTCGAACTCCTGACCTCAAGTGATCCACCTGCCTCGGCCTCTTAAAGTTCTGGGATTACAGGCGTGAGCCACCACGCCTGGCCTTCTCCTCTAATTTCTTATAAATATTCATCCCTACACAATATGCAACTATATACATATATATAGCATGTTTTGTATATTTTTAAATTATACTATAAATGGCTACACATTACATAGATACTTGTGCAACTTGCTTTTCATCTCTCAACATTGATTTTGTCATACCACCATGGCAGCGTGTAGTCCTGTTCATTGTAAGAATATATCACAATTCATTGGTGAAGGGCCTTTAGATTACTTCCCATCCAACATTCTTTCATCATTCTTTTTGCACCTCAATGCCAGAATTTCTCTAGGCCAGTAATTCTGAAACTTGAAACTCAATTTACATCACCTAGAGGACTTCTTAAAACAAAGATTGCTGAGCCCCCTCCTGGAGTTTTTATTTAGGAAGTGTGAGATAAGACCCAAGAATGTTTACACATTTCCAAGTGATGTTGATGTTGCTAGTTTAGGGGCCACCCTTTGACAACCATTGCTGTAAGCTATATTTAAGAGAAGTGGTAGGTCATAAAATAAATAACACCTTCAGCTTTGCTAAAGATCAGTAAATTACTTCCTAAAGCAGTTGAACTGACAATGTTATGTGTTCCCATTTTGATTTTCGCATGCACCCCGAAAACCAATCTTGGCCATTTTTTTTTCAAATTTGCCAATTAATCTTCCCCACCAAGCATCACTTATTAGTTTCATCAGACCTAGCACACAGCACACATTGCCAAGTTTGTTATGAATGGGTGAAGTGCTAGCCAGTTATCTGGATTCTCCTACAACATTCTTATCCTGGGGATGGAAACGATTCAGGTCTCTGAGGCAAGAACTAAAACTCTTTCTGTGATTGGGACATGCTTTGTGACTTTACTTATTGATTTCCTTGGATTTCAAATTATTCTTGTTTTTCCAGTAATCCTTGGTGCATATCCAAAATGGAGCTCATGCAGACTGAGTCTCCCCTGTCCACGGCATCAGAGAAGAAGCAGAAAATGTACATCTATCAGTTTCTACCACATGTGGGGCACTTAATCTCACTTCATGTTCACAGAAGTATATGTTGCAAGCATTACTGGCTCCAATTCATAGAGCAATAGTAATAATAACATCAGTACTAATGATAACAACAGCCAAAGTTATTAAGTGCTTATGATATATCAGGTACTGTTCTAAGTTCCTTACATGGGTTGACTCACTTAATCCTCACTACAAACCATGGTATGAATACTACAATTCTTGCCACTTAATGGATAAAGTAAAGGTTTAGAGCCGTTCAATAACATAATCCCAGTCACCTTGTCAGTCCATGAAATCCAGATTTGGTTGACTCCAAGATCAAGATTGACTCCAAGATCAATCTTGGATCAAGAATCCAAGATTTCTTTCTTTTTCCAATTGATCAATATCAGTCATTTCCCTTCTTCCCATAAAAAAACGGAATCCTAACTTTAGGGGCATGCAACTTCAATGTGGTTTCTATCAATTCAGCTGAAATCGGTCCAAAGGTCTCAAGCTATTAAGGCAAAACACACAGAAAATTATTTGAACAGTCTATTTTTTTTTCCAGGGGAAATTAGCTAGGTTTAGTGGACCAAATCTCCAACTGAAGCTGAAAATAAACATGAAATTTAATTTAAAAATATATTTACTGATACCTCTCTGTGAATCAGATGCCCAGCTGGCGTATGCCCCAGTATAAAGGATGCGAACTTAGCCAAAGAGGGGCTTTTCTACAACCAGCCAGACCCAGACCATTCACATTCAGAAGCCATTGCTTTTTCTGTACCTTATTTTTTGTTTGGGGAAATATTGAGAGAGTCTTTGCTGCAAATTGTGCTATCAGACAAGATAAATGATCATCAAAATACAGTCAGCAAAATTTTAAAATATGGATAAAGGAAAGATATTAATATCCTTTCTAAGGTAATCAGTACTTTTTGTTTGACAAAGAAATTGCCCACTGTTTATGGTTTATGCAAATAATGTATGCTAATGTCGAGGCTGCATAGTATATAGCTTTGCATATAAGTGTTTGTAGAAAATACATGCCAATACATTTTAAACCTCTTCCTCATATAAACACAACGATTTCATAAATATACAGCACCTTGTTCTTAAAAACATTTATTATGATTTTATGCAATGCAAATCACATTAGAATAAATTATTTTTTGCTAAAATGGCAAAGTCAGCAAAACTACAGGGAAAAATTAAGTCCGAACCATTGTGTGCTTTTCAATTACATCAAAGTGAGCTGACACCTCCCTGGTGGCATTCACTGGGATGCTCTGAGCCAGTGGGGCCCTAGCCTCTCCGCCAGCCCAGGGGCTCTCTGTGTTCATGGCATCAAGTCTTGTTTCTGCATTTGAGAACAAACTTTCTTTATTATGGATTAATAATGAGGACTGGCAGCCATAAATTTTTCCTTGTTTTTAGATGAGAATCAGCCCCGGTTGACTAAGGAACAAGACCCTGATGGAGACCCTGATCCTCTTAAAAGGATCAGTAAGAAGATGTTGAGTGAAAAAGAGGATATATGGGACTATATTTTTATTTTTATGTATGTTTGCAACAGGGTCTCACTCTGTCACCCAGGCTGAAGTGCAATGGTATCATCATGGTTCACTGCAGCCTCAACAATCCTGGGTCCAAGTGATCCTCCTATCTCAGCCTCCCGAGCAGCTGGAACCACAGACATGCACCACCACACACAGCTAATTTTTAAATTTATTGTAGAGTCATAGTCTCCCTATGTTGCCCAGGCTGGTCTCAAACTCCTGGACCCCAGCAATCCTCCTGCCTTGACCTCTCAAAGGGCCGGGATTATAGGTGTGAGTGACTGTGCCCAGCCTATGTGATTATAAATATTTATTCATATCCTAACCAAATCTTCACTCATGTATTTGTGCACTCATTCATTCAACAAATTTTTACCAAGCACCTACTATGTGCCAGGAATGATTTCATCATTAGAACAATGGGCATAACAGACAGGGCCCATGTTCTTGTGGAATTTATAGGAGGTGAATATAGAGCTTGGGTCAATATGCAAAATTTTTATCTTTATTTTTATTTTTATTTTTTTGGACAGGGTCTCACTCTGTCGCCTAGGCTGGAATACAGTGGCATGGTCATAGTTCATTGCAGCCTCAATCTCCAGGGCTAAAGCAATCCTCCCACCTCAGTCTCCCGAGTAGCTGGGACTACATGTGAATGTGACCACGTCAGGTTTGTGTGTGTGTGTGTGTGTGTGTGTGTGTGTGTGTGTGTGTGTGTGTAGAGACGGGGTCTCATTATGTTGCCCAGGCTGGTCTCAAACCCTGGCTTCCAGTCATCCTCCCAACTTGGCCTGCCAAGGTGCTAGGATTACAGGTGTGATCTACCATGCCCGGTCAGTATGCAAGTAAGTGAGGGTGATTATTTCAGATACTGGTGAGTGACATGCTTCTGATGAGTGAACCAGTGGGGAGCATGTGGAGAGAGCACCCTTGATGGGGTGGTGAGGGAACACTTCTCTGAAGAGATGACATTTGAGGCAAAACTTAAATGAGGAGACACAGCCAAGCATGGCAAGATGAGGGGAAGGCATTCAAGCCACAGCAGAGGCAAAGGCCTGAAGAAGGAAAGAAGACTAAAGTCAGGTGGCTGAAGTGCAGGGAGGAAGAGGAAGAGCAGCAGAATGTGAGGCCAGGTTGGCTAGAGTCCTGGAGGCCACAATATGGAGTTTAGAGTTGATCCTGAGAAGTGTGGGAAGCCACTGGGTGCTTACACAAGGCATTGGCACATTCTGAAATGTCCCTGTGTGAACGGATTAAAAATGAGAAAGGGGAGTCCAGCTGGAAGGTCGTCACTATACTCAGGATAAGAGATAGAGGTGGGTTGGAACAGTGACTGAGCTGTGATCGTATAGATGTAGACCAATTGGGGATAGAGCTGACAGCTAAAAAAAAAAAAAGACATGGATTGAAGGTGGGGAATGAATGGAAAGAAAGAATCAAGACTAACTCCTCAGTTTTTGATGTCAGCTGGTCAGAGAATGAAGTCCCACTGATTAAGGGAAAGCAGATTTGGGGGAAATCAAGACATCCATTTCAGGACACTGGGGACACTGGCGACATCTTTAAGTCAACTTAGTCATTGGATATAGAAGGACAAACTCAGAGAAGTAGTCAGAGGGGTCAGAGCTCTAAATCTGGGGTTCTGAGAAGAACAGGTGATGCCTCCCCCTGCAGAGGAGAGAACCTGTAAGCAGAAGATGTGGGCAAGACAGAGGCTCAGGACACATCGTATGATTCTTCAAACAAGAAATCTCCATTGGGGTGATAAAATTTACAAAAGCCAAGATGGTGAAAGAGGATAAAGAAAGAAAAGAAAAGCAATGTAAATGTGGCATCGTGAAACGTGCACTGATCTTACATTGATAACCACTTTGGTTCTGTTTTTAGCTAACTTTTATTGTCTACTATCTTCCAGGCACTATAAAAAAGTAACAGTTTATCTCTTCAACTAAGGCTTTTTTCCATGTGGAAGAGCCCATTTAATGTATTTTAGGCTGGGTGTGGTGGTTCATGCCTGTAATCTCAGTATTTTGGGAGGCTGAAGGGGGTGGATTGCCTGAACTCAGGAGCTCGACACCAGCCTGGGCAACATGCCGAAACCACGTCTCTACTTAAAATCCAAAAAATTAGCCAGGCGTGGTGGTGTGTGCCTGTAGCCCCAGCTACTTGGGAGGCTGAGGTGGGAGACTCGCTTGGACCCCAGAGGCAGAGGTTCCATTAAGCTGAGATTGCACCACTGCACTCCCACCTGGGCGACAGAGCAAGACTCCAACTCAAAAACAAATTAAAAATAAAAATAAATAAATAATTTTTTAAAATAGTGTATTTTACACCATGTAATATTATGCAGTCATAAAAAAGAATGAGCTCATGTCCTTTGCAGGGACATGGATGAAACTGGAAGCCATCATCCTCAGCAAACTAACACAGGAGCAGAAAACCAAACACTGCATGTTCTCACGTGTAAGTGGGAGTTGAACAATGAGAACACACAGACACAGGGAAGGGAACATCACACACCGGGGCCTGTTGCAGGGTCGGGGCAAGGGGAGGGAGAGCATTAGGACAAATAACTAATGCATTCAGTGTTCAAAACCTAGATGATGGGTTGATGGGTGCAGCAAACCACCACGGTACATGTATACCTACGTAACAAACCTGCACATTCTGCACATGTATGCTGGAACTTAAAGTAAAATTAAAAAATAAAAATGAAATAGTGTATTTTAAATACTCTTGGCTTCTCTCTACCCATGTGCCTACTCTGCCCTGATAGAAATGAAGTGATTTTCCTGATTGTCACATTTAGGGCAAAATGTCTTTTCTCCTCTAGGCAGCAAGCTGCCCAAAGGATGTAGGGTTTCTCCTCTGCTCCTTCATACAGTAAATTCTTATTCTAGGCAAGTCTCCATGAAGGGAGGCTTCTCCCAATCAAGTGTTATCTGTCTGTGCCTAAGTAGGTAACAACCTTAATGTTCATGTGGGAATTCAGCCAAGAGACACACTTGTTGCACACTAAGCCGTATTCCCCATTTGCCCTTGGTCAGTAATAAAGATAACGTGATTGCCTCTGTCTGTCACTTCTTGGTCTTTATTTAGAACTCAGGCAGAAGAGAGGAATGCTATTTATTGCTCAACCCAAGCTGCCTTGAAGACCCCAACAGGCACTTTCACGTGCATTAAATTCTCACATGAACCTTATAGTGTTCTTCATATGATCCACCATAAAGATGGGAAAACTAATGCTCAAGTAAGTTTAATCACTTGTCCAAGTTCACAAAACTGACTAGTAAAAAAGCTTCTCTAGCTAGAGGCCATTACCCTAAGCAAACTAACACAAGAACAGAAATGCAAATAGCACATGTTCTCACTTATAAGTAGGAGCTGAACCTCAAGTATGTTTGCACATGGACACCTGGGCCTACTGGAGGGCAGAGGGTAGGAAGAGGGTAAGCATCAAAAAACTACTTATCGGGGGCCAGGCACAGTAGCTGACACCGATAATCCCAGCACTTTGGGAGCCTGAGGTGGGTGGATTGCTTGAGCCCAGGAGATCGAGTCTGGCCTGGCCAACAAGATGAAACCCCATCTCTACTAAAAATACAAAAACTAGCTGACTGTGGTGGCGGGTGCCTGTAGTCCCAGCCACTTGGCAGGCTGAGGCAGGAGAATTGCTTGAACCCAGGAGGCGGAGGTTGCAGTGAGCTGAGATCATGACACTGCACTCCAGGCTGAATGACAGAGCAAGACGCTGGAAAGAGAGAGAGAAAGGGAGAAAGAGAGAGAGAGAGAGAGAGAGAGAGAGAGAGAGAGAGGGAAAGAAAGAAAGAAAGAAAGAAAGAAAGAAAGAAAGAAAGAAAGAAAGAAAGAAAGAGAAAGAAAGAAAGAAAGAAAGGAAAGAAAGCAAGCAAGAAAGAAAGAAAAGAAAGAAAGAGAAAGAGAGAGAGAAAGGAAGGAAAGGAAAGGAAGAAGGGAGGGAGGGAGGGAGGGAAGGGCTGCTTATGAGGTACTATGCTTTTTATCTAGGTGAAAAAATAATTTGTACACCAAATCTGTACATCCTGCAGCACACAATTTACCTCTATCAGAAATCTACTCATGTGCCCCTGACCCTAAAATAGAAGTTAAAAAAAAAGAAACCTCCTCTCCTCATAAAGAAGCTTTCCTCACTTAGTATCTTCTGAATCTGAAACTTGGTTTCAACACGAGCTCTGCTGATTGCTAGCTCCGTAGCTTGTGACAAGCTTCCTCATCTGTTAACATGGAGGATAATTTCACAGAAGCATCTTGTGAATATTAAATGAGCTAAAATTCACAAATCAATCTGGCACATAGTAGGCCAGATTGACTCTTGAAAGAAATTTCTACAAATTAGGAAACTTTAAAACTTTACCATTTTAAAGTTTAAACTTTAAAATTATCTAATGTAAGGGAGAAACGAGAATATGCTAAATGTAGCATCCTTGGTGGTTTTTATTCTAAGAACCTCTTTTTGGGACTTTATGTCCAAATGATTACTTCAGTAAATAACTGATTTCCGCTAAGATAGAAACCAAAAGCTTGTTGTTGTTTTTTTTTTTTTTGTGAAGACAGCATTATTCTGTTTATTACATTGACAATTAACAGTAAGTTTTGAAAGACAGGAAAGTCTTCAAAGGAATTTGGGGAACTGTATTCTGACTTGTCAGTGAATGCTGTGGCCTTCCCTGTCCCACCTAAATGACATCTGCCTGGGTCATAGACACCTGCAGGTGTCGATCAGGGTATGGATGGCAGTCACTCTCTGCTTATTGCTTGAACGAAGGAATTGCAAACTCTGACACTATTATGGAGCTGATCCCTTACTGGCTCGGACAAGGAGAAAGCCAGTTTGTAGGACCGTGTGGCTTTCTATGCAACTGACACACAGAAAGACCAAATGGCTCCAAGAAAGAGTCTGAGAGCAGCTACGTTGGATCTCAATGGCTTTCTGATTATTGGTCCTAGTGTCTCGTCCCTGCTGGGTTTTCAATTTCTGGTTCTAGCCTCTTGAGAAGTCTGGCTCTATTTCTTATTAACTTCCATTTTCTATCTTTGAGTCCATATAATAAAGTGCCCTTCCTTTTCTTTTTTATTTTTTTCTGTAGCCTAGTTTGAATGATCCTCTGTTACTTGCAAACAAAGGCACACCGAGGACTGCAGCTTTTCACTGAGGTTGGAGGTAATACTGAGGATCATCACTGTCTTGAAAATGGCACATTCTGGAAGACTTGAAAAGGGCAAGCATGTCTGATTTATAAAGAGATAAACCCACTCATGGAAATTATATACCATGAAAGCTATTAAAATCACCCGGGAAATTACTAAAATAATCATGCCTCCCTTCAGCCACAGGCTCCTATCCCTCCAACTTGACGATTCAACTGCTTCCTTTGTTGACCTCACCAAGACATTTTGTCACTGGTTCCTAGACTATCTTCCTTTTTTTTATAGTGCCCTAGCCCCACCCCACTCCTCACATGTTCATTTCCCTTGCTAGGTGCATTTGGTCCATGGTTCTTATTTTTGCAATTTCCTTGATAATATCCTTGATTTCCTTGATATCCTTGATTTCCTCAATAATATCCTTGCCACCCAACCCCTTCCCCATTTCACTAGACCCACCAGGGGGAAATTCCAGGCCTCTATGAGCCATGTCCTCCCTTTATCTGCATGCAATGGACTGAATTGTGTCTCTCCACCAAAAAGAAAAATTATGTGTTTAAGTTAACCTCCAGTACCTCAGAACGTGACTGTAGTTGGAGACACTCCAAATATGGGTGCAAGTTTATGAGGAACAGACACCTACAAGAGGCACCTGCACCCATACTTGAAGCTATGCTGCTCTGAAGCCTGAAGGAGTTCTTGAGGTCCAGAAGGAAATTCTGTAGCAGAAAAAAGGCCATTTCTACAAGATGCACGTGGCCAGCAGGGGCAGGAGATCATCTTTCTGAGCTCCATAATGAGCAAGTTCTAGGAAAAAACAAGCCATCTGGAGAATAAGTTCACCTCAAGTTTGTCATATTGGATGAGATCCTAAGACTCAGCAAAGACACTATAGAGCTCTTGTGGGATGTGCCCAAGCTGAATGATGAAATATCCCAGGAAAACACATACCTACACAGGGGGATCCTAAGATTCTAAGACCCTAGAGACTTTAAAGGGCAAAGAATTTCTGGTGGGACACCAGGACACCACCTGTCACAACTATTCCATGAGTGATCTACTCTTCAGCGGTTCATCTAAAACATCAAAGTATGGGCCTCATTTACCAACTCCAGTGACAGAATACACTAGAAGAAATGCTAGTATGATGATGAAGCTTTGCATCCAGAGACCAAATCCTAGAGTGGCTCTGCAGATGATATCATCATTATCTGGGACATCCAGAGCCTGAATAAGGTGAACACAGTTAGCACATATGGCAGTCTTACGTTCACACAGGTCTCTGCACACAATGCTGTTGAGTGGGTTCCAAAAGACCAAAAATTCTGGAATATTATGAATACCAATGTGGAGCTAAAGGAGTTGAACAGCCTCCAGCAGTAAGCTCAGGACCCAGTGGTGCCCCACAGCAGCATGAACAGTGGCTCCTACAAGACCATCAAGATCTGAAACACCCAGACCCTCAACTGCTTGCATGTCCTGCAGACGTCCAGCTGCAAGATCTACACCATCACCATCACAAACCATTGCACCATCTATGCAACTAGGGGAACCCCAGTATGTTAGCTTCCTAAGTTTGCCATAGCAAAGTACCACAATCTGCTGACTGATAACAACAGCAATTAATTCTCTCACAGTTCTGGAGCTGAGAAGTACAAAATCAAGGCGTAAGCAGAGTCATACTCTGAAGGTTTCACGAGAGGATCCTTACTTGCCTCTTCCTAACTTCCGGTGGTTGCTGAAATCCTTGACATTCTTTGACTTGTAGATGCATCAGTGCAATCTCGGCTTCTGTTGTCACATGGGATTCAATCCGTTTGTCTCTTTTGTCTTGATGTCTTCACAAAGAATTCTTCTCTCAGTGTGTCTGTGTCCAAATTTCCCTCTTCTTGTAATGACAACGATCATTGGATTAGGGCTCATCCTATCCAATATGACTTCATCTTAACTTGATCACATCTGTAGAGACTCTATTTCCAAATGAGGCTACATTCACTGGTTCTGGGTGTTAGGACTTCAACATATTTTGAGAAAGGCATAATTCTGCCCATAACACTCATCCACATGTGAATCATCAAACACAAGGAGAAGGTGCAGAACTGATAGCCAGTAGGGCACTATATATGACTTGATAGTCATCTCCATTCCAGAACAGACCAAAGACTTCTATATGTGGCACCTCTGCCCCTGGGACCTGGAACAGGAACAGCCAGATCTGCACACAAGACCCTCGTATGCTGATATGGTTTGGCTGTGTCCCCACCCAAATCTCACCTTGAACTGTAGCTCCCATAATTCTCACGTATCATGGGAGGGACCTGGTGGGAGGTAATTGAATTATGGGGGCAGGTCTTCCCCATGCTGTTCTCTTGATAGTGAATACGTCACATAAGATCTGATGATTTTATAAGAGGAGCTCCCCCGCACAAGCTCTCTTGCCTGCTGCCATGTAAGACATGACTTTTCTCCTCCTTTGCCTTCCGCCATGACTGTGAGGCCTCCAAAGCCATGTGGAACTGTGAGTCCATTAAGCCTCTTTCCTTTATAAATTACCCAGTCTCGGGTATGTCTTTATTAGCAGGGTGAGAACAGACCAATACACATGGCAACTGGGAGAGTGCTGTGCTGGCAATGTCCCATATCTGGCCATAAACAGTATGTGGAAGGATCGGATTTGCTCATTGAGTATTCAGGCCAGGTCTTGGTTCTCCCTGGAGGTATCCTGAGTCTGTCTGAGCCAGGCCTCCCTATCAGCAGACCTCCCTGTTTCTGTGTCTTCCCTTCAGGGGCACCTGACTCAGCCAGGGCCCTCTCAGCCCAAGCTCAGTGAACTGCACTCCACACTTAGCCCTGTTTCTCCCAGGGCTGCCAAGACGAATGACTCACACTGTTGCCAGGCACAGTGCTTCCTCAGCTCAGTTCACTCTTGTTTCCCTCTCCAAACAGACTTCACATCACTTTATTCAAGTTCTCTACTGCTTTTTAGGCTGTTAGCAAATTTTATTACTTTCTGATTTAAGTCAAAATAAGGCAAAAAATAAGAGAATATATAAAAAAACAGTGGCCTTAGGCCAGGCGCAGTGGCTTAAGCCTGTAATCTCATGACTTTGAGAGACCAAGGCAGGCAGATCACCTGAGGTCAGGAGTTTAAGACCAGCCTGGCCAACATGGTGAAACCCCATCTCTACTAAAAATACAAAATAACTTAGCTGGGCATCATGGTGCATGCCTGTAATCCCAGGTATTCAGGAGGCTGAGGCACGAGAATCGCTTGAACCTGGGAGGTGGAGGTTGCAGTGAGCCAAGATCATCCCACTGCACTCCAGTCTGGGCAACAGAGCAAGACTTCATCTCAAAAAATAAAAAATTAAATTAAATTAAAAAGTGGCCTTGGAGAAGACTTCCTGAAAATCTTATAATTCCAATAAATAATAAATCATCCTAAATGATGAAAGGAAAATTAAGGTGGGGAGGAGTTGTATAATGAACTACATACCTCATCCCTGCAATTCCTTTTACCTGGGGGTGCTTCCTCCTTTTGGACAAATAAGCAGTCATTATCGTAGGAAAGGAGTTGCAGAAACAGAGAGAAACAAGTCTTTCTCTTGCTTTTGTCTTTGAGAAGTTTAGATCTCTGTGTTTCACAAACCTAAGTCCTGAGGGAAATCAAGAAGCAGAAAACACAACGTGTAAGAGCATCCCTGAATAGAAAGAGTTCCCTGGGCTAAAGAAATCCCCTTTTCTGGAATGCACAATTATGGCCACTTGGCACATATTTCTGGGAATCTTTCCTAAACATAGCAGGTGCAAAACTAAGTGTAAAGAAGAAGCTGGGGCTTGAATTGCAGGTCCCTTTCTAAGAAAACACGATGCTGTTATTAAAAGTAATCCTGTGGGCTGGGTGCAGTGGTTCACGCCTGTAATCCCAGCCCTTTAGGAGGCAAAGGAGGGCAGATCACTTGAGGCCAGGAGTTCAAGACCAGCCTGACCAACATAGGGAAATCCTTTCTCTACTAAAAATATAAAAATTAGTCAGGGGTGGTGGTGCACGCCTGTAGTCCCAGCTACTTGGGAGGCTGAGGCAGGAGAACCACTTGAACCTGGGAGGTGGAGGTTGCAGTGAGCTGAGATCGCACCACTGCACTCCAGCCTGGGTGACAGAGAAAGACCCTGTCTCAAAAGAACAAAAAAAAAAAGTAATCCTGGGGGAACACACACCTCAGCTTCTTCCCCCACCCACCCTCCAAATATGAAGGAACAAGTGCTGAAGAAAAAAGCACACTATCAGGGACCTGAAGAGTTCTCCTTAACCCAGTGGTCCTCAGCAGAGGGCAACCTTGCTTTCCCACAAAGGGACACTTGGCAATATCTGCACACATTTCTGGTTGTCACAACTGGGAAGTCCTTGTATCATCACAAGGCCAAGAGACCATTCCTACTCCCAAGAGAAAAAATAAAGTCTAGGAGTAGCTGGGTGCTATGGTCTGACCGAATATTTGTGTCCCCCCAAAATTCATATGTTGAAATCCAACTCCCCGAGGTGGTAGTATTAAGAGGTGAGGCGTTTTGGAGGAGAGGAGGTCACGAGGGTAGAGCACTCATAAATCGGACCAATACTCTTCTAAAAGAGGCTCAAGAGAGACCTCTTGAGTGAGGCAAGAGTGAGAAGCAGGCTCTCACCAGACACCAGATCTGCTGGCACCTTGATCTTGGAATTCCCAGCCTCCAGAACGGTGAGAAATAAATTTCCATTGTTTACAAGCCACAAGGTTTACAGTGTTTTGTTATAAGAGCCCCCAATGAACTAAGACGCTGGACTTCCCAGAACAGTCCTTTTTCACCTACAGAGATTTCAAAGAATAGACTGGGCCTAGACATACCGGGCATCACAAATACAGGAGAGGATGAAAAACAAGACAAGTAGATGCAGAAAGCCAGTCTATGAGACATCTGATTCATTAAACTAAAGGAGAAGTCTCAAATATGCAAAGCTCCACTGCTGTGACTGCCAAGAAGAGAAAACCTTTTTTTTTCTTTAAGAGATGGAGTTGGCTAGAGGGTAGTGGCACGATCCTCAGGTCACTGCAACCACCACATCCTAGGTTCTAGCAATTCTTCTGCCTCAGTGCCTGTGCATGCCCCTATGCCCAGCTAATTTTTTGTATTTTAGTAGAGACAGGATTTCACTGTGTTGCCCAGGCTGGTCTCAAACTCCTGAGCTCAGGCAATCCACCCTCCTCGTCCTCCCAAAGTGCTAGGATTACAGGTGTGAGCCACCGTGCCCAGCAGCGAAAGCCTTTCTAAAAGCAATTTTACAAAGAAAGAAAGCATATGGAAAAAATTGATAGGTTTACTCAGATAAAAATAAAAACAATCTATAAAATAAGTAGCTTTAAAAAGAAAATGATCATAGAGGAAAAGCTATTGCAACAGACCAAACAAATGCAGAGCTAGGAATATTACTATGTGAAGAATTCTTATAAATCAATATGAGGAAAACACATTAGAAAAAATGGGCAAAGGACATAAGTAAACCTGTCAATCCACCTAAAAATGCAAATGTCATAATCAAATGAGTGATAACAGATTTAGCATCACTAAAAAATTCAAAGGTGCGGGAGGCCAAAGCAGGTGGATCACGAGGTCAGGAGATCGAGACCATCCTGACTAACACAGTGAAACCCCGTCTCTACTAAAAATACAAAAAATTAGCCAGGCTTGGTGGCGGGTGCCTGTAGTCCCAGCTACTCGGGAGGCTGAGGCAGGAGAATGGCGTGAACCTGGGAGGCAGAGCTTGCAGTGAGCCGAGATCGCACCACTGCACTCCAGCCTGGGCGACTGAGCAAGACTGTCTCAAAAAAAAAAAAAAAAAAAATTCAAAGGCGCAAATGAATGTCAATGTCTGCTGGTAAATCTACATATTGATAGGAGCTTTCTGGGGCATCAAAAAAGCTATAGCAAAGCCCTAAAATGAGTAAACTCTTCATTCATCAATTCCACTTATTCGACTTGGTCCTAAGGACCAATCATCAAGCTGAAAAATGAATTTTAAAAAAATAGTAGGCCAGGGGCAGTGGCTCATGCCTGTAATCTCAACGCTTTGGGAGGCCAAGGCAGGAAGATCACTTGAGCCTAGGAGCTCAAGATAAGCCTGGTCCACATAGCCAAACCCCGTCTCTACAAAAAATTTAAAAAATTAGCCAGGTCTGGTGGTGCTTGCTTGTAGTCCTAGCTACTCACGAGGCTGAGGCAGGAAGATCTCTTGAGGCCAAGAGTTTGAAACCAGCCTCGGCAACATAAAGAAATCTGTCTCTACAAAAAAATAAAAATAAAAATAAACAACAACAACAACAACAACAAAACTTGTATTAATTAGCCAGGCAGGGTGGCATGCACCTGTAGTCCTAGCTACTCAGGAGGCTGAGGCAGGAGGATCTCTTGAGCCCAAGAGGTCGAGGCTACAGTGAGCTATGACTGCACCACCGCACAATAGCCTGGACCACAAGAGAAAGCCCCTGCCTTAAAAAACAAAAAAGAAAATAGTAAAAATGTTTCATGTCACACAAAGAACAAGGTCAAAGAGCTGTCCTAACTTGCCCAAGTTCCTTCAGCTGTGAAGTAGCAAAATGGCATTTGACCTCAGATTTGCCTTCTTCAGAGGCCCTACCCAGGCTTGTCAACAGTCAGTCACTGAAAGACAGCACAGGTGGTCAGTAAGCAATTGTCCATCAGGCAAACTCAGGGCCTGAACCACAGCTCCCTCTGTACTTTACATGAGAATCATCATGAGTTGGTGTAATGGGAGAAGAGCACGTTTCTAGAGATCTACACATTCACACGAGGAGGAAAATACTTTAAATCCTTTCCTCTTTTTTTCTTTTTCTTTTTTTTTTTTTTTTTTTTTTTTTTTTTTTTTTTTTTTGAGACAGAGTATCACTCTGTCACCCAGGCTGGAGTGCAGTGGCACGATCTCGGCTCACTGCAGCCTCTGCCTCCCGGGTTCAAGTGATTCTCCTGCCTCAGCCTCCCAAGTAGCTAGAGTTACAGGCGCCCACCACCATTCCCGGATAATTTTTGTATTTTTAATAGAGACGGGGTTTCACCATGTTGGCCAAACTGAAATCCTTTCCTCTTAATGGGCATTTCCTCGGGATTCCAGTCCCGGAAAAGACAGGCCAATGAATGTCAAATCCCTCAGCCTGTCTATTCTCCAACAGACAGACAACCCATAGCATGACTGGAAAATATCCCTCCCGCTATTAAAGAGTCTTTGTCTTATGAATGACAAAGCACTTCCTCCCGGACGTGTCTAGCGGAGTTGACATTTCACACAGGACCACAGTTCTGTGAGTGATCACTGAATTCTGAGGATTAATGACTAGAACCACCAGCGCAAAACAGACGGCCGTGCATTTTTGCAGGCAGAAGCAAGTCTCACAATCCCACCGAATTAGGAAGGAAGGGGCTTAAGACTTCCAGGGGGAAATCTGTGATCTCTGAGTGCATTTCATCTATGGAAAGCTGCCTTTCTGCAGACCAGTCACGTGCCAACATAAACTGCACAGGGCTGTGGTGGGATCATGACCCTTTGAGGACTGAGATGTTGCCTGGGGAAACTTCCCTTGGATGTTGTAGGAGAGTGAAGGCCCAGGCTGCAGTGGAATGATGAAAGAAAACTCTGTGTGCAATAACATATTATATGTGTTATGTGTGTGCATCTATTCTGGTCCTTCACAAACTTACAGGATCGCAGACTCAGAGGCCCCCAGCAATGGATCCACCCTACCATGTTTTTCAAACCTAATCTTCCTAGGAAGAGAATGGTGGTCCGATCAGCAAAGAGCTAGGAATTGGGTGACCCCGGGGTAATCCCCTTCTGACTCCCTTTCTTCTGCCTCAGTTTCCCTGACTTCCATGCAGGCCCTGTAGAATCTGGGGTCCTGCATGGAACCCCAGTTTATATGCCTGACAAGTTTGCACCCAGCACAGTTCTTTGAAATAATACCTTTTCACAGTTTGAGCTCTAGCCTCTCTGTCTCTATCTCTGAATCCATCCTCTGTCTTCAGATATCACCACTACTGAGAACATCAATGAATGCAAAAGAAAAAAAAAAGTGGGAATAAAAATAGAAAGAAATTAAAACTGAACTGAACAATCAAACATGAGGTTAAGAGCTTTTATAGTGTTACATGGTAACTAAATGTAGACGCCCAGGTAGTTTCTTTCCTCACTTGCTTTTATTTTCTAACTTTCCTAATTTTTTATCAAAGGCCTTCAGAGAAGCAATGTTTTTTCCTATCTCATGATATAGAGCTGACATTTCTCATGGGAAATAAGTATGTTCTCTCCTTGGCCAGCAAGAAAATAAATGTCACATTAAGCCAAAAAAGAAGATGTTTTGCAACCCTAGTGACACTTTAGACTTAGTCTGTTTGGGCTGCTACAAAAAATACCAGAAACTGAGTAGCTTTTAAACAACAGAAGTTTATTTCTCATGGTTCCAGAGGCTGGGAAGTCCAAAATCAAGGGGCTGGTGGATTCAGTGTCTAGCAAGGGCCTGCTTTCTGGTTTATAGATGACACCTTCTAGCTGTGTGCTCACTTGATGGAAGGGAACAACTCTGGTCCCTTCAGCCCCTTTATTAGGGCACTAATCCAGTTTATGAGAACTTCACTCTCATGATCTAATCACCCCCAAGGGCCCCACCTCCTAATACCATCACACTGGAGATTAAATTTCAACATATGGATTTTGGGGGATACACAAACTTTTAGCCCATAGCATAGAACATTTGCTTTGCAGTTTCCAAAGCCTTCTACAAACATTAGGTCACGTGTCCCTCACACTATTCCATCTGGATCTGTATTTACTGGTGAAGAAACCTTGGCTGGAAGAAGTAGGCTGGCTTGCCGCGAGACAGTGGTGTCAAGACAAGGATTTTATGACTCCCAAGTTTCAGGCATGTGCTTACCGGTACACACTAATTCCTGCCTTCCAGTGACATACAGTCTGGTGGGGGAAAGGTATTACCTAAATGATGTAACAAATATGTGATTGTGAACCACAATAAGCAAAACTGGATCTATATCCCTAGCCACAGAGGCACAGTTGAAATCATGGTTCAACCATATACAGTGAATTACTAATGTAAGCAATAAAAATGAGGCTGTATAAATACAGTTATTTACCTAAAATATGTCCTCTGTATGTTGATGAATAAATACAAAATAGGATACAGAACAGATTGCAAAATATAATCCCATTTTTATTAAAAGATAAAAGAAAAGGCACAGAAACATCACTCAGGCTTTTAACTGCCACGTTATACTTTCTCTCTTCTGGGTACCATCCATCTTGTTATCTGATCCTTTAGTACAGCCGTGAGTCAAGTATAGCCCATGGCCAAATATGGCTTGCTGCCTATTTTTGTAAATAAAGTTTTATTAGAACACAGACATATTCATTCATTTACATATTATCTATGGCTGATTTTACACTATAACAGCAGAGTTAAGTAGCCGCAACGAGGTTGTATGACCCTCAAAACCTAAAACACTTCCTATCTGGCCCTTTTCCTAAGAAATTCGCCAACCTCTGTACTAGTCTGTCCAAGAATCTTGGAGTAGTGGCGTTCTGAAACCACAGCCATATTAACTAAGCATTTACATACGTGCCAGTCCATGCAACCACTTTGCAAGCATCTCTCATTTTACTCTATCAACAGCCCCATTGGGCAAGTACTGTTATTAACTCTAAGGTTGAGGACACTGAAGAGTGAGAAGGTTAAATAACCTGCCAAAGCCATGCAGCTAGTAAAGGGAAGAGCTAAGACTCAAACTGCAGCTTTGAAATGCAATGCAGCTTGCTATGGTTTGAATTTTTGTCCCCTGCAAAACACATGTTGAAATCTAATTCCCAATGTGCCAGTATTGAGAGGTGGGGCCTTTAAGGTGTGGATAATAAAGGCTCTGCCCTCATGAATGGACAATCCATTCATGGGTTAATGGATTAATGGGTTATCTCGGGAGTGGGATTGGTGGCTTTATAAGAGGAAAAGAGACCTAGGCTAGAACATTCAGCCCCCTCACCATGTGATGCCCTGTGTCACCTCTTGGGACTCTGGGGAGAGAACCCACCAGCAAGAAAGCCCTCACCAGGTGTGGCTCCTCGACCTCTGACTTCGTAGCCTGTAAGCCTGACTTCGTAGCCTGTAAGCCTGTAACTGTAAGAGATAAATTCCTTTTATTTATAAATTACCCAGTTTGGGGTACTTTGTTACAAGCAACAGAAAAAAAAGACTAAGACACCTCTGAAATCAACACCAGAGATTCATACTCTTAGTTCTGATTCCGTTTATGTTCTAGCCTCTTGGAATCATAAATAGAGACAATTCTAGCCTTATCTCTGCCTGAAGTCTCACAATTCTGCCACCACCTCTACCTTTGGACAAAAATAATGAATCATATGAAGCAGATCAGACATCAGTTGGAATGATGTGGTGCACCTAAGACAGTCCACGAGTCTGGACGGGTGCTGGAGGTACAGATGGCAAAGGTATCGATCGCCTCTGACTGTCAATGGAAGCTTTCGGAAGTGATGAGATGAGGGCCACGGCCTCCACCTTGCGTCTGGAGGATTTTAGAAGATAGGACAGTCCCTAAAGGTAGCCCAGAATGGAGGTACAAGGTATGCTAAAATTAGAGTCAGAAATGGTCTCATGCAGCTTTCCAACTAGGAAGGCACCATGCCCTGCAAAGCCACGGAGGGTGAGTAGTAAATCATGGTCACATGATTGGGATTTTGGTATAAATCATGACCAAGTACTTCACATAGAATATATATGTATTTTATAATAAATTCCCTTTATTTTATTTCTCCTTTAGATTTTTAAAAGCAAGCAAACATAAGATCATTCCAATTAGATCATTATTTTGATTTTTAGTTATACATGTAAATTGATTATGTTATCTATGAATTTCATTTGAGAAGGCCCTCCAAAATAATTGTTATAAAAAAGGGACATTGGGCCAAATGGATATTGAAAATCATTAGCTTAGAGAATTCAGGGAGCAGTGGAAAGTTTCGTGAGGCTGGAGCTGAGTGGAGGCTTGAGGGTAGGAGTTACCAGGTGATGAGTTGAGTGAGTTAAGGAAGATGTAGATTATCTAAAAATCCTTGGGCAAAAGTTGACCATGAAGCTAATGAAGCTGAAGTTTCAGTTAGCCCCTCACATGCTTGGGGCCCATCCAAGGCCCTAGGAGGGTTCATACAGTCATATATTTGCTTGCTTTTAAAAATATAATACTTATGGCCGGGCACAGTAGCTCATGCCTGGAATCCCAGCACTGTGGGGGGTCAAGGGGGTGGATCACCTGAGGTCAGGAGTTCGAGACTAGCCTGGCCAACAAGGTGAAATCCCGTCTCTACTAAAAGTACAAAAATTAGCTGGGCATGGTGGCACATGCCTGTAATCCCAGCTACTCGTGAGGCTGAGGCAGAAGAATCGCTTGAACTTGGGAGGCGGAGGTTGCAGTGAGCCGAGATGGAGCCACTGCACTTCAGCTTGGGCAATAAAGCGAGACTTGAAAAATATTTCCTTTGTGCTTAAAGAAAGACTCCAAAATTGTATATAGAGGGCCCCACAAACCCTGCACCCAGCCCCACGGGGGTGAAATTCACACTTCAATGATGGGGAACACATGGGTGAGATTAAGCAAAGAAGTGACACAACCCTCTGTGCACAAAAGTCACTGGACACTCTTCCTCCCTCAAGAATAAACTTTCTTGTTTGCCATTTCCTATTCCAAAGCAGTGAAACAGACTAAGCTGTTCAGATTTGCTTTCTGCACAGTCCACATATGGACACAGACATGTCGCTGCATGGTCACTGTGTCCCATCCACTGTCACCATCAGGTTCAATCCAGCAAATCCTGCAGGTCTAATTTCTCCAGGCATGCTTCACTCACAGACAAATGCACTAGTCCTGAGATGGATGTGCGAAGGCTGGCCTTTGCACCAACCCTAGCATGAAGATGCGTCTCTATATGTCTTATGCCTTCCTGAATTTGTGGCTCCATTATCTGGACAACGTGCAATTACACCAGAAATCATTGCAAATGCATTCATTTACTCCACAACCATACAGCAGATCTTGTAGCTGTGGAAAAGATGGGGTACCATGGTGGTTAATGCGGAGCTGTTGCATTCTCACTCTCCCATTGACTATGTGAACTTGTGCAAGTCATTTGGCCTGCGTCCAAACTTATCTCCACTAAAAAACAGACATAGGCCGGGCGCTGTGGCTCACCCCTGTAATCCCAGCGCTTTGGGAGGCAAGGCAGGCGGATCACAAGGTCAGGACTTCCAGACCAGCCTGACCAACATGGTGAAACTCCGTCTCTACTAAAGATAGAAAAATTAGCTGGGCATGGTGGTGTGCACCTGTAATCCCAGCTACTCAGGAGGCTGAGGCAGGAGAATGGCTTAAATCCGGGAAGCAGAGGTTGCAGTGAGCTGATATTGCGCCACTGCACTCCAGCCTGGGTGACAGAGTGAGACTCCATCTCCCCCCGCCCCCGCCAAAAAAAAACAAAACAAAACCAGACATAACAACATCAGTGAGCATCTTCTATTTCTGCCCGTCCCACAAGTTTTTCTTTCTTGTTTAATTTTCTGCTGCATTCCATAATTATTTTTATTCACATATCGTTTCCATACACTAACATTCACAGTTGTTCAGTGTTCAACTTAATGAAGCCATGTAATTCCATTTAGCCTCCACTGAAAACAAGATATAGAAGAGTTCCATCACCCGCAGAGATTCCCTTCTTCCCCCTTTTGGACCAATTCTGTGCCCTACAGAAACAACCACTTCCTGACTTTACTCATCATAGATAAATATTATCAGCTGTAACTATCTTTTTGGGTCTGGCTTCATTTGCTCAACATAATGTTTTCTGAGCTGCATCTATGCCACTGTATCATCAGCTGCTTGTCTTTTAGCTGCTTGTCTTTTTGTTGTTGTTAATATTCCACTGTGTGAATGGAATATTCCTATCTCACCACAATTTATTTATCCACTCACCCGATAATGGACATTTGGGTTGTTTCCAGGTGTTAGCTATTGCAAATAAAGCTGCTGTGAACATTTGTGTGCAAGTCTTTTTGTGGACACATGATTACATTTTTCTTGGGTAAATATCTAGGAGTGGAATTTCTGGGTCATTGGGTTAATGGATGTTTAACTTTATAGGAAATTAATGAACAGTTCTCCAAAGTGGTTGTACCACTTGACACCTCCCCCAGCAAGCAATGTTTTTGTCTGTTTATTTGTTTGAGACAGTTTCGCTGTTGCTGCCCAGGCTAGATTGCAATGGCGTGATCTCGGCTCACCACAACCTCCGCCTCCCAGGTTCAAGCGATTCCTCTCCCTCAGCCTCCCAAGTAGCTGAGATTACAGGCATGCACCACCACGCCTGGCTAATTTTGTATTTTTAGTGGAGACGGGGTTTCTCCATGCCTCAAGTGATCCGCCCGCCTCAGCCTCCCAAAGTGCTGGGATTACAAGTGTGAGCCACCGCACCCGGCCCAAGCAATGTTAATGTTCCGCCCAGTTGCTCCACATCCTAACACCTGTTTTGTTAATTTTGTTGGTTGGCTTGTGTTTGCCATTTTAGTGGCTGTAGAATGGTATCTCATGATTTTAATGTGCATTTCCTCAATGATTAATGATATTGAACATCTTTTCATCCACTTATTAGCCATTCGTAGACTTTCTTTTATAAAGTGTCTGTTCAAGCCTTCTGCTCATTTTAATGTGCTTGTGTATTTGTATTGTAGATACGTAGGCGTTCTTTATACGTTCTGGACATGAGCCCTTTGTCAGATAGATGTACTGTGAGTGTTGTTTATCTAGTCTGTGAGTTGAGCCATATCTGTAACCACACCTACCTCCAGGAGTTTTCAGTTACATGAACCAAGAAAATTCTTTCTATAAGAGGTAAATTGAACTGAATCTCTTGTACCTTAAAAGTGGGAATCCTGCTTAACAATTTAAGAAATACCAGCTGGGCAAGGTGGTGCACACCTATAGTCCCAGCTACTCGAGAGACAGAGGTGGAGGGATCGCTTGAGACTAGGAGGTCGAGGCTGCAGTGAGCTATGATCACTCCACTGCATTCCAGCTTGGGTAACAGCAAAACTCTGTCTCAAGAACAAAAAAAAAAAAGGAAGTACTTTGCAGAGTCTCAGAATAGAAATGAGGATTAAATGAGATTGAGTGGGATACTGCATGGGAAGGTCTTTAACACAGTGCCTAGCACATAATAAGCTGGTCTTCATTGTTCTTACTAATATATTTTTAAAGCAACTCTATAGGAGAAGAGAGGTAAGAAGAATTTGGTGTCATGGAAATTTACAGGAAAATCTCTTAATTAAACCTGAAAAGGCATGTCAAATAAACTTTCCAAAAAAGACTAGAAGACTATTAGGCAATAGTAAGACTTGAAAGGGAAACGGCAGAGAAGATAGAGTTGCTGCACAGCAGGAAGGACACGTACAGTGTTTACCGAGATGTAAATCCTGTGGGCATTTAGGCAATGCTGCAGCATGTGGTGTGAGCTGGGACGTAATGGAAGATGAGGCTAGGGATGTAGGTGAGGTTAGATATTTGTGACATTTGCCACATGGAGTATGTATTCCCTGTCCCGTAGACTTAGCTTCTCAAAGTGTGATCCTCAGAGCAGCAACTTCAGCCTCACCTAGGAGCTGGTTAGAAATGATCAAAACAAAATCTGTATTTTGACAATATCTCATGTGATTCATATGAAAAGAAAATCTGATGGGATCAACCTCAATGCCCATCAACAGTAGACCGCATAAAGAAAACGTGGTACATATGCACCATGGAATACTACACAGCACTAAAAAAAGAACAAAATCATGTCCTTTGCAGTAACTTGGATGCAGCTGGGGGCCAGTTGTTGACCCTTGAACAACATTGGGGTTAGGGGCGCCAACCCCACACACAGTCAGAAATCTACATACAACTTTTGACTCCCTAAAAACTTAACTACTAATACTCTATCATTGACTGGAAGTCTTACTAATAACATAAACGGTTGATTAACACATGTATGTTATTTTTATTATATATTGTATTCTTACAATAAAGTAAGCTAGACAAAAGAAAATGTTACTGGCCGGGCGCAGTGGCTCATGCCTGTAATCCCAGCACTTTGGGAGGCCGAGGCGGGGGTATCACCTGAGGTTGGGAGTTCGAGACCAGCATGACCAAAAAGGAGAAACCCCGTCTCTACTAAAAATACAAAATTAGCCAGGCGTGGTGGGACATGCCTGTAATCCCAGCTACTCGGGAGGCTGAGGCAGGAGAATCACTTGAACCTGGGAGGCGGAGGTTGCAGTGGGCCGAGATCGTGACATTGCACTCCAGCCTGGGCAACAAGAGCGAAACTCCATCTCAAAAAAAAAAAAAAGAAAAAAAAAAAAAGAAGAAGAAAATGTTATTAAGAAAGTCATGCAGAAGAGAAAATATATTTACTATTCATTAAGTGAAAGTGGATAATCAGAAAGGTCTTCATCTTCCTCTTCTTCATGTTGAGTAGGCTGAGGAAGAGGAGGAAGGAGAAGAGGAGGGGTTGGTCTTGCTCTCTTGGGGTTGACAGAGGTGGAAGAGGTGGAGCAGATGGAAGGGGAGGTAGGAAAGGCAGGTGTTTTATTGAAAAAAAAATCCACATGTAAGTGAACCCACGCATTTCAAGCCCATGCTGTTAAGGACCAACTGTAGTCATTTGTGAAATTTTTCTGTTAAATAAACCAATTTTTTGTTGTTTTTTAAGCCAGCAGTTTTGTAGCTCACCACCAACCGTTTCTTAATTAATCAAGTGCCATCATTGTCATTCTCCAAAAGAAGAAGCTGAAGATTAAAGATACATTATCTGTTTGGTCACACAGCTGATATTTAACATCAAATCTGTCTCACTCAAAAGTCCATTTTTTTTCTCCTGAGTTTTGCTTTTTCTCACACTTAAAAATATTCAAATCAAAGCTACAAAACATAAATGAGGAAATAAGGACATTTAATTGAAAACTATGTGATGCATAATTTATACAACCGGGGGAAAACACAGCTTGAGAAAGTGAAATCACTCCTATCTTTCATTTATGTACTTATTTAATTTTAACTTGCTAAGTCATTCAGGGAATATTTACTGAAAGCCCATATTATATGCTAGGCACTGCATTAGCAATATAAAAATGAGTAAAAGAATGGTTCTAAATGTGTACTCACCAAACAACAGAACCTGAAAAGAATGAAGCAAAAACTGACAATGCTGAAAGGAGAAACTGGGGGCGTCAACACCCTATTCTCAGCAAATGAGAGAACTACTAGAGAGAAACGCAACAGAGAAGTAGAGCTCAACAAAACAAGCAGCCCACAGGATCTCGCTGGCCTATATGTAGCACTCCACCCAACAACAGCAGAATATATATTTTTTCAACCACCATAGGATATTCATTACAAAAGGGCATACCCTGGGATGTAAAATAAACTTTAACAAATTTAAAAGAATGGAACTCATACAAACTATCTTCTCCACCACAATGGAACCAAACTAAAAATCAATAGCAGAAAGACAACAGAAGAAACCTCTCATCATTTAGAAATTAAACACCACACTTCTAAATAATTCAAGAGTCCGAGACAAAGTCTCAAAAAAATATAGAGGACTAAATAAAATTGAAAGTACACCGTAACTACATATGTTAGATGCTGCTAAAGTAGTACTGACAGGGAAATTTACAGCACTAAATTCTTACTTTAGAAAAGAGGAAAGATCTCAAATCAATAATGTAAGTTCTACCTCAAGAAACCAGATGAAGAAGAACAATCTATACTCAAAGCAAGCAGAAGAAACACTAATGAGTAGCAATCAATGAAATTGAAAACAGGAAAAAAATCAATGAAACAAATAGCTGGTTCTTTGAAGAAAAGTCAATAAATTTGATAAAATTATAGCAAAACCTACAAAATAAAAAGAAGACACAAGTCACCAATAAGAGGAATGGAACAGGGTATCTCACTGCAGGTCCTGGGATCATTAAAAAGATAGAGAAATACCATGAACAACTATACACTATTCAACAACTTAGAAGAAATGAACCAATTCCTCAAAAGCCACTAACAAAACTCAAAAATGAAACAAAAAAATTGAATAGTCCTATAACCAAAAAAGAAATTGAATTTATAATTTTAACATTCCAAAAAAAACTCTTCAGACCCAGATGGTTTCACTGGAAAATTCTACCAAACATTTCAACAAGAATATACATCAATTGGACACAGTCTCTTCCCAAATATAGAAGAGGAGAAACCACTTTCAAACCATTTTATTATCTAGTTACAAAAACCAGATGAAGACAGTACAAAAAAGAAAATACCGATCAATACTTCACATGAACTAGATGCAAAAATTCTTAACAAAATGTTAGCAAGTCCAACAATGTATCATGACCAAGTGGGATTTATTCCAGGTATGCAAAGCAGATTCAAAAGTCAATCAATGTAATCCACTATATCAGCAAGCTAATGATTTTAAAAAATGATGCATCAAAACCATTTGACAAAATCAAGTTAGGAATAGAGTGTAACTAAATCTTCCTAATAAAGATAATCCACAAAAACCTATACATAACATCATACTTAGTGGTGAAAAACTACGTACTTTCTCACTAATATCAGAAACAAGGCAAGGATGTCCACTCTCACCACTCTTATTCAATATAGTACTAGACGTTGTAGGCATGCAATAAGGGAAGGAAAAGAAAGAAAAGCTATAGATATCGGAAAGGAAGAACCAAAATTAGCCCTGTTTGCAGATAACATGCTTGTAACATAGATTCCTACTTCCAAAAAACTTATAAAACTAGTAAGTGTGTCCACCAAGGTTGCAGCATACAAGGTCAATACACAAAAATCATTTGCATGTCTATATACTAACAATGGGCATGTAGAAACCAAAATTAATCACACTATAATTTACAACTGCTCCAAAGAAAATAAAATAGTTATAAGCTTAATAGGTATAGTATCTGTAGGCTAAAAGTTATAAAATGCCAATAAAAGTAATCAAAGAAGAGCTAAATAAGTGAAAAGACATGCCATGTTCAGGAACTGGAAGACTCAGCAGCACAGTAAAGATGTCAAGTCTCCCCATAGTGATCTATAGATTTACTGTATTTCTATCAAAAACTGCACAAGGTTTTTGTAGAGGTAAACAAACACATTCTAAAATTTATATGGCAAGGCACAGGCCCTAGAATGTTTAAAACAATCTTGAAAAAGAAAAATAAAAGGAGAGTAATCCATTCACTTTAAGGCCTACTATATAGCCACAGTAATAAGGATAGTGTGGTATCAGTAGAAGGATAAACACATAAATCAGTGGAAGAGAAAACATAAGCTAGAAATACACCCACACAAATTTTTGACAAAAGTATCAAAACAGCACAAAAAAAGAAACACAGCCTTTTAAATAAATCATGTTTGGGCAATTAGACAATTTGCATAGGCAAAATACAAACACAGACTTAAACCTCAAACCTTAGAGGAAAGTTAACTCAAAAATGGATTGTGCACTTAAATGTAAAACATAAAATTATAACACTTTTAGAATAAAAATAGATGAAAGTCTTTGGGATCCAGGCTAGGCAAAGAATTCTTAGACTTGACACCAAAAGCATGATCCATAAAATAAAATTTTGGTAACTGTAATTTCATCAAAATTAAAAACTTTTGCTGTGTGAGAGATCCTAATAAGAGCATAAAAAGACAAGCTCCAGACTAGAAGAAAATATCTACAAATCACACATCTGAAAAAGGATTGGTATCTAGAATAAAGAACTCTCAAAACTCAATATTAAAAATCAAACAATCCAAATAGAAAATATACGCAAGACATGAACACACCAAAGAAAATGGAAAATAAGCACATGACGAGATGTTCAACCGCATTAGCCATTAGAAAAATGCAAATTAAAATCACAATGAGATACCACTACTCACCTATTTAAATGGTTAATATTAAAAATAATGACAACTCCAATACTGGCAAGACTGCAGAGAACCTGGATCACTCAGACATTGCTAGCGGAAATGTAAAATGGTACCACCATTCTGGAAATGTTTGACATTTTCTTAGAAAACTAAACATGGAAACCCACCAACTGCGCTCTTGGGCATTTATTCTAGAAAAAACATAGAAATTTATGTTTACCTAAAAAATTGTAAATAAAGTTTCACAGCAGCCTTATTTCTAATACAGCTGGAAACAGCTCAGAAGTCTTTCAACAGATGAATGTTTAAACAAATTGGGCTACATCAATATTATGGAATACCACTTAGTAATAAAAAGAAGTAACTGCTGATACATACAACAACTTGAATGTATCACCAGGGAATCATGTTGAATAAAAAAAAGTCAGAGTCCAGAGGTTTCATATCTTATGGTACCATTTACATAATGTTTTTGCAATGGCAAAATTATAGAAATTGAAAATAGATTCATAGTTGCCAGGGATTAGACTGAGGTGGAGAGTGTTGGGGAAGAAGGGGTGTGGCTATAAAAAGGCAACCAGAGGCCGGGCGTGGTGGCTCACGCCTGTAATCCCAGCACTTTGGAAGGCCAAGGTGGGTGGATCACCTGAGGTCAGGAGTTCGAGACCAGCCCAGTCAACATGGCGAAACTCCGTCTCTACTAAAAATATAAAAAATTAGCCAGGCATGGTAGCAGGCGCCTGTAATCCCAGCTACTCAGGAGGCTGGGGCAGGAGAATTGCTTGTACCTGGGAAGTCGAGGTTGCAATGAGTCGAGACTGCACCATTGCACTCCAGCCTGAGCAACAAGAGTGAAACTCCCTCTCAAAACAAAACAAAAAAGGCAACAAAAGGGGTCCCTGTGGTAATGGAAAGTTTTGTGTCTTGACCGTGGTGATGGATTCATGAACCTATGCATGTGAGAAAACTGCACAGAACTAAATATTCATGCACACACACGCACCCATATGCACACATATGCATGCATATGAACACACACACAAATGAGTACAAGTACAACTGGAAACATCTCAATAAAATTGGTGGATTTTATCTATGCCAATATCCTGATTTTGACATTAAGCTATAGTTGTGCAATATGTTACCATTAGGGAAAAACTGCATGAGGAATGTATGCTATCTCTCCACATTATTTCTTACCACTGTATGTGAACTTGCAACTATTTCAAAATAAAAAGTTCAATTAAAAAAAATGAGCAAAAGAAGACTCCACACTAGAAAATATGATAGCAGCTGGAGAAGACAAACACTTTAAATAAATATAAAATGGATTGTGTTCACTATCACAGTACAAGTGCACACGGTTGGCACAGGGATTTGGTGGATGTAACTCCCACTTCTCCCTGGACTGTCTGGGAGAGCATGGGGAATGGCCACTGAGCTGGCACTTCATGAGTAGGGGACTTGAGGAAAATGGAGGCACGAGGATTGGACTAATGTCCTGCCCCCACGTAGACACATACACACACACACACGCTTGCACTCACATACACAGATGAATTGACCAGAGAAAAATCAAAATGGCAAACCTTTGTGCCTGTGCTGAATTAACAAAAGAGTGCCATCTACTTACCAATACTCTGAGAGATGTAGGCAATGTGCACTGCAGAGGTAAGTATTTGGAAGTAAATTACCATGGGCACACTATTCACAATAGCAAAGACATGGAATCAATCCAAATGCCCATCAATAACAGACTAGATAAAGAAAACATGGTACACATACACCATGAAATACTATGTAGCCATAAAAAGGAATGAAATAATGTCCTATGCAGGGACATGGATGGAGCTGGAAGCCATTATCCTCAGCAAACTAACGCAGGAACAGAAAACCAAACACTGTTATGTTCTCACTTATAAGTGGGAGCTGAACAATGAGAACACATGGACACAGAAAGGGGAAAAACACACAATGGGGCCCGTCGGGGAGTGGGGTCCTGAGGGGAGGGAGCATTAGGAAAAATAGCTAATGCAAGCTGGACCTAGGTCTTCGGTTGATAGGTGCAGCAAACCACCATGGCACACGTTTACCTGTGTAACAAACCTGCACACCCTGCACATGTACCCCAGAACTTAAAATTAAAATAAAAAATTTTTAAAAAGAAGTAATTTGAGGCAAATTGAACAGAATCCCATAAGGATCTTCTTAGAGACACAAAGATAGGAGTCCGGGGTCAGGCACAGCCCAGCTCAGTAGCCAGCACATCAAGGAAGAGGACTGATTCAGTCATCCCACCGTGAAAGTTGCCGATACCAGGGTGAAATCACTTTTTGTCAGAACCAATCAAATTAGAGGCGGGAAATCATGAAGTGGGAGAGCTCATGTTCGCATGTCTGAGATAAAGACTGTCTCAAGGACTTTCTAATATAATCCCACAAGAAATTCCTTCTTTAGGACTGCAGTAATTCAGATAAGATGCCTTCGAAAGAATACCTGCCCAGTAACGGCATCTCCACCAATGAACTGATGCCAGCTATGGCTTTCAGTCTCCAAAATCAATGAATTCTGTTTCTAAGCAGCTTATGTGAACTTCTCCTTTTGCCAATAAAAGCTTCCCTTTGTCCTCCCCTCCTCAAGTGTATCTGTGGCTTGCTACAGCCGTGCATCTGGGATTATAATCCTTTTTTACTGGTGAATAAATTTATCATATTAGGAGATATTTTCCTCTGAAAATTTTTTAGGTTGACACCACTCATCCAAGCAATCAACCAAACAGACACAAGCTCTGGGGTCTTAACACACTTGGAGGAGAAGATGATGGAACTGCTTTGGTCCCAAGCCCCTGTGTACCCCACCTGAGGTTGGGGTACCCTTGACCTGCTGATGCCAACCTAGATCAACCTCCTCTTCAGCTTGAGAAAATACTGTAATAACAGTAATAGACAATAATAGTAACTAAGCAATTATTAAGTGTTAATATTAAGTGTTAGCCAATGGGTTAAGCCCTTTAAACACATTATCTCGTTTCATCATACAATAGTCTTACAAGGTCTGAGATAAGGCTCCCAATGGCCTAAGGGAGGACAGGATAAAACCCTAGAAAAAAATGTTGTGCGGTTTTGGGGGGCAAATAACAAGCTAGTATATGACATCCAAGGATAAATTTAAAGAACAAACACCACCTCCATCACCACAAGAGGCCTAGGAAAAGAACTTGTAACTTTGAAAAAGGATTTAAACATAACATACAACAAGCAGAGGAGGATCATATTTTCAAGCAGAATTGCTCAGGAAATTTTAGATACCATCTGCTTTCCACTCTCAAGGAAATCATAGAAAACACAGACTTTGTAAAATAAGAAGAAATAATGAGGCAATTTGCTGAATGGGGAAAGGGAAACCTGATGGAGTTAAGGAATTAATTCAAGGAAACGAAGAATGACTTATGGGATTAAAACATTAAAGGTGGTGAAGAGCTGAATTGACAATACGGGAAATTTCATCACCTCGTTGAGCAAAACAAATTTGCAGAGCTCTTTCTGGATGCAGAAGAAAAATGAAAAAGGTTAAAATTATTTAGAAATTGCTGTTATCGTGGTTTCTATAGATGATATGTTGATAATGCTCCTAGAAATTACAAACTAGAAATCCTGAAATATAAAATATATTCATATTAACATGACTACACCTAGCACTATCACATCGAATTCTCACGTCTTATCTATGAGGAAGATATCATTTTATACTAATTCTAAAGATGATGAAACTGAGGGCTAGAAAAGGTAGTAACCTACTCAGAGTTTTCAAGTCTGTGATAACCTCAGGGGACAGAGTTGGAATTTACACCCAGAATTTATACCCAGAGGCTACTGGACTCTGGAGGTGAGGAGGAGAGGGAAGGAGAGGGGGAGGGGGAACCAAAATATGAAAAATGAAAGGACTCACTGATTACCTAAGAAAGGGAAAATAAAGCACTTCTAGACACACATTGTGATTTTTAGTTCTACCAAGGAACAGGGGTGCTGATCACAAACCAAGAAGCAGAGACTGAACTGGTCCCTATCTCCTGCATCTCTGCTGCAATGGATGTCAGAAACAATGAAACAAAGCATGTCCTTTTGATGAAAAACAGTTGTAACCCAGGAATTTAATATTTGAACAAGTGGAAACTCCTTTATGAAAGTCAGAAAAAAATTCTCTGACACAAAGAGAACCAAAGATAGGAAGTCTTCATTTACTTCTCATGAAAAACTAAAAAGTCTACAAGAAAAACTCAGTAAAATAAGGCATGAATTTAAAAATAATAATTTGGGAAAAAACTTCATTTTGGGGGAAGACAAGTCACAAAAACACCAAAGCATCATGAGAGGTGAGTGCTGAAAACATTACATCTTCTATTCTCCTGGCTCCAGTGCTCAGATCAACGAACAACAAAGAAAAGAACAAGTGCTCAAGAAATGTCTGCTCCACCATGTTTATGAATGATGAGACAGGGAGGAATTCTCACTAAAGTCAAGAGCAAGAAAAGAAAATTGTCTCAGTTTTTATTTAACATCATTCCGGAAATTATAGGGAATGTGAAAACACAAGATGAAGTAATACCATACAAATATTGAGAAGGAAGAGACAGATGTATCGTTATTTGTGGATCACACAACAACACTCAGAAATCCAAGAGAGGCCACTGCAAACTTATTACAATTACAATCATTCAATAGTGTGTACAGGCACTCTCTCTCTCTACATATATATATATGTGAGAAAAGAGACAGAAAAAGAGAAATACATATACATAAAACTATATAGATGAGAAGAGAGGCAGAGAAAGAGAAATATATATGTATATAAAACTATATATATGAGAAAAGAAACAGAGAAAGAAATATATACACACACACACACACACACACACACACACACACACATATATAACTTAAAAGCTACTACCTTCCTTATAAGGCAATAATATCCAACTAAAAATATAATACGTAATTATCACATTCACACTAGCAACAAAAGTGTAAGACACCTTGAAATAACTTCAGAGAAAAAAATACACGCAACCCAGATGGAAACGATTTACAACATTTTGATGGAGGATATAAACATAACGAATACATTGCTAAACAAGCCATGTCCCTAGATGGGACAACTCAATACTGTATTGATTTTAAGTCCTTAAACAGTAATCTACAAATGTAATATTATTAAATAAAATTCTACAGTGATTTCATTCAGAACTTGACAACATGATTCCAAAATTAATCTGCAAGTATAAGCAGATCAAAATAGCCCAAAATATATTGAAAAAGAATGACAAGGAAGGAGAGACTGCAGTATTAAAGAATAAACTATAACAGAAGGGAACAGTAAAAAATTGTTGTATTTGCCGCTGTATACTGAAACCATAACAGAGGTAGATCAACAGAATATAATAAAAAGGAAAGAAAACAGACCCCAATATATAAGCATTTAGTGAGCCCAGAAATGGATATTTCAGATATGTAGGAAAAGAATAACATTCAATAAACAAATTTAGATAAAAGGTTTGAACTGCACCTCAGTTCTTTCACCAATGTAATACGTAAATGAATAAAAATTCTAAAGTTGAAAAATTTATAAAATTCTGTTTACAGAGTTAAATCTAAATAAACATTCCTAGCATCCTTCCCTGTTTGTTTTTCTCCACAGCACTCATCAGCTTCTAAAATATCATATCAATTTTTAATATGTTATTTGCTGTCTGTCTCATGTTGTTTGCTGTCTGTCCCTTCACATTAGAGTGTAAGATCCATGAAGACAGAATTTTTAACTGCTCGTCCCCAGTGTCTAGGATGCCTTCTAATACATATTAGCTAAGCAAAAAAAAAAAAAGAAAATATTTGCGTAAGTGAATAAATGAACACGATCAGATTGCAAAACATTTATTTAAGTATAAAATCCAAGAGGAGAGTATGAAGAAACAAAAATATATACATAAAATATAAAGGAAATTAAATTTTTGTCTACATCAAAAAAAGCAACAAAATTATATGATAGGTTGTAAAAATATTTGTAACCTATATTGTAAGAGGCTGAATATTTATGATTAAATAAATAGCCTTTATAAAACGATTAGAATGAAAAATGGACAAAGACGATGTCCCAAAGAAAAACGTTAAGGGCGAGTAAGCATTTAAAATGTGTAACATCACAGATACCAAAAGAATTAAACTAAATAAAAGTGAAACATAATTCATCTCCTCACTAACTGGCAAAGTCTCACCAGACCTTATCTTCCTCCAGGGTATGAGAAAACAGGAACTCTTAACACCCAGCAAACAGCAAGTAGTTATTTTAGTCCAATCTTTCTAGAGAACATTAAAATGTGTCCAAATTGTATTTGTCAATGCATGTTTACCAGAAATTCCACTTCTAAGAAGCTGCCTCACAGAAAGACTTGCACAAGTACACAGACATACAGGAGCAAGAATGTTTTGATGCACTGCTATCATAATAATATTAAAAACTGCAAGCAACTTACACATCTATGATAATAAATTAGGGTACACCAACACAATGGAATGTCATGCACTATGTTGCATACCAGCATAGGTCAGAACTTCATGAAATACTACCCACGATAAATTAAGCAAAAGATGCCAAAGTTACCAGGCAGCATGAGTATCCTGTCTGTGTGCGTATATAACAGTGGTCCTCCAAATGAATCCCCCAGACCAGCGGCATCAACATTACCTGGGAGCTTGTCAGAAATGCAAATTTTCAGGCCTCACCCCAACCCTACTGAATCATAAACTTCATTATAGGACCTAGCAATCTGTTTTCACAAGCCATCTGTCTTAGTCTGTTCACGCGGCTGTAACAAAATACCTTGGATTGGGTGATTTATAAATAATAGAAAGGTATTTTTTGCAGTTCTGAAAGCTGGGAAGTCCAAGATCAAGGTGCCAGCAAATTCAATGTCTGGTGAGGGCTCATTTTCTGCTTTGAGGACAGTATTTCTTGCTCCATCCTCAAAAGGCAGAAGAGGCAATCAGCAACTTTGCACCCCTCCTATAAGGTCACTAATACCATTCATGAGGGCTCTGCCCTCATCACTTAATCACCTCCTAAAGGCCCCACCTCTTCACATGATCACACTGAAGATCAAGTTTCAACATATGAATTTTAGAGGAACCCATTTAGACAACAGCATCATCTAAGAGATTCTCATGCACACTAACTCTGAGAACCACTGCCAAATCTTAAAAAAAAGACACTAAATTGTTTATAATCATGGTCTTAGGGTAGCGTTTCAGAGGAAAACTCATTTTCTGCTTTATATACTTCTGTATTCCAACTGCCATGTATTGTATTTGAAGTTAATAACAAAGAAAAAAGTAGATATATTTCCATCAGAGAGAGAAAGAGGTGGGAGAGAAAGTAGGGGGAAGGGAGAGAGAAAAAGAGAGAGGGGGAGAGAAAAAGAGACAGAGAAAAAGAAAAAGGGAAAGAAGAAAAGTGTTACCAGCTAACAGAAAAATAGACAAGATATTTAAGTGGGTGATTCCACTCCCATAAATAGGCCAAAATTGCTCAATAATGGTAGGTTTCAAACATTCTATTCAACTAAGGTTAAAAGAAACTTACATTAAAATTTGACAACTATTTCTACTTATCAAATAAACAGCATTAAGAAAAATAATAAAACCAATGGAGTCAATGATCTAGGGGACACTCAGAGGAAGGCAGGAAGGCAGGAAGGCAGGAAGGAAGGAAGGCAGGAAGGAAGGAAGGAAGGAAGGAAGGCAGGAAGGCAAGAAGGAAGGAAGGAAGGAAGGAGAGGGAGAGAAACAAAAATATAGCTGTCAGATCATGTGTAGTGGTGCACACATGGAATTCCAGCTATGCGGAAGGATCACTTGAGCCCAGAGGTTCAAGGCTGTGCTATGACCATGCTTCTGAATAGCCATGCACTCTAGCCTGACCAACATAGTGAGATACCCATTTCTAAAAAAATGGATAGATAGATAGATGGGTAGATACATAGATAGATAGACAGACAGACAGAACTATCAACATTAAGCACTTAATACACGGCAGGCAGAATTCTAAGAACTTTATAAAAAATAATTCACTTAGCCCTAACAACCATGTAGAAAAGTGAAATTACCATTTTACAGATGAGGAAACATGTGAGAGTCTCAATCATATGCCCAAGACCACCAAAGTAGTGAGTAGTGAGGCCAGCTTGTGATCCCATGTCTATGTCTCCAGAGTTCACATTGGTAATAACTGTGCTGAGAGCAGCAGGTATAATATGATATCATTTAAATTGTTGATGATGGTTCACAGAGAAAAGGCTGAAAGGTTAGACACTGAAACATTAACAACTGGGTCATAAAATTAAAGGTAATTTAAATTTTGTTTTCATTTATGTCTGTAATTTCTCTTATCTCTGAAGATTATATATTACTTGGGCAATGTGATAAATATTTAATTGGGGACTTTTTGTTCTATTAATAAAAATGAATAAGAACTCACTAAGAGGACAAGCTCTACAAAATCCAACCAGCAGAGAAAGAACCTTTGAAAGGCATAGAGTTTTGAAAAAACATGGTACTTCAAGGTAACAATGGGAATTTGAATGTGGGTGGCATGGAAATCACTTACAACACCTCCATCCACTTCCAGACTGCAGCTGTCAACCAAAAAATAAACACGTGAAGGCTCAGAAAAATTTTAGCTCAAACTTCCAGTCTGTTAATGAAAATGAACAAGCGCCTTTTCCTCACTGAAGAGACTTTGACAACCGGGGTATTCAAGTAGCACAGCCATTCTTGCTGCTTATATACCAACAAGAAAACTGGACTTGGATCCATTAAGGAAGTCTTTATTTGCCCATTAGAGAGAACATGTAACGTCTATGCTTCACTGCCAACAATGGTAACCCAATGTCCAGGGAGGTGCTGGAAGGACAAACTCATGGCTGGAACAGGCAGACGGGCATGTCTGATGAATCAAGGTCTTTAGATGGGAATATGTCATACTGGGACTACAGGCTCCAGGGGAGGATTAGAGACAAGCATCTAAAGAATGAGGGTGCCGTGAAGCCCCACATGATTTAATGCTCCCAACTGCCAGTGCTTAAAATTCCGATTTTTCTCCTGCCTTACTACCCTAGGGCATCCTATCCCTTTCCTTGTGGATGAACTTGTCCTTGTGCTAGATTTTATTATTGTTCAAAATATTCACTGTGGAGGGACTGTTTTCCACCACCCCATTAGCATCAGAATGGTCCATGTGGCTTTCTTTAGCCAATGAAATAAAAATGAAACTTGCAAGTACACATTTCTAATTGGAAGCTTTAAGAGTCATTGTATGATTGCCATATTCAGCTATGCTCTCTTTTCTGTCATAAAATCATTAACATCCCAGATGAGGGGAGCTCTATTAGCCTGAATCCAAGAATAAATAAGTTTTGTAGGATAAGTACAGCTGACCCAACATAAACATGAAATGTGAGTGAGAAATGAACTTTTGTGGTTGTAAGCCAGAGATTTGGGGCTGATTTGTTACTGCAGCATATCTTAGCCTAAACTGACTGATACACTACTGTATCCTGGCTTTCATACTCAAGACCCACCTAACACCAGGAATCACTTCCTTCTAGAAGCTCTGCGGCAATTCTCTGCACTCTTAGAGATAGAGAAGTTGGCCTGAGTGCATCTTTCTCCTTGGAAGTGAGGGAGTTTTTTACTCCCTTTGAGATATGATGACTTAACTCACTGGTCCCTCTCTGGAGTAGACTGACAGACTGATTTCCTCAAGCCCTCCTTCTACCCCACACTCAACACATACTTACATCAAAAATCTCCTCTTCCAGCCTGTCATATGGCCTCTGCCATGCATGTGATAACAGGGTATGAAAAGCAATGAAGAGCTTGACCAGTGGAGAATGAAGCCAGCCTTCACACACAGCCAAAAGATGATGAAACAGAAAATGCCTGTTCTAGCCAGCATCCTTGAGGGCTCTTGATTTCTCCAGCATAAAGAAACTTACAGTTTGAGTAATGCCAATTTCCAAGAGTCCAGGATTCTAACTGTTATCCATTGCTCTAGACATTAACAAGGCATCATCGTCACTGGCAATAAAGTGCAAGTACCTGCTTTGTAAATGGTATATGAGCAGTACTTTTGGACCTCTGCAAACATATCACTTGATTATTACAGAGGAAGCTTCAGAAGGAAATGAAAATACAAGGAGTGTTTGGAATGGTCAAGAGGTATTAATAACAACAATAGCAACAACAATGATATTATTATTAAATCTAACAGCTAACATGTGCCCTTGCTAGCTGTCTTTGGTGTCCTAAGCCCCTCGCATGTATTAATTCATTTGCCATTCCTAACTAACCTGAGAATAAGGTACTATTTGTTCTCCATACCTTAAAGATGAGAAAATAGAAGATTTAAAAGGTAGCTTGCAAAACGCCATGTCATAATTCAACGCAATACCGTGATTTTGAATTCAGATATCTTAACATCAGAGTTCAAATACCTAATCATCCTATCATACTGCCTGAGATTAAGGATATAAATACATAGAAATATTTGGGAATTCTTTCCCATCTAGAATCTTCTTTCAAGAGAAGTTACATGGATAAAGTTGAAAACCTGTCTACGTGGTTTTTCTCAAATTCGAAACAATGGCATTTCTTCACTGTGATATTTTGGACGCGGCATGCAACCACTCCTGAAAAACCAGTTACTTCGTTTATAGAATGAAGACAATAATTCTCGTTTTATAGGGCTACAGTGAGGACAGAAAATGGTAGTGAGGGACAAGGGCAGGAGGACTTCTCTCTGGACCGGAATTAAGACTGGCTGAAACCCGAAGGAGGCCCAGAAAATACCTCTGGCTCTAGTGGCCCATGACACTAAGGCACTCCCACCAGTGCCATGACAGTTTACCAATGCGACCGCAACGCCCGGAAGTTCCCACCCCTTGCCATGGCAAAAGTTACCTCCCATTTTCTATTTCTGAATAACCCGCCCCTTAATTAGCATGTCATTAAAAGTGAGTCTAAATATGACTGCAAACCATACATACACTGCTACTCTCAGTGCACTGCCTATGGGCTAGTGCTGCGAGGCAGGAGCCTTCATAGAACTCTAGCACTGCAGCTGCCTCAGTAAAGCTGCTTTCTTCCACCACCAACACATTCCTGAATTCCTTCCCGAGCAAAGCCAAGAACCTGCCCTGCATCAGTGGTAGATGTAAAACCCAAAATGTTAAATGTCATTTACAATTTTTTTTTGCAATGCCATACTCGGTTGCTCAGTGGCAACAATGAACTGATAGTGACAAGCACTATAGACCGGAAGACAGACATGAGTGTCATATCAAATCTGAGCATGCGGTTTCTTCTAAGGTTGAGTCACTTGTGGAGAACCAGCACTCCCACTACAAGCAATAATAAAAGCCAGTAACACATCAAAATTCATCTGTTTGAAAACATCCAGAGAGTTTAAGAGGCAGCTGGGATTTAAAAGCCAAACCCCCAAACCCCCAAAAGAAAGGGATGCTCACCAGGGTGAGCTCAATTTTCTGCATGTTGATACTTTCCACAGGACATTGATCAATGACTGCGACAGGTTAAGAGGCTGAAAGGATAGGCAGGGACAATTGTTACAAGGGATAGAAACAAGTAAAGAGATAGGCAATTGCACGAGGGTGGAGGCAAAGTAAACGGGTTCAGGGCTGCCTAATTAGCAAGGGCTTGAGGAGGAAATATCCGAGACAGAAGGAAAGAACAGGTCAGTGAGACCAGCATTCAACAGCACCAATTTTCCTCTTGGCATTTATCTATGAAATATTACAGGGGAGAAGACTAAGAAATCAAACTAAAAGGGATTAAAAAAAAAAGAGTTTTGACAGTCTCACAGTGATGAAGAGAGAAAAATTAGATGGAAATACCCGCCAGCGAGAAGTGTTCTAGGAAATATCACAAGGCCTAAGTTGGGACACGTAGAGGGTGATGCACTGGGATTGGACTCGAACAAAAGATAGACTGAGCCACACAAAGAATGCAACTCACCCTCAAATCAGCTCTATCTATGATGGTCTGAGATGCCTGTTCCCCTGCTGCCTGCCACAGAAAAGGTCGAACCCACACAGGAGGGCAATAATAGCCTCCAGAAACCCTACAGTTTGATATACATAATCTCCAACATCCAATTGAAATTACCACATATATCAAAAAGTAGCATCAATGGGAAAAGGAACAAACAATAAAAAGAGACTCACGATTGACTCTGTTACTGGAGTTATGAGACTCACTTTGAACTTTGATTTAAATGTTCAATAAAATAGATGAGAAGTTAGAAAGTTTGAGCACATAACTGAAATTAAATAAAAAGGAATAAAATAGAAATCCTAGAACTGAAAACTACAATAACTGAAATTAAGAATTCAGTATGTAAGTTAAGCAGTGGGTTGGACAAAGGTGAAGAGAGCTGGAAGATGCATGGGTAGAAAGGCTCAGACTAAAGCATAAAAAGTAAAAAAAAAGAGAAAAGAAAAGAAAAGGCGGGATGGGGGGCCAGGTGCGGTGGCTCACGCCTGTAATCCCAGCACTTTGGGAGGCCTAGGCAGGCGGATCACGAGGTCAGGAATTCAAGACCAACCTGGCCAACATAGTGAAACTTCGTCTCTACTAAAAATACAAAAAATTAGCCGGGTGTGGTGGCAGGCGCCTGTAATCCCAGCTACTCGGAAGGCTGAGGCAGAAGAATCACTTGAACCCGGGAAGCGGAGGTTACAGTGAGCTGAGATTGTGCCATTGCACTCCTGCCCAGGCGACAGTGAGAGACTGCATCACCAAAAAAAAAAAAAAAGTAAAGAAAAAAAGATGAAAATTATGAATATATATGTGTGTGTGTGTGTGTGTGTGTGTGTGTGTGTGTGTGTGTGTATTCTTGAGTAAAGGTTTACCACATATAGAATTTGCATCCTAAAAGAAGAGTAAAGAGAATGGGACCAGGTCAATATCGGAATAGATAATAACTCAGAATTTTCTAACACTGGTGAATATCAAGGTATGGATTCAGGAAGTGAAACAACTCCCAATAAGAATACATAGAAAACAATTACACCTAAATACCTCATAGATAAACTGCTGAAAATGAAACAAACAGAGAAAACAAAAAACAGAGAAAAATTTCAAAGCATCCAGGGGAAAAAGATTAACTGTCAAAGGAGCAAAAATTAGACTAATAAGTGATTTTTCAAGAAAACATTGGAAACCAGAACACAACAAAATGACATCTTTAAAGTGGTGGGAAAGATAATCACCAGTCTAAAATTCTATAATCAGAGAAAACATTTTTCGCTAGTGAAAAAAAAAAATAAGGACATTTTTAAACGATAAAACCCGAGAGAATTCATTGCCAGGGACCTGTGCTAAGGAAATACTGTAGAGAATTCTACAGGAAGGAGGAAAATGATCCCATATCCCATATACAAACAGGAAATGCAAGAAGAAATAAAGAAAGATTAAATATGAGAGTGAATATAATGAAATACTGACTTTACAGAGAAGTATCATGTTTTATAATGCATAAAATAATGAAGAATTAAAATGCATGACAATGATCATGCAAAAGCCTAGAAGAGAGAGAAGTTAAAATGTCCTACATTCCTAGTGTTATTTGTGAATTGGTTAATATTAAGCAGTAATAATTCAAAAATTCATACCTTAATCCAAGACTGGTCAAGAAAAGAAGAGAAATAGCGTAAATTACAACACCAAGAATCAAAGGACCAACATCAGTACAAATCCTACAAATATTTAAAAGATAGCACAAGAATATTAAGAAGAACTTTATTCCAGCACATTTAAAAATTCAGATCAATGAAACAAATCCTAGAAAATGTGATACAGGAAGACATGGAAAACTAAAAATCTAAAAACAAATAGAGGGAAAAAATAAAGTAATAAAAAATGTTTAACCAAACTGAAAGCAAAAATAGGGAGGAAGAATACAAAACTGTAAAAAGGTAAAAAAGAAATGTTTATATAATATTTATAAATCCCAGCATATCAGTAATTAAATATAGTCTAAATACACCAATTGAAAGCATCAAACTGAATTAAAATTAAAACTATATGCTGATCTTGTAAGAGACACAACTTAAATATAAGAACAAATAAAGGTTGACAGTAAGGGACTGGGAAAGCTATACCTTGCAAACGCTGAAGAAAATTAAGTTGATACAGGTATACTAATATGCAGCAAAGTAGCCTTTAAGGCAAGAAACATAATTAAAGATGAAGAATGTTTCACAGTGATGAAAGGGTCATTCCTTCTGGAAGATACAAGCATTCTAAATCTGTCTGCAACTAATAACATGTCACATATATAAACCAAAAATTGACACAACTAAAAAAGAACTAAATAAATGCACAAACATAATAGAAGACTTTAACAAACTCTCCCAGTAACTCACAGTAACTGGTAGAACAAGCAGAGCAAAATATCCAAAAAAATCATGTTAATCAATAAGATTAACGATGTTTATCTAATTGAAATATACGCAATGCTGCATTTAACAATAATTTAATAAACAAAATTTTCAAGTGTATCTGAATGTTTATTAAAACTTGCCATACTCTGGATTATAAAGTAAAGTTACAAAGTAAATCCAAACATCAAGGGCTGAAACTATTCAGACTATACCATTTGATTATATTAGAATTAAGCCACAGGTTGATAACCAAAGGAAAACTAGAAAAAAACTAAAATATCCAAAATGTTTGGAAAGTAAGTAACACAATTGTTAGTAACCATGAGTAAAACAAAAATTACCATAAAAATTAGAAAATATTTATCTATTAATGAAAATATAGTTGGTAGAATGCAGCTGAAATTGTAATTAAGAGGGAAATGTACAGCTTTTAATGCACCCATTAGAAAAGAAGTTAAAAACAATTGTCTAGCTCAAAAATTTGGAAAACAGCTAAATACACTAAAAAGTAGAAGAAGAGAAATAATATGAAGGCAAACCTAATAAGAAAACAAGGAAAATCAAAGAAGTAAAAGTTGGCTCTTTGAAAAGACACACAAAATTGATAAACACCTAAAAAAAAATTGATAAACACCTAACAAAACTGGTCAAGAAAAACAGAGAAACTGCATAAATTACAATATCAAGAATCAGAGGAGCGATAACATTACAAATCCTACAGATATTTTAAAGGTAGCATAAGAATATTTAGAAATTTATTCCCATGTATTTGAAAATTCAAATCAATAAAAAATATTCTAGAAAAACACAATTTAGCAAAACTGATGCAGGAAGATGTGGTGAGCCTCAACAGTCCTCTATAAATAAGGGAAATTATACATGTAAATAAAAACTGCCAAACAGAGACATTTCCAGGCCCTGACAGCTTCATCAGCAAATTTTTCCGTATATTTAAATTATATTATTTAACACCAGTTTTTCACGAAACATTCCTGAAGGGAAAAAAATAACAGGAATATTTCCCATCTAGTTTTATGAGGCAAGCATTAATTTAATGCCAAAACTTGACATGACTGGTACAAGAAAGAAACACTACAGATTAATCTCTTTAATATTCATGAATAAACAAATTTTAAATGAAATTAAAAATATGTCTAGTAAGTGAATATAATAAATCCCAGTAATTCAAAAAACAATCAAAGTAACTCACCATGTTAATAAAAAAGGGTGAAAAAGTTATACCAACAGATCCATAAAAATGATAAGTATAATATCCATTCATAATCATTTGAAGCAAATTGTTTATGAAATGAAATGTTCTTAAAATCTAACAAAAAAGCAACTAAAACCCTAGAGCAATGATCATAACTAAATTTAAAATATTGCAAGTTTCCTCTCTGAAATAAGAGACAAGTAAAGATGTCTGCTCTCCTCACTGGTATCCAACAATATATCAGACCTATGGTGCCATAAGACAAGAAAATGAAATAAGAACATTAAAAAGGAAAAAGTATAACTGTCATTATTCGCCACTTACTGGCTTATATACAGGAAATACAAAAGAATATACAGTCAAATTACTAAAAGTAAAAGTGAATCTGGCCAATATCCAAATCATTAATTGTATTTCTACACATTAGTAACAATTCAAAAATGAAAGCATTTCAAAATACCATTTGCAATATCATCAAATACTTAGGACTAAATCTAAGAAAAGATACATAAAACTCTATACAAAAGTCTACAAAATATTATTGAGATAAATTAAAAGACACTTTAATAAATGAAAGGTTATACCACATTCTTAGACTAAAAGATCAATTAAGTAAATATGCCAATTGTCCCCCAAATCAGGCTGTAAATTTGGGGGTAATTCCAATCAAATTGGATGTAATTCCAATCAAAAGCCAATATTTTGTTTTTGTGGAAATTAACAAGACGATTCTAAAATATAAATGGAAACACAGAGGGCCAGGAATAGACAAGACAACCATGAAGAAAATGAGCAAACCTAAAGGGCTTAGACTTGCTGATATCCAGTTATTCTAAAGCTACAGGAACTAAAATGGTGTGAAATTGGCTCAAAGTCAGAAAAATAGTCTAGCAAAACAGAATACAGAGAACAGATATAGCCCCACAAACATATAATAACTTGATTTGTGACAAAAGTAACATTATACTGCAATGCGGGGAAAGTGGATTTTTAATAAATGATTCTATATCACATGGATACCCCATCAGAAAAAAAAAAGATGCTTCGCCTCCACTTCATGCCTTATAAAAAAAATCAATCATATATAAATTGGAGCTCTGTTTGAAAAATACAGAATAAACTTTTAAGAAGAAAAAGGAGAATATTTTCAAAACCTTGAGATAAAGTCTTAATTTTTAAGCAGGATGAAAAATCTCTTACTATAAAGAAAGATATTGATTAACTAGGCTATATAAAAATTAAGAATTACTACTCAGAAAGACCATAGAGTGTATGAAAAAACATCGGCACAGACTAGTTGAATATATTTTCAATAATTATATCCAACAAAGGACTTTTACCCAGAATATGTAAAGAACATCTATAAACCAATAGGAGAGGAAAAAAGCAAATCGATTTTTTTAATGGGCAAAACACTTTAAAATGCACCTCATGAGAGAGTACATTGTACAGCCAAGTGTTCAGTAAGTATATGAAAGAGTGGTCAATCTTATCAGTGGTCAGAGAAATGCAAATTAAAACCACATGATATACTACAACCACTGGAAAAGCTAAAAAATTAAAACAATTGACAATACCAAGTGCTGGTGAAGATGTGTTACATCCTGGACTCACAAACATTGCTGATGGGAATTTAAATTGTTAACAAAATACAGAAAACTGCTTATAATATCAACTAAATTTAGTTTTTATTTGTTTGTTTTTCTTTATGTTTTTGTTTTTGAGACAGCGTCTCACTCTGTTGCCCGGGCTGGAGTGCAATGGTGCGATCTCGGCTCACTGCAACCTCCACCTCCTGGGTTCAAGCAATTCTCCTGCCTCAGCCTCTGAGTAGATGGGATTACAGGCACCTGCCATCACATCCAGCTAATTTTTGTATTTTTGTAGAGACGGGGTTTCACCATGTTGGCCACGGTGGTCTTGAACTCCTGACTTCAGGTGATCACCTGCTCACCTTGGCATCCCAAAGTGCTGGGATTACAGGCATGAACCATGGCATCCAGCCAAAATTTGAAGGTAAGTACACATTATGACCAAGGAATTCCACTATGTGAATATACTCAACAGGAATGTGTATATACCATCCTAAAGGAATGTTTAAGAATGTCCATAGCAGCACTGTTTATAATAGCCAAAACCTAGAAGCATTCTAAGCATTCATCAATAGTAGAATGGATACATTATTTTCAGTATATTCATACAGTGGAATACTACATGGTGATGAAAAAGAACACACTACAACTGGATGTATCTCACAAACAACGTGGGACTATTAAACCAGACACAAGAATTATATACTTTACTATTCCATATATATGAAGTTCGAATAGGCAGTATTAATCTGTGGAAATAGAAGCAATAATAGTCCTAGTTATTGGAGAGTAGTGACTATGAGGAGCACAGGTGGAGGACCTTCTGGGCAGTGTTCTGGATCTAGGTGGTGACTACATGGGTGTATTCCCTTTGTGATAATTCATCATGCTGTACACTTAGGATTTAGGCACATTCATGTACATGTTATATTAACATTACAATTACTTTAGAAAAATCCAGTTGTATTCATCATTATTTTTTCATGAGACAAAAGAAGAAAAAAAGAGGAGGAGGGGGAGGAAAGAAAGAGAGAGAAAGAAAGAAAGAAGGAAAGAGAAAGAAAGAAAGAAGGAAGGAAGGAAGGAAGGAAGGAAGGAAGGAAGGAAGGAAGGAAGGAAGGAAGGAAGGAAGGAAAAAACAAAGAAAGAGAAAGAAAGAAAGAGAAAGAGAGAGAGGGAAAGGAAAGAAGGAAGGAGAGGGAGGAGAAAATGGAGGAGGAGGAGAAAGAAAGAAAGAAAGAAGAGGAGATGGAGGAAGAAGAGGACAAGAAGGAGGAAGAAGAAGACCAGTTGGAGGAGGAGGAGAAGGTGATGGACCTGGAACCTTCTATCAGTAAAATGAGGAATTGAGACTAAATAACATCCTTTATGGCTCTCATTTCATCTTCTTCTGGGGGCAAACACACATCATCCACTCACAGACGAGGAAGCTGAGGTAAAATTGACTTCCAGCCCCACATGACCCAGGCCTGATCAATCAGAGCATTCTATCTCCTGGCCCCACCATGGATTGATAAAGAAATGCACATATAACCCAAATTGGGCCAATGAGACTTGATTTTAGGGCAGCTTTTGGATGTAATTATCTGAAAAGAACAAGAAAGTTCACCATCGACATTGATAACCCACCTGTAAACATAATCTTGGCATTGCTATCACACTGACAAGTCCTGCCTAAGAATCAAGCAAAAATAGAGGAAGTCAGGCATGATGGCTCATACCTGTAGTCTCAACACTTTGTGGGGGTGAGGTGGGAGGACAGCTTGAGCTCAGGGGTTCAAGACCAGCCTGGGCAACACACAAGATCCCATCTCTACAAAAAAAAAATTATTTAGCCCAGTGTGGTGGTGCATGCCTATAGTCCCAACTACTTGGGAGGCAAAGGTGGGAGGATAGCTTGAGCCCAGGAGTTTGAGGCTGCAGTGAGCTAGGATCATGCCACTGCACTCCAGCCCGGGCAACAGACCAAGACCCTGTCAAAAAAAAAAAAAAAAGAAAGAAGAAAAGAAAAAAAAATGTAGGAAGATAGAGAAGAAGAAGATAATGATAACAGGGAGAAAGTGAAATAATACGTAGATTATTCACAGAGACTTACTGAATTGTAATGGCATTTTTTTTTTTTTGAGACAGAATTTCACTCTTGTTGCCCAGGCTGGAGTGCAATGGCACAACCTTGACTCACTGCAACCTCCGCCTCCCAGGTTCAAGTGATTCTCCCGCCTCAGCCTCCAGAGTAGCTGGGATTACAGACACCCATCACCACACACAGCTATTTTTTTTGTATTTTTAGTAAAGATAAGTTTTCGCCATATTGACCAGGCTGGTCTCAAACTCCTGACCTCAGGTGATTCACACTTCTCAGCCTCCCGAAGTGTTGGTATTCCAGGTGTGAGCCACTGCACCGGCCTGGCATCTTTTGTGAGAACCTGAATATAATCACATACACTCTTGGACTTTTCAACTTTGCAAGCCAATAAATTCTCACTTTTGCTTGAGGTGGTAAGTTGGGATTTTGTCACTTGTAACTAACAGCCCTGACTGTTCAAATGTCCAAGGCCACTTCCAGCTTTAACATTCTATGACGTACACAATGCATTCCAAACTTTGCCAACTAAGCATGCATTATGGCCTAAAATAACAAGCAACACACTCAGGGGTTACGTTCCTCCACCAGCAACCTTGACATTTCTTTCAAGTCTTACATTGCATCTTAAAAAACAGAAAATCATATGAATTTTCTAACCTATTCCATAATATTTTGTTTCTCTTAATGTAACTATTTCCTTCAAATTGTCACATAAAATCGAGAGTCCAAGGAGCCCCTGAGCTCAAGCGATACTTCCACCTCAGCCCCACAAAGGTGTGAGCCTTCAGGCCTGGCTTCCTCTATTTTTGATTTACTCTTAGGCAGGACCTAAGTGTGCAGGTGGCAGGTGACCCAGACCATCTGCATCCTACCATTTATGGTGCTCCTGGCAGCAGCATATCCCTATTTTAGAAGAACAGATTTAGGGAGAGGTTACAAACTCAAATCCCTACAAGGGTCAGGCAGGTATGTTGTAATGGGCCAGTTGTAAGGCAAGAGTGTATACAAGAAAGCCAGCACAAGCCCAGTCCAAGGTGGGCAGCTCCACTCAACTGTATGTTCTTTTAATCCCCATGCTGGTCAAACACATCTGCAAGATGAATACAGTGTGAACACTTCCTCAGCTCTGATTTTGAGCATACATTCTCGTATTTCCCACCTAACATATGGGCAATACTTACACTGTTGCTAACATCCATTCCCCAAATAACCAGCATTTTTCTTCTTATAAAACATTTTTCTTTCAAACAGAGATCAGGCACAGAAGCCTTGGCATATATTTATTTAGTGAAACTATATTATATATTCTGAAAATCAGATGGCTTTACCTAAGCAATCTCTAGAAGGAAAATTACCCTTTTCCAATAGATACACTCACATTTTATATGATATTTTTAACAGCCTCGAAGTTTCAACCTCGACCAGCAATATTTGAATTGCTTTTAATTTAGCAAGTATGGAGAAGAGAATAATTTGGCAGCTACTTCTTGATACATGTCAGAAGCTGGGGGTCCTCCCATGAGAATCTGCTGTTCATAAAAGTAATTTTTTCCATTCATGCTGCTGACAGCATCCCCCTCCCGGAATCACAGTCACGTGGCTGTCACTCTTGAAGCAGTAGCATACTCTGAAATTATAGGGTTTTTTTTTAAATAGTATAATCAAGCATTTGATCTGAACTATTAAAGAAAGGGAAAAATTAATTTAAAACTGTCACTAGTGACCTTTCCAATTATGTGCGATAGTTCTTGTACAACATGCATTCAAAGGCTACTGTTTGTCTGATTTACTTGTAATAAAATGTTCTCTACAGAGAACAAGATCACATTGTTCAGGGGAGTCCATTGTTAAGTCAAGAAGAAGATTTCATTGGGATATAGTGAAAGGGTAAAGAGTTATCTCCTCTGTCATCCAGAGGTCACTTAGAATTTTAGTTACAAATCATTTTAGAATAATAACAATAGTGATAATGATAATGATCTTGGTAACCTGATTGAGTACTTACTATCTGCAGAACACTGGCCTAAATGTTGCATGCCCATTTTTTGCTTAATCCTCTCAACCCTTTAAGGCAGGTATCGATAATATCCTAAGAGGAGATTGAGACTCACAGAAGTGACTGTCAGCTGCTGTCAGTTTCAGAGCATGGACTCCAGTCGGTATCTGATAACAGGGACTATGTTCTTAACCACCCAACCATTCACTGCCTATAAAGTTGGGAGGGTTTTTAGGAGATCAACCCAGTCTTCTACCCTGCGCAATAATGCCCATTTCCTCATTTCCCCCCAGACCTAGTCATTTTCCAATCTTCCCTGGTTTAGTGAGTGTCACAATGTCACCAATTTTCCATTGCGCTGCTCAGCCCGGAATTCAGGAAACAGTATTATTCATATTCTCCCTACTTCCCCACCCAAATTCAATCTCTCTCACAGACCTGTTGATTCTACGTCTTCAAGAGCAATTCTATCAATGTACACCTCCCCATCTTCACCACTGCCAGTCTTGTCCAAGCCACCATTATGTCTTCAAATATGGCAGCTTTCTTTACCTTCCAGTCTGGGCCATGTCCAGTTTGTTCTCACTGAAGGCACCTTGCCTGCCTGCCCTGCACCGCCCATTACCACCCCTCTCCCGGCTTGTGTCACTCACTTCCCCTCTTCTTCTCTGTGCTTTACACAAATGGACTTTTGGGTTACCGGAAGCTGTAAGGTCCCTCTAATCACAGCTTTGGTTCATGGTGTTCCTTCTGCTCAGAAGTCTCTTCCTCTTTACCTGCTTAACTCTTATTCACCCTTCAAATCTCTACTCATTATCTAACTGCCTCAGGGAAGCTGAGACAGAGAAGCTGAGGGATGGCTGAGATCATGCCAATCTTCTGACATAAAACCACTTATCTCTCCATTGAAATACTCGCCACAATTTACCTTTGTAGCTCCATGACTACTAGATCATTTACTTGGACTAATTAGAATGAAATTCTTTCTGAATGATTGAAATTCCTGAATTAACAGACAACAAGAGATGGTGTGGTAAAATGGTAATGGCACATGCTTCGAGGTCAGGGAGTCGAATTGAATCCTGACTCTACTTAGCACTATTTACACTCTACTTACACTCATCTCTAGCTGAGTGACCTTTTTAATAATAAGACTTGGAAGTCCAAATTACTCCTCTATCCATGGGCTGCAAAAGGGATATTGTGTTAACACACATGAAAACATTAATCTCCTTGTACATTTTTATCAGTGCTCTTGGGTGACCAAGAGCCTTGACTGTGAGAAGCAATATTTTGAAAGGAATCTTTTTTAAAAAGCAGTAGGTCTTAACAGTGGGCTTATAATATTCAGTAAACCACACTGTAAACAGATATGCTGTCAATGAGGCTTTGTTGTTCCATTTCTAGAGCACAGGCAGAGTAACTTTAGCATAATTCTTAAGGGCCCTAGGATTTTCAGAATGGTGAATGAGCTTCAACTTAAAGTCACCAGCTGCATTACTTCCTAACAAAAGTTAGCCTGTCATTTGAAGCTTTGAAGCCAGGCATTGACTTCTCCTCTCTAGCCCTGAAAGTTCTAGATGGCATCTTCTTCCAATAGAATGACTATTTCATCTACATTGAAAATCTGTTGTTTAGTGTAGCCACCTTCATCAATTACTTTATCTAGATCTTCTAGATAATTTGCTGCAGCTTCTACATCAGCACTTGCTGCTTTACCTCGCATTTTTATGTTATGGAGATGGCTTCTTTCCTTAAACCTCATGAACCAACCCATGCTAGATTCCAAATTTTCTTCTACAGCTTTCTCACCTCGTTTAGCCTTCATAGAACTGAAGAGAGTTAGGGATTTACTCTAGATTAGACTTTGACTTAAAAGAATTCTGTAGCTGGTTTGATCTTCTAACCAGACCACTAAAACTTCCCCCATATCAGCAATAAAGCTGTGTTGCTTTCTTATCATTCATTTGTTCACTGGAGTGGAACTTTTAATTTCCTTCAAAAACTTTCCTTTTGCACTCACAACTTGGTTAATTGTTTGGTGCAAGAGGTCTAGCTTTTGGCTTATCTCAGCTGCAGACATGCGTTTCTCACTGAGCTCCATCATTTCTAGCTTCTGATTTAAAGTGAGAGACATGAGATTCTTCCTTTCACTTGAACACTTAGAGGTCATTGTAGGGTTATGAACTGGTCTAATTTGAATATTGTTGTGTCTCAGGGAATTGGAAGTCCCAAGTAGAGGGAGAGAGGTAAGGGCATGTCCAGTCGGCAGAGCAGTCAGGACACACCAATTTATTGATTAATTTTGCTGTCTTATATGGCCAAGGTTCATGATGCCCCAAAATAATTACAATGGTAACATCAAAGATCACTGATCACAGATCATCATAACAGATATAAGAATAATGAAAAAGTTTCAAATATTGCAAGAATTACCAAAATATGACACACAGATGTGAAGTGAGCACACACTGTTGAAAAAATGGCACTTATAGACTTGCTTAATGCAGTCGCCAGAAACCCTCAATGTGTAAACAAACAAACAAACAAAAACACAGTATCTGCAAATTGCACTGCAGTGAAGCACAAAAATTAAAGTATACCTGTATATAACTTAAAGCGTTTAAGAAATTTGGTTACCCAAGTATTTTGAAATCTCTAAAATCTCCAAGAGTTCTGGAAAAGCATAGTGGTGATGGTTGCATCGTGACTGTGCCCTTAGAAATGATTTAAATGGTAAATTTAATGTTTTGTATATTTTACCACAATAAAAAAGTTCAGAAACATCTTTTTCTGAGTGTAAAAAAAATTAACCTCAGCGGCTGAATAAGCACAAATTCTACCTTAATTATACTTTTTGCTGTTACCTTGCCCTATCCTTCAATATAACAGATTTCTCCCCAAGAGTAGCTAAAGTATCAAAGCAGCTCAAGAGTCTGGAATGCAGGAAATTGTCATTATGCCACTGGCAGAAAAAAAAAAAAACTAGAATTGGCTTGATTACCACAACTCTGGTGGAAAGGAGAAAAGTGATTTTCAATGACAACTGACATCAATGCAGCGGCTGTTAAAACAGAGGGCAGGGAAGTTAAACCCCTGTGGTTCTAACTGCAAAAACTAGAGATATGGGCAATCAGCAGTACATTTAAAAATGGAACCATTCTGGAAAATATTCAAAGGCTTGGAGGAGGAGTCCCAATCTATAAATAAAAGCAATGGTTAAAGTGATAATTAGATTGGTGAAAAGAAACATATTGGAAAATTGAATAGACTGCTTTCACTGACAATGACATCTTCAGACATATTTGCAATCCACAAAATAAAAAGAAAAAAAAAGAACAGCTTCCTCTGATGTGATAAATTGGAGCCAGGCAGATTGGCTACATGGCTCCCAACCCTCTTCTTTTTTTCAAAGAAAGCAACAAAATGAGGGTGGATTAGACTTTCTTTGTGTTAAGTGGGGAAAGAAGATGCCGATTACAATGAAAGCCTTTGACAAGAGACCCAAGACCACTGAAACAGACAAGCTATTACCACAAGAGAACTAAAATCTATGAAAAGGATTTTTTAAACTATTAAGCCAATAAGACGGGCATTTCATACGCTCATGTTTGCAAACATAGATGAATCCATTTTATTTTAACTTATTTGGAGCTTTGAATTTAATAACATTTAATAAAATCTCATTAATTTTAAAAGAGGTTAGGAAATTAATAAAATAAGCTGATATTTGAGTTGCTTGCTTCAGATTATCCAATATTTTATTAAAGAGAAATGGGCTATCCAAGCAGCTGTAAGGTGCATCTGACTTTAACTAATCTAGAACTGCCTTAATCAGGTTTGCTATAATATAATCCTGAGACACCAGAGACATTGGTAAACAGATACAGAGGGTATCCAGTGCAACCTGATCAAGTGTAATGTATTTTTCTTATAAATTGAATTCTGAACCATACGGCTAAAATCCAATGGTGGAAAAAATGCAAGCATGAGCTAGAGAGAGCTGTCGTGAAACACACAGAAAAAGCAAGAGGCAAAAAGACAACTTGGGGGAAGGAGACAGTCCACAGGACCAAGTTCTATGAAGTCAAACAAACCAACACTAGCAAAAGCAAGAGCCAGGAGGTACTTCCGTTTGGTGGCTGAGTGACATGGTTAGCTTTGTGTCCCCACCCAAATCTCATCTTGAATTGTAATCCCCAGGTGTTAAGGGAGGAACCTGGTGGGAAGTGATTGGATTATGGGGGCGGTTTCCCATGCTGTTCTTGTGATAATGAGTGAATTCTCACAAGATCGGATGATTTTGTAAATTATAGTTTTTCCTGCGCTCTCACACACTTCTCCTTCCTGCCGCCTTGTGAAGAAGGTGTCTTGCTTCCCCTTCACCTTCTGCCATGATTGTAAATTTCCCGAGGCCTCCCCAGCCATGCTGAACTGTAAGCCAATTAAATCTCTTTCCTTTATAAATTACCCAGTCTTGGGCAGTTCTTTTTAGCAGTATGAAAACAAACTAATATACTGAGTTTGTTTTTGTTTTTCTGTACAGTAAGGTTTTTTGGAGTGGAGAAGCAAGAAGGGAGGAAACACTCAATGAAGATGACTAGAAGCTTTCAGCCCCACACAACCACCCGAAAGAGAAGAAGGATAACTGTGCATCATCTTCAAACATCTTTCCTCAGATAGTAAAAGAAATAATACTGCTAAACTTTCAGTTGGGCAGTAGAGTGTGGATGGTCCAAACCTTGGGCTCTGGGATGAAGATCCCAACTTTATCACATACCAGCTGTGGGGTCTTGGGTAAGTTACATAGATATTCAAGGTCTCAGGTTGTGTCTCCTTCAAATGCAGGTAACGGCAGCTCCTATCACATAAGGAGGGGTGAGGATTAAATTAGTTTGTGCAGAAGCTCATGTGTCCATGGTCTAGATGTGAGTTATGTGTGTGAGAGAGGAGATTCTATCCAAGAGGATGCTTTTGAAGAGAATCGAAACCTCGGTAGAAAGAGGATGAAAATGAAATTCTCCTCTCCTAAGGGCCGAAGAAGAACTAGTAAGTACAATGCAGAAATAGAAGTGCAATTACTGCCCTCAAGAGAACCGCTGATGAGGGACCTCTAGCAACTAAGGGTGCTGGTGTGTATGGGAAACTCCAAAGAAACCCATCAGCAGTCATGAGCAAAAGAGCCTACTTTAAACCTCTGCCAAGTCCAGAAAGCGCTGATACCAGCTCACGGCAGTTCCAGTCAAGTAAACACTTTTATGTCCTCCTTTCCTCTCCTTCTTGACCCAGCTTCAATCCTGGAGAGGACAGAAGGTAGGTGAGGTAGAAGACAGAGAGAAGTCAACCACTTCCCTTTTATAACAACAAGCTGCCCTGTATGTTGCATGCAAGCCCAATAAACCAAGTCCAAAGTCTTGGTAATTGCACAGGCTTCCATATTTTAATTATTAATGTGCAACTGTGTTTTGCAACTTCCTGGGGGTGTGGGGCCAGCCTTCTACTACTGAATAGGTACCGGTAAGTCAGTGGGGCCTTCCAGAATTTTCAACCCAAAGCAAAAACAGACCAACTCCACTGAGTAAATATAAAGAGACAGTAGCAGACAAAAATGAAGTCAGTTTAGGATGACATCACACAAATCATGCTCATTTAACCTAGTGGTTAAATGTCTTAAGTTTCATAGCAATAGTTAAAAACAATTATTTCCATTAGGCAGTTTACTGAGTTCCAGGGACTGACTGTGGTCAACAGTTTACATGCAACGCCCCAATTTACCAACACAACAGATGAGGTACGCACTGTTATTTCTCCCACTTTATACACAAGAAAAACTGATAATTTGCCTAAGGTCATGAGAGTTAGTGACAAAGCAAGGATTTCAAGCCACTATGCCAATTCTTTGCTTCTCCTCCTTCTTTAGGGATGGCTTAAATAATAAAAATAATAATGATCCTTTATTTAGGGCTTACTCTGTGACTTGCATGAATTAGCTCAAATTATTCTCAACAAGAGACCCCTATGATCACCCAAACTTTACCGATGCAGAGAGAGACAGACAGTCAGTGGCACAAGATTGTCAAGCTATGGAGGCTAAACTGGGATTTGAACCCAGGCAGTTTAGCTCCAAAGACCATGCTCCTAACCAGTGTGATCTACTGCAAATGTCAAATGGGACCATTATTATTATAGCTTGGCCATATGGAAAGGTCGGGGCTTGGCCTGACCTAAAATAACAGAGAGGGCATGTCAGGCAAAGGCAAGAGCCAGGGCCCAGAGGCAGGATTGAACACGGTGCATCCTAGAAGCTACAAGCCCAGGAATTGCTCTCACTGAGGAACTCATTCACAGGGGCAGCCAGGGAAGTGAATCAAGTGGAGAATAAACAATAAATCCATGAAACAACTGTTCACACTTGTGCGCCCGCTTGCCTCCTAGGACACTCTCATCACTCACGTTACGAAGAAATGGAGCAATAACCAACCTGGGGACCTCGGAATGAAATCAGTGGAAATGGACTCCTCCTTTGACAATGCCAGTGCCATAAATCCGCAGCGTGCCAAGATGCCAAGCCAGCTCTGGCACAGAGGCGCCGTACATCTTCCTCTCATCCATCAGGAATGTTTCCCTCTTGTAAACAGCAGTGGGTGTTGTTGTTATTATTGTTTTTACCTTCCTGTTTCTCTGCCTGGCTTTATGGAGTGAATTAAAAACAAGTGAGCTTGGTGGAAAAAAGAATTTGTATTCATCTCTGAAGACCAATCAGGATTTAAGTGTGCCTGCTCTGAGAAGCTCAAGAAAAGTAGATTTTGTTCAGAATATCTGAAAAGTGGTCTTTAGCACAGGAAATGTTTTCTCCTACAAGGGACACTTTTGAGGTTAGACGGTTTAGACTCCTCAGGGTCTGACACACTCCAAGCATGAAGTGGACAGGTAGTAAATGTTAGTTTAATGCTAATTGGTTGGTTGATTAAATGAATAAATGAGCAAACGAATGAAATGATTGGTACAAAGGAAAGAATATGGGCTTCAAGATCAGACTTACATAGCCTTGGATCCTACTCAGCCACCAACTTCCTGTGTGACTTGGCCAAGCCACTTGACCTCTCTGAGCCTGTTAACACATTTGTAAAAAGATATAATGATAGCTACAGTGATGGACTTCCATTCGCTGTTTAGCTTTGTTTTCTTCCAGCCTCCATTGATCTTACTCCCTGTAACACCCTGATTTTGGTTTGGTGACCCACCTTTCTCCCATCCTCAGTAGCATGGTGATTTGGGTGGATCCAACTCCACCCACAGTCCCAGGAGTGCACTTATATGTTTAGCCTAGGCCAACCCCTGTGTTGCATTCTTACAGAGGGAAGGACTGCATTAGTCAGGTCAATCACAGCTGTAAGAGACAAGGTTTTCCATAAAAACAGAACCAGTAGGGTGTGTGCGTGTGTGTGTGTGTGTAGAGACACAGAGAGATTTAAGACTTTGGCTCACATGATATGGGGGCTAGTAAGTCCAAAATCCATGTGGTAAACTAACAGTCTGGAGAATCAGGTAAGATTTGATTTGCAATCGTTGAGTCCAAAATCCGCAGGGCCAGGTAGAAAGCTGGAAACTCAGACAGGGTTTCTATGTTGCAGTCTTCAAGTAAAATTTCTTCTTCTTCTCCTTCGTCTTCATCTCCTTCTCCTTCTCCTTCTTCTCCTCCTCCTTCTTCTCCTCCTTCTCCTTCTCCTCCTTCTCCTGCTTCTCCTCCTCCTCTTTCTTCTTCTTCAAGAACTCTCCTTCTTCACTCTTAAGGCCACCAACTGATTGGATGAGGCCCACTCATATTATAAAGGGTCAGCTGCTCTATTCAAAATCTACTGATTTCAAAGTTAATCACATCTTTAAAAATACCTTCACAGCAACATCTAGACTGGTGTTGGACCAAACAAATGTGCACCATTGCCCTGCCAAGCTGACATCAAATTAGCCATGACAGTAGTCAATAAGATTCAGTCCTAGTACTTGTTTGAGCTGTAAGAGAAGCCAACTTTCTCCTTCCTGCTGTACCTAAGCCTGAAAGGATGTGAGGACAGAAACTGAGGGCAGGAGGTAGGAGGCTCAAAGGGGAACCATAAGGTGAGGCACTGGATTGTTGCAAACTCAGGAGCCAGTCTACCAGAGCTAAGGCCCTCAACCATGGCTGTCCCAGGCCAAATGGCCAACATCCCTGGAGATAGGTGAGGCCAACTAGGTCTTAGAAGGTGATAAAATATGTCAGTTACACCTGGGAAGTACTTTTTATTATCCAGATTTTGTAGAAAAAATATATATATATATTTTAGTATGTATGTGTGTATATGAGTAATCACACTTTTTAAAATATCAAACAGCATAAAAGAAATACTGAAAAATAAGTCACCCACCCACATGGACCCCCAATCCACCTGGCCCAACCTAGCAATCAAACACTATTTCCAATTTCTCACCCCTCTCCAGAACTCTCCTAAGCATACACCATGTGTGTCTATCTATTTCTCTCTCTATGCAAATGGAAACAAACTATACATGGTGTGCTTCATTTTACTTATTTTCTCTTAAAATGTCACCAGAAGGCATTCTATATTGGCATATTGGAGGTCTACACAATTTCTTTTCAGTACAACATATTTCTTTTTTTGCTGTTTCGATTTCTTTGTTTGTTTGTTTTGAGATGGAGTCTCACTCTGTCGCCCAGGCTGGAGTGCAGTGGCGCGATCTCAGCTCACTGCAACTTCTGTCTCCTGGGTTCAAGTGATTCTCCTGCCCCAGCCTCCCAAGTAACTGGGACTACAGGCGCCTGGCACCATGCCCGGCTAATTTTTGTATTTTTAGTAGAGATGTTTTTCGCCATGTTGGCCAGGCTCGTCTCAAACTCCTGACCTCAGGTGATCCACCCGCCTCAGCCTCCCAAAGTGCTGGGATTACAGGCGCGAGCCACCGCGCCCAGCCTTGTATAAGCTGTATCTTATGCACACACACACGGACGTGCACACACACACACACACACACACACACACACACACTTTGGTGTGCTTTCTGCTGTATCTCCAGTGCCTAGAGCTGTCTTGGACACACAGAAAGCACACAACAAATGTTTGCTGAATAAATAAGTGATTACTAAATCCTAACAAAGTTATAGAGGTGTGGGGGATATTGGCAGATATCAAGAAAAGCAGAAGTTTAGAAAAACAAACAAAATGCATAAGGAGGATAGGCAATGTTAATTCTAAGGTGGTATCGATTCCAACATGAGTCACTCACTTATGTGGAGAGATTAATGTGCGTGAGTCAAGAGAGAACCCCTACCCACATTTCAGGGGAGCATTGTGGACACCTAATGCTTTTCAGTGACGAAGCACTATAGGAAGAGACATGGATTAAAATGAAGAGAAAATACTGGATAAATAATAACCATGGAAAAAAGTATCCTGCAATGGAAAAAAGTATCCTGTAATGAGGGCATGCATATTGGGGATATCTCTGTTATATTTTGTTAGTAAAAACAGAACGTATTCAATCAGTAGAATTAGACAAACATGACTTAGTCAGCAAGAACATGACATCTCAGTCTCCAAGATATGTAGAAACTTAGAAATGATACAAAGAAAGAGATTTTAGAGTTTAAACATTGTCGAGGCCAGGAGAGAAAAGATGGAACAAGGAAAGAACTGAAGAACATTCGTGAAAGGGTTTGAGCTTCAGATAAAAGGGAATGTGTTGAGTGTGTGTATCTGAGAATACACTGACCACGGTATCTGATCATTTTTTCTCCGGTAGGCATGATCATCCTTGAAAATTTGACACAGGCCTCAGTTAATTTAGAAAGTTTATTTTGCCAAGGTTGAGGATGCGCACCCGTGACACAGCCTCAGGAGGTCCTAACAACATTTGCCCAAGATGGTCAGAGCACAGTTTGGTTTTGTACATTTTAGGGAGACATGAGACATCAATCAACATATGTAAGATGAAAAACAGGACAACTCAAAGTGGGGAGGTGGCTTCCAGGTCATAGGTAGATAAGAGACAAATGGTTGCATTCTTTTGAGTTTCTGATGAGCCTCTCCAAAGGAGGCAATCAGATATCCATTTATCTCAGTGAGCAGAGGGGTAACTTTGAATAGAATGGGAGGCAGGTTTGCTCTAAGCAGTTCCCAGGTTGACTTTTCCCTTTAACTTAGTGATTCTGGGGCCCAGCATATATTCCTTTCACAGTCATAGCCAGTGTGACTGAGTCAAGCATTTGAGGACTGAGATTGTGTCACCCGCCTCATGTTCCTACATTGCTATGTAGAAAAACTCTGAGCCAAATCAAGGTACAGGAGTCAAGAGGAGGAACCAGCCATCAGTACTAAGGTTGCAAGACAACCAAAGGCCAGACTCCTGGACTGAGAGGAGGAGGCTAACTTCTTTGGCAAAATACCACTGCTGGACCCAAAGCTGAGCTTCACCAAGTGTGCATGGCTCTGCAGAAACCAGACTTCAAACTAAGACTTCTAACTCATTTTTCATTCCTGTCAAGAAAACACAGGACTAAGACTGTATGCGGAGTTCCAAGATAAATGGTCTGTGCCATCATGGAATTTGATCTGATGAAGAGACATAACAAAAAGAAAGTGGATTCACAGTCACAGCAGAGAAGAGCATCAAGGAAAGGGACAGAAGAGAAGGCAAGTAATGCTGCTTAGAGGATTTGGTGCTATTGGAGCTGGGTTTTGAAGAATAAGTAGGAGTTTGCCATTGGCAAAGAGGAGGAAGAGCATTCAGAAAAAAGAAGAACACGTGCACAGACAAAAGTTGTGAGGAATTGTAAGCTATCTGGAGACCAGTCAAGAATTCAGGGGAAAGTGATTACGAGGTGCATGTGGTGGGGATGGAGTGACTTTTCAGACACAGCAAGATGTGGGGCACCTGGGATCATAAAGGCTTTAGATGTCAGCTAAGGAGTTTGGAGTTCACTTTGTACTTAACGGGCCAACAAGTGGTTAGGTGAGATGCTCGAATTGGCACAGGAAGGGCTTTTCCTAGTAAACCATATAACAAGCCCTGATGTCTTTTAATGACAGAATCAGTGTCCCTTCAGCCACAGAGCATTCTGTAGTCACGTGCTGTCTTTTTTATGGGAGGGCAAGAGGCAGGCAACAGCTGCTCATCCTGCAGACACATGCCAACAACACTTATTGTCCAAATCCATTCTCTAGAATCCTCAGTATTGATGTCCTGTAAGCCAGAGGCCCTTAGCAAACCATCCTCCGACACATCAAACAGACAGCGTCGCCAAGGTCTTCATAGAATAACAGAATGAAATGCACTTCTGCTCCTCGAATCCTTGATGGATCAATCTGCCAGTTCACGAACTATACATAAATGTGGTGGGTGCGACAGCGACTCAGTCACCAAGGCCCCTGCATAAATAACACTCTATTTAGTCAATGCTAACAGAGAAATCCCTGAGATGCATAATCTTGCAGAAGAAAAATAACAAAGCCACCAGATGCCATGCTATGAGCTGGGGCATTATGAAGCAAAGGTGTCTGCATCCCTGGAAATTCAGTGCTGCTGGGGACAGGGACAGTGGGTGAAGAGTGCATTGTGGAATGCAAGCAGACTGCTGCCAGTCAATTGGCCCATCAAGATTCTGAAGGTGAAACTACACAACTAATAGATCATGTAGGTACTGCATGCAGAAGAGGTGGTCCAATGTAATCAAAATGAATACTTACACAGTGCCTATAGTATGCCACGCACACTTGGCACTTCCTACACATTGCATTATTTCATCCACACGTTGGGGTAGAAGCTATTATTATCCTCACTTTTTGCAGAAGGAAAGTGAAGTATAGACATATTAATAAGTAACTTGTCCAAGGTCACACAGTTCATAAGCAACAGAGTCTGAATTAAAGCTCAGGCAGTCTGGCCTTAGGGTTCTTGGTCTAAACCACCATTGCTGTAGCAAGGGAAGAGACTGCTTCTTGAAGGCAGAAGACTTGAGTTTGAATTTTAGTTGCTCCAGCCCTTGAGCTGTAAGTCTTGGGATAGTTGCTTAATCTTCTGAACCTTGGTTTTACCAACTATAAAATGAAAAGAATAGTAATGTTTATCTCAGAAGGTCTTGAACCAACTAAGGAAGTGCCTGGCACATAGGCAGCTGGTCAATGTTTGCTAAATCCCAAACTGCGAAACCATCCAAAGCACTCTCACTGTGGCTGTTTACCCTGATTTAATAGCTCACGCTTACCAAATATTAAATACTTTCCACAAAGTACTTCATTTAGCTCATTCATCCTGTTCCCCAATCACACTATCTCTTACTTATTTACCTGCATGGGCAGGGACTAGTTCTTAGCAACAAAACTTTCAGAAACTGGGGTATTTCTGGAGGGACTGCTGTCTTCCTAGGAGCTCCCACAAGAAAGTGCCAGAAAACAGACATTTGGAATGACAATGATACAACCAATTGCAACAAGTCTCTAGTGATGTTGCTTTGGTCACCGAGATAGTCAGATTCATCAAGGGTTTAGGGGGGCTGGTTTAAAGGGACAGGTCACTCTATCTTGAAGTCAGCACAAAATCTGTTTTGCACAGGGGCATACAGAGTAGTATAATCGACACGGGAGACTCAGAAGAGAGGAGGATGGCAGGGGGTGAAGAATGAAAAATTACCTATTGGGTACAATGTACAATATTCTGTGACAAGTACATGGAAAGCCCAGAGTCCACCTCTATACAATTCATCCATGTCACCAAAAACCACTTTTATCCCTAAAGCTACTGAATTTTTTTAACCTGTTTTCCTGCATCGCCAGCATTTCAAGATGTTTTCAGTTTGTCTACTTGAAAGTGTCTCCAAATTGATAAATAACTTCCTATTTTCAAATTCAGCAACACTCATCAAACATTTATTAAGTGCCACACACCATGCTAGGGATGAGAGTTAAAGGGGTTTATGAGGTACAACCCCTGTCTTCAAGGAGCTTTTCATCTATTAGGGAGACAAATTCACAACCAAGGCAAATTCAAGTTTTAAGTGTTCTGTAGTATTAGGAGCCAAAACCAATGGGACTGGACAGGAAGGAGCATCTCAGTCTTCCAAGCCACGGTAGACCCCACTCCCAGGACATAAAATATCGAAGGCCACCAAAGTTCAGCAGTAAAAATATGGAGGTGCTGGAGCTGAGGAACACAGAAGTCAGCCTGAACTGAACGGAGACATTTGAGAATGCTGTGCAGAGATCCTGTCTGGGAACAAAACTGGGGAAGTGTGGGTAGATAAGGAACCAGACAGCAGCAGTTTTGTGTGACATTTAGTTGCTGTAAGCCACACACAAGTCCTTGAGGAATGTATATAAGTACGGTATGTGGCATGTATCGCTATGTATGGTTGTCTGATCCAATTTCTTCTTTTTCCTAATAGAGAATCTGAATACTTACTCCTTCCCATCCCAGAATTTTCTTAAGAATCCCTTCGATACCTTGTAGTTTCAAAGGTACCTACCTAGCAGAGCTGAACGTGGCATCTTCAACCTTGGTCTGTCCAGCACCTACCCTGCCATGGCCGTTTCTCCATCTCTCGACGTCATAGCCACCTTTGATTCCCAGGCTTGCATTAGACTTGTAACATTACAGGTGTGAAAATGAAATGTCAAACGTTTCTCACCCTCTCTCTCTAAGAGAATGGTGAGACAGTTAGAAGCGCTGAATTCCTCAGACTTAAATGTCTCTCACTTTTCAAAGACTCTTTCTAGAATCCTATAGACATGGGGGCCTTTCTGAGCTCCACTGACTTTTACAGTGTGTATTTCCATGTTTCAGTTGAAAGGCTGAGGTTCTGAATAAAAGCCCATAAGAAGATAAAGTAACTAATATTTGTTCAATCCCTAAACACACTGAAACACACTGAACATTTTCACTTGGATCAACCCATTAAAACTCTTGGAGATAAGTATGCTGACCTAAGGCCAGTATCACGGATGACAAAAGAGAGGATCAGAGAGGCTCTGTAACTTACCCGGGATCACACAGCATAAACACAGAATCCTAACCAAATATAGTTGACTCCAAAACATAACCATAGCTCTACTGTAATTCTCTAGTAAGATGTCAGCTAAATGGGCTATCAATGATGCATTCAGAGAAACACTATGCATGACAACAAACAGAGAAGACTTTCTTCAAGGCTCAGTTTAAGACTGTGGTTTAGGCAACTAAGATAATGTTGATTGTGATAAGAGAAGCCCAAATACCATCTTTCAGTACTTGTCATGACAAGAATACTCTACAATAAGGGTCCACGGGCTACAGCTTGTGTTCCAAATCTAGCCTGCTGCCTTGTTTTGTACATAAAGTTTTATTTCATGCTACAAGGGCAGAGTTGAGTAGGTGTGACAGAGACCATATGGCTCATGAAGCCTAAAATTCTTATCTGTCCCTTTACAGAAAAAGTTTGCCAACGCCAGACTAGAAACGTTATCCTATCTTCCACTAAATGCTGTTTGGAACCAGAAGATAAAAAGAGGTAAAAGAGAGGGAACAGAAAGATAAGAAGCCATCCATAAAAATGCATTGAGCTCCTACAGTATGTACTCAATGTTCTATTCTCCTCCAGCCAAGGCACTAGGAACACAGACTCATTCACTCAACAAATATTTATTAAGCCCTTGAGCACCTACTCTGTTCCAGTCATTGGACTAGGTATTGAGGAGACTGCAATAAACATAAACTGCAAGTGCTAGTGAGATAGTTCCCTTATATTCTCTGCTTCAAAGAATTGACAACTACATGGGGCACACAAGTTATGACACCAAAGTCTAAGGAGAGCAATGAGAAGTCTTCAGAGAAAAAAGCAACCCGTTCTTTCCACAGAAGATAAGGAAGGCTTCCCATAGTAACATCTGAACTAGGTCTTGAAGTGTGGTTTGCCAAGGGGAAAGGAGGAGGAAAGGTACACCAAGCAGAGAGGAGAGTCTGTGCAAAGGCCCTGGGGTAGGAAATCACTTAGCATGTGAAACCCACAACAGGGAGCTGTCCTGTGGCTGGGGCAGACAGAGCACTGGATGGGGAACAGCAGAAAATGAACTTGCAACATGGTGGCCAGATGGTAGTTTCTAAGAACAGGCTCCAGAGGTTTGGCCCTACTCTACCAAGTCCTGGTTCAAATCCTGGCTGTTGAAACTCACACAGGAACAGAAAAACTGAACACCACATGTTCTCACTCATAAGTAGGAGTTGAACAATGAGAACACATGGACACAGGGAGGGGAACATCACATACTGGAGCCTGTTGGGGTGTGGGGGGCAAGGGAAGGGAGAGCATTAGGACAAATAGCTAATGCATGTGGGCTTAAAACCTGGATGACAGGTTGATAGGTGCAGCAAACCACCATGGCACGTGTATACCTACGTAACAAACCTGCATGTTCTGCACATGTATCTCAGAACTTAAAAAAAAAAATCCTGGCTGTTGGACCATAATAAGTGACTTCTGTAGCCACGTCCCAGGATCATCCTGAGGACCCAAAGTGACAATGTGTATAAAACACTTAGCGCAGTTCCCAACACGTCATAAGCACTGAATAGACATTCACCGTTATGATTAATAGTATGATATGGAAGCCAATCAGAAATGTCATCCAAACTAATTGCTTTTCATCAGTTGCAACATTCAGCTTCCATCGAAGCTTTAACTGGTTGAGAGAAATGTATCAGGAAGCAAGCAGCCCAAACGAAATGCATCAATATATGTACAAAAAGCAGGGCAGCCATTCAGGCCGTACAGCTCCAGATGCAAAGTTACCCCAGGTAGCTCACTCACAGGACTGGCAGGCCCTGTTCCACTCCACACACCTGGTCTGCAAAATGTCCCAACTGCACCCCTCAGCCATTGTAGAGCGTGTTAGGCTTAAAAGAGTGAGCTGAGCTCAAGTTCAGGCACCATCCCTTCCTCAATGTGTGGCCTGAGAGAGGTTGCCTGCCCTCTTGTGTGTTAGTCTTTCGATCTATAAGCTAGAGGTGATAATAGAACCAAATTCCTAAGGTGGTTGTGAAAATGAAATGAGATGATCATGTAAGGCACTGAGCCCAGCATCCAGCATAAAGGGAGCAGTGGGTAACTGCTAGCTATTTTACTTATCATCTCCAAGGCCATGATTACTTGAAGGAAAGGAGAATATGTTTTCTTTCTCACTCTTTAGGAAGTCATAGTGGAGGAGCAGGAACTTTTATTCATCTCTTGTTGAAAGCATTTTAAATTCTAGGCATCCCTAGAAAAAGCAGAGAAATATATTCACCGAGTGGGAGGCAACTATGAATTCTGAAACTTTTAAGTTCTGTTGCAATTTTAAGCACTCGGTCCCACGATCTTTACTGGAAATCCCACAAGATTAACAACCAAACAATACATCCTAGTCTGCATTTTGCACTTAGAAGTGGGGTAAAAAAAATCCTTTCAGTGACCCCCAAAAATATGGTGACAGAACTAGAAAGGAGGAGAAGGGGCTGGAGAGACATCTAAGGAGGAAGGATGGAGAGAGGAGGGAGGGTTCTCCTCCTGCCTTTGCTTCTTGTTGTCTCCCCATTGCCCCTGTGTTGGCTACAACCTTGTAAATATCAGGTTCATCTCTGGCATCTACACAAAGGGAGGCTGCTGCAGAATTACCTGCAGACACCCTGCGTTCATTATCTAGGAGCGGAATCAATTAAAACACTGTTTGCTAGCTGGATGAATATAATACAGCCTGTACTTCAAGTACTAACAGCTAAATATGTGCTTATTAAAAAATCAATAGAAAGTCAAGGCTTCCTTTTCAAATCCTTTCCGTAGGAAGGGTGCTGGTGCCGGAACAGAGGGATAAAGCCCTGCCTGGTACCACCTGCTGAGCACACATCTCTCAAGGAGACGGCTAAGATTTCAGAGCATCACAAATGGAAAACTATTGTGACAGGCAAACAACAGGTAAAATGCCTAGATGGACAGCCACTCAAAGGGCCCTGCAGTGAGACTGAAGACCCCTAGTCCTCCCTGCCCTGTTAGCTACGGACTACTTTACCAAACCTGAGAGTCAGTGCTGAAGACTGCAGAGATAACTGTGTAGTGGGAAAGAGAGAGGGATGAAGAGGTGAGAAAGATCAAACCTCCATGACATGGTGGGCACACACACACAGACACACACTGAGCCACCCACACACCCTCCCCACCCCTACACACACAGAGAGACCTTCACCTTCCACCCCCAACAAATCTTGAGGTAGCACAATTCCAGCAGGCCTGACTTTGCTCTTGCAAGCTGTCTCCTGCTTGGCGAAGGACAGAACTCTGATTCTTGCTGCCAATCCACACTGACTCCAGATTCGTATGTGTGCCCTGGGTTTCATGTTCTGACCCAACACAGTTTTGAACCCAGGATCACAAACTCAAATGCCTTTATGATGCCAGAAAGACCACATCAGTGAGTGGAGTGGACCAAAGGTCAACAACAGGGAATGGTGGGGACTATGGCAAACTAGAGAGCTCCTAACTGCTTAAACGGACTGCTACCAACCAGAGCCAGTGCAATGCAGCTGAGTGGGATCCAATGCTGTTCCATCTTTTAAAGAAGCCAGAAATCCAGATTTTTAATATGACATCTCCCAATTTTAAAATATTAGCCACTGATTCAAAATTGTCTTAAAACATCAGGGCCAAACAAATCAAATCTGATTTCTGATATATAACCATCTCTCCTCTCCACTGAGACAGGGAGGACCTCAGTGACTCTCCCAGAGCAACTTTTACAATACAAAATGCAGGAAGGTCATTCAGGCCATACAGCTTTAGACCCAAAGTTACCCTAGGAAGCTCACTCACAAGACCGGCAGGCCCTGTTCCACTCCACATGCGGTCTGCAAAATGTCCAATCTACATCCCTAAGCCAAGTTCTGGCTTCTCAGCTCCTGGTCGGCTCACACCTGGTGAGATCCCCTGCCCTGAATTCCCATCATCCAGAAGCTCATCTGTGTGTCTGTTCACCAAGCAAAACAAACAGAGAGAGGGAAAGGAAGGGGGTAGAGAAGAGAGGGATCTAATGCAGATGCCCTACTAGGGCCTGTGAATCAGTCTGATTTCCCCAAGAGACACACTCCCTATTCAGCAAAGTTATGTCAATTTTTTAAAATAAGCAAATAAATGAGTCTGGAAGGGTATGCACTGATGAATGTGTGTGTACGTACATATTGATTTAGACATGCATTGGGGAGAAAAGACAGAAGTGGCACAAATGTTGGGCATCAGAAGGAGCAGTGGCCTCCAAAACTGATGACCCAACTCTGCATCTTGCTCCGCCCCAGACATGTGATGTTCACAGGACCAGTCACTCTCTCTGCTGGGCTTCTGCTCCCCCGCACTCCCCTGCCACCCCCTGTAAAATGGGAAGCTCAAGCTTTAAGTTTCAAATTTCTCATCTCCACCATGAGTTCCAAGAAGAAAAGATGTGACTCTACTCGTTCATGTACCCACCCTTAGGGGTGGCACAGTGCCAGGGACACAGCATATTAGGAATGAACTAATTGACTGGGGCACCATTAAGAAACCAAAGAGAACACTTTCATATGCAGCTGAGTGGCAGCTTTGGCACTCACTAGCTGTGCAACCCTGAGTATGGGACTTTGCCTTTTTGAGTTTCCCTTCCCATTCAGAAATATCTCTTGAGCGTTTGCCATGTGCCAGACATGGCTGAGTACTCGAGCACAGAGTGGGTGCTCAGAAGTTATCAGTATCCCATAACCAGAAACTGCCATAATCCAGAGACCAAAAACTCTCAGCCTCTGGTCCAAAATGGCCTGTACCTGTGTTTGGCTTGGCCCACACTGTGAGTTTTGTTCTGTTTTGTTGAATCTGAGCTAAAACTTAAAATGAAAGTATTACACAAAAATATTTGACTTACGTTTCTCTTTCAAAATGAGAAGTTTTGACAATACTGAGGACTGTCACCCCCCACCTCCCATGGAAACTGGATGGAGTTGACACTCAGCCACCCCCCGAGGAGACATATTCGCTTAGGGTTCACAATATTCCCACCTGGCCCCCTTCACTAATTTGACACATCTGTTTGCACTGGGTATTTGCACTGTAGTCCCTGGGCTAATCCAAGAAGAAAGGAGGAAACTCCTCAAGAACACTGGATGATAAAACCCCAGAGTGAGGGGAGACTTTCTTTAGTACGACCATGCAGATGACTATGGCATTGCCTTATCCGTATAAATAAACATTTGCCTGGCAAAACAAGAAGCTAAAGTTCCCCCAACCACTCAGAGGAAGTGTGCTATGGGAATTTAAAGGCAGAAATAAAAATAAAAGTAACTGAGTGAGCTATTTTTTCCCTTTGCAATTCATGGAACTTCTTAAGGTACATTTATAAAGTCATATTTTGAAAACCTTCCTTTTTTTTTGTCAGTTTGCATTTCTTCCTTCCTCCCAGAAGTTAGATTATGGGGAAGTCAAAAGAATGCAGGATTTGGAAGTGGGAGGCTCTTGCCCAGACTAGGTGCGTGTATCTGGTAAAATCAATGCATTTTTTCAGTTTCACTTTTCTTATCTTTAAAATGGAGATGACAGGACCCTCTTACTTCACAGAGATGTCTTGAGGGTAAACTGAGGCAAGGCCTGTGGTTGCTCATTACACTGTCATTACAGGCATCTGCAGTGATTTTGCTTGTATCGCCTGCTTGCACCCCCATCCAAAAAATGTAAGCTTTATGAAGTCAGGGTATTTGGGTGTTTTTCATCATTGTATCACCAATGTTTATTACAGTGTCTGACATATAACAGACATTCAATAAATATTTCTTGGTTTTAAAATGATGTGTGTGCACACAGATGACTAATAGATGAAATAATTGATAATATATAAACAAATAGATTAAATAAAGTCAAACAGTGAGTGAGTGGACAGGAAAAACAGACAGAACTGTCACCACCTAACACCATCTATATTCGCTTCTCTCTGGGTACTGACCTAGAAAGTTTGGCCATAGTCTACCAAGCTCTTTTGACTCCAATAACTAAAATCTCTGCTAGTTATATTCCTCATTTGTCCCTGGGTAGAAATACTCCTTCTACAATTCCTTCTGTACTGATTGGCCACTTGTATTTCACTGGAAGGAGGCTAACTTTATTCCATGCCTCCTGGGTGCCAGGAGATTGGGGAGACGCCTTCATCTCACTTCATCCTCACTACCCTGGGAGGTGGGCCTTGTTGATAGCCCAGTTCACAGCATAAGACACTGAGGCTCTGTCTGATTAACCAAGCTCCCTAAGACCACACAGCTACTAGATGATGGTGCCTATTTCTGAGCCGTGCTCTTTGACACAAGTCCAGAGATGTCCTCACATCTCTGACAGAGTAGAACAGATGAGCCTAAGAGGTGTTTGTATCATTCTGGGATTTCCGACTTGCTAATCAATGCACTGTGCTCTTCTGGGACCGCTCCCTAACCACAGTGGTCAGCTAACACACCAACTCAGCCTTGAGCCAAGCCCTCTCCCTTGACTAGAGACGCTGGCAAGTCAGCCACGGTCCAACCACATCCAAACCCCCTCCCAGCACAGCCCCCTCAGCAAAGTGACACGTTTTGTCTGACTTGGCCCACTGCTTGGACTACATGGGGCACCTGACTCAAAGAAAATAGGTCTACAGGTTGGCCAACAATTACATGAGGTTTGTTGTAGGGGGCTCTGCCCATTAGCAGGTGATGCGACTAAGTTAAGCAGATGAGGGTGCTCCCCTGGGACTGGTAGCGGCAAATTAACCAAGAAATGCTCTGAAGCCAGGAGCCCAGGCAGGGCATAAAAGAGGCTCCGAGATTGTCACAGCCCTTAGCTGAGGATGTGCCCCAGTCCTGAGTCCTACTCACAGAAGGATGCAATCAGCCTCCACTGAATCTCTCTGACCAATGCAATGGTAGCCCCTCCTGCCTTTGGATCTGATTTAGAATCCAGGTCCATGTACCCTAATCCCAGCTCTAAACCCATTCTGAATTGGCCCTTGATTCAGGAGCATTCGGGGATTCAGCAGAAGCGGCAAGCGGCTCCTGGCGATTGGGTCTTGACAATCTGAATCCCTTAGAATTGGCTTCCCAGCGGCGTCTCCGCATTTTCATAACACCTTGGCCCACTGAACAGGAGTACCTTTGAGAATAAATTCAGTGGAACAGAATTTCATGCCAGAATTCGTTTCCTTTTCACATTCAAAAAAAAGAGTCTGCTTCTAAGGATCAAAACATAACTTTAAATAAGGCTGCGGCCTCTGGAAGCCCAGTGGCTGTGGTCTTGCTCTCTGCTATTTCTTGAAATGCTTCACACAGACTCTCCCTCCGCCATGCTCCAATGGTCAAGAGAGCTCAAAAACATGGCTGTGCTACCAGCCTGGGCTATTTATTTCTTCTGCTCACCTCCATTTCTTCTTAAGCCATTTCTCTTCTTTTATGTCTAAGCTTTTTTTCCAGGTAAAGGAAATGGCTAGCAGGATCAGAAGGTAGCCTCTTGCCGGTTACTCTTACTGCAAATAATACCACAGCAAGTTCATGCACACACAGCACTGAGCTGAATTATTTTCTGATCTTCACTAGAAAAGGATTTCACCAAGATCTATGTTCATGGCCATGCAAGTGGCCCATATGGCAGGGTGCAAAAAAGAACCTTCTAAATCTAGCATTCACCACTCATGGTTACATTATTCTCCCTTCATTTTCCTATCCATCAAGCTAGCACTGATTTGGATCCCAAGCTCTGGTATCAATGTGCCATCCCTATTCTAGGGGCAGTCAAAGCTAGATGTCCTGTAGAATTAAGCCAGTGAGATGTGCCAAGCTGGCAAAAGCAACTATGATATTTTCAAACAGTGGCTGGCACAGGAAAAAGTGATGATAGCATTGCCTTTTGGGGAAAAAACACGCACATACACATGCGGGTGCACACTGTTGCAGGCACACACACATGTACACACACACACAGGGTGAGGTTCAAATCTAAGCTTGGATATGTCCTGGCTGTATGTGATCCCTAGCCTTTTTGTGCCTCTGCTTCCCCATCTGTAAAATGGTATTGTACTGTGAATGCTAAATTAAAAGACATTGATAAATGTGTCTGCCCTAGAGTAGGTGCAAATATGCCCTTTCTCACCCTCTCTTTCTCCTGCAGCTCTGCAAGTCATCCCCAGTCCAGATCAACTGCTGAGTTCCAGACCTCTGCATCTGACTGCCTGTGAGCACCTCCCTGCAATGTCCCAATATGTCCCAAGGAGAATCCATCATCTTCCCGCACACACCTGCTCCTCCTTCTGTGCTCCCTGCATCACTGCCTGGGACCACCTTCCACCCAGTTGCCTAAGCCAGGAATCAGCTGGTATGCCGCATTCTCCTTCATCAGCTCCGTTAGAACCTACCCCTCCATTTTTTGAATTCATCCACTTCTCCCCATTCTTGCTTCTGTCTCCCTAATTCAGTGCAGGCCACAACCTACAACAGTTTTTAACTGATCTCCAGGCAACCTTTCCTGTCCCCATCTAACCCATTCTCCAACCCCACAGCTAGAGAAATTTTTCTAAATATTCAAATCTAAACAAGTCTCTTGCTTGCCTTAAAATCTTCCACAGCTCACCACTGCCCTCAACATAGAATACAATCTGTTTATATGTGGTGGCATCTGAAGCCTTCATTGTCTTTAGCCACACCTCTTGCCCCTCTTGCTTTTGGGGTCCACAATGAATTTCTTTCCAGCTGAATGCATGCTCCAGAGCCCCGCACATATTCCTTCCCTCTGCCTGCAATATTCCATGTCTCTCCCCTAGCCACACTTCACATGGCTAACCCTTCTTCTTCCTTCAGATATTTAACTTAGACAGTGTCTATTACTGCACACAATTACATCCCAGCACCCATCACAGTGCCTGGTGATCGTTGGTAAATGCAAGAATAATTTGACACTCAAGGGTTTGCCTAGACGTGGCAGGAAAACGTCTAACCTGCACTCCCCAAGAGCCCTGCTTGTGTTTACTTTTGCAAACCCCATTCTCATAATCTGGTAGAAGTCTGCTAGGGGGAGACTTGGGAGACAGCCATCAGGTGGCATTTCCTTCTGCCTGGGCTGTTTTCCATCCTGGAGATGCAGCTGAGGAGAAAACAAAACAGCCATTGAAATCAAAAGTTGCCACAGCTTCCCCAAAGGCAAGTTTCTCCTATAAACCTGAAGTTTTCCTGCCATAACTCTTAGACCTCACATGACCTTACCTGGGGTAGTGGCAGCCTTCTTAGCAGGCAGCCTGCTACCTGAGTGGATTGCTGCTCTAAGATGGAAATAGTGCAGCTGCCAGAGGGGATAAGGGTGTGGGAAATAATCAAAATCAGGTAGACGAGACCAGCTCTTTGGCTTCCTGGCTCCTGGGTACCTTGGTGTCTGTCTCTTGTCTCTAACATGCATTTCAGAAGCTAGTAGCTGAGCAGATTTGGGTCTGTGCCTGGGCCTGGGCACCTGGCCCTTCTGGTTGAGCATTTTCTTTCTTTTTTCTTTTTTTTTTTTTTTTTTTTTTTGAGACAGGGTCTTGCTCTGTCACCCAGGCTGGAGTGTAGTGGCACAAACACAGCTCACTGCGGCCTCAACCTCCTGAGTTCAAAGGATCCTCCCATCTCAGCATCCCAAGTAGCTGGGACTAGAGGTACACGTCGGGTGGTTTTTTTGTTTGTTTGTTTGTTTGTTTGTTTTAGTAGGGACAGGGTTTCTCCATGTTGCCCAGGCTGATCTCAACCTCCTGAGCTCAAGCAATCCTCCCACCTCAGCCTCCCAAGTGCTGGGACTGCAGGTGTGCTGGGGTTGCAGGTGTGAGCCACCATGCCTGGCCACGTTTGGCATTTTCAGTCAGCTTCCCCCTGGCTTTTGCTGGAGTTAAATCCCTTGCCAATGCCTCTGAAAGCCTTGCCTCAGCACCCTCCTTCTGTCGGCTGGTCTAGCAAGTAACAGCATCTCCAGAAGTCAACAAGATGTTCTGGTTCTTTGCTCTTCAAGGAACTGCCCAGCCCATGCCCATCACCCACACCCCTTCTCCAGCGAGAAATTCCAAAAAAGTACTTTGAAGATGAGTATGGGCTCTGGAATCTGACTGACCCACGTTCAAATCCTGCCTCTCCCAAGTACCTGGGTGTCTCAGTCAGCTGTGCTGCTGTAACGGAATACCATAGACTCTGTTGGCTTAAACAACCAACATTTATTTCTCATGGTCTGGAGGCTAGAAGATCAGGGTGCCAGCACAGTCAGTTCCTCAATGAGGGCCCCCTTTCTCGGTTACATCCTCTTATGGCTTCATGGATCCTCCTCTTCTCAGAGGGACACTAATCCTATCATGGGGACTCCACTCTTATGAGTTCATCTAAACCTAAGTGACTCCCCAAGACTACATCTCCCATCATCTTTGCTCTGAGTGGGGTGAGGGCTTCAAACTATGAATTTCGGGGGAACACATACATTCATTCCATATCACTGAGAAAGTCACTCAACCTCTCCAAAACCCACTTTCCCCTGTTGTAAAACGAGAAAGGTAATATCTACCTCAGAGGATCGCCATGAGGATTACATTAGTACATATAGAAAGAGTGTGTAGCTGGCACGTGGCAACCCCTCTGTTAATGTTATAATCAGATCATGATTATTATGCCCGTGGGGCACAATAGAGGTGTCAGAGCAGAGACATAGATGAGGCACTCAGGAGATCTCTGTTGGATGAATGAGTGTGCACATGCTCTGCCTTTTGTTTAGAAGGGGAAATTGGAGAACTGACTCTCAAGATCTGGTTCCCATCCATTTCTCAGCTCAATCTTCATGTTAGGCTGATGTGGATGACTTTCTCCATCCAACAAAGTCAACTCCGTGCCTGGCTGATGGAGATGCCAAACCTCTCCTGGCTGACCTGCCAATCAGTTTAGGCTGAGGTTGACTGTCCAGGACTATGCTCTCCAAGATGGTAGCTGCTAGGTACCTGTGACCTTTTAAATAATGTAAATTTATTAACTCTTCAGTAAAAGTAAAAGTCAACTCTCAGTCACACTAAACACATTTCAAGGACTCAGCATCCACCTGGGACCAGTGGCCACCCTTTTGGACAGCACAGAGAACATTTCCATCTCACAGAATGTCCTATTGAGCAGGGCAGGTCCAGAGCCCCGTGAATTGGATGGCAGCTGTGTAATGATGCATGGTGATGGACTTCACTGGAAATTATAGGCAAGATACGACTGAAGCAGATCCACCAGGTGGGTCCTGACCAGGCCCTGGTGTCCCCAAGACCTGAGCCTCACCCAGCTTGCTCCTGATTCCAACCTGACTCCTTTTGGCTCTGGGGTCTGATGGGGAGGTCGGTCTCCATGCATGCATTCACCCTGGCAAGCTGCAATCACTCTCTCTGCCATCTGGCTTGCCTTTTGCTATTTGCTACACACCCTGGCCCTGAGTCCTTTATCAGGGGCTTATGCAGTTGTTCTACCTGGGTTCTGCCTCAGCATTAACTTCCTTCAGCCCTGCTCCACTTCCTTAGAATATCCCAAGTCTCTTCTAGAGGTCACTGTTATGGGCTGAATTATATCTCCCCACAAAATAAACATTGTATGTTGAAGTCCTAACCCCCAGTACCTCAGAATGTGACTATATTTAGAGACAGTACCTTTGAAGAAGTAATTAAGGTTAAAATGGGGTAATTAGAGCCCGGTGCTGTGGTTCACACCTGTAATCCTAGCACTTTGGGAGGCCAAGGTGGGTGGATCATTTGAGGTCAGGAGTTCGACACCAGCCTAGCCAACATGATGAAACCCCATCTCTACTAAAAATACAAAAATTAGCTAGGTGTGGTGGCAGGTGCCTGTAATCCTAGCTACTTGGGAGACTGAGGTGGGAAAACTGCTTGAATCAGGGAGGTGGAGGTTGCAGTGAGCCCAGATTGCTCCACTGCACTCCAGCCAAGGTGACAGAGTGAAATTCCATCAAAAAAAAAAAAAAACATGGAGTCATTAGGGTGGGTCCTAATCCAACAGACAGGTGTTCTTATAACAAAAGGGATTAGACAGAAAATACAGACCAATGGATGACCAGGTGAGGACACTGTGAGAAGGCATCATCTGCAAGCCAAGGAAAGAGGCCTCCAAAGAAACCAACCTCTCTGAGACTTTGATCTTGAGCTTCCATCCTCTGGAACTGTGAGAAAATTAATTTCTGTTTTTTAAGGCACCCAGTGGCTTTAACAGTGTTGTTGAGCCCTAAACAAAGTGTTAGGGTTAGGGTTAGGGTTAGAGTTAGGGTTAGGGTTAGGGTTAGGGTTAGGGCTATGGCAGCCCTCATAGACGCACAAAGTCTCCCAGATTGAAGTTCAAGTCCCGGAGATGCCATTGACCTTCACCTTCATCTCTGTTAGCCTCAGTTTTCCTGTTTATAAGCCAGGGAAACACTACTTCCTATTTCACAGGGTTTTACTCCTTCATACTCACCATTCTCTTGTTCTGTGGCTATTTCCTTTTTTTTTCTCTTTATTATTTTTAAGACAGGGTCTTGCTTTGTCACCCAGGCTGGAGTGTAGTGGTGTCATCATAGCTCACTGCAGCCTCCCGAGTAGCTGGGACTACAGGAGCCCACCATCATGTCTGGTTAATTTTTTAAATTTTTTTCATAGAGATGGCGTCTCACTATGTTGCATAGTCTGGTCTCAAACTCCTGGCCTCAAGCGATCCTCCCCACCTCAGCCTCCAAAGTGCTGGAATGACAGGCATGGGCCACTGAGCCTCGCTGGCTGTTTCCTTTTCTAAGGAAGCCTCTCCCTCCTCTCTTCTAACACGGAACTCCATCCTTCGGCTCTCAGCTAACAGTCACAACTCGGACCTCCTGATGGGGTCAACCCCCACTCCACCATTATAATCTCTGCTATCTCTGTGGCCCTCGCCTTTCCTGGCACCTGTCGACATGGTATGTGTGGTCATTTCATTTCAAGTTTGCACCACTAGACTGCAAGCTACTCAAGGCAGAAACGCTGTTTTCTTTTGCTCATCTTAGCATCCCAGCACCTAGCACTGTGCCTGGAAGATGAACAGAAGCTACTATGTGACAACATGGAAGGATGGAAGGACTATTGGGAAGATTAAGCTAGATTGTTGATACACAGCCCTTAACACAGTGCCCAGGGCAGAGTAAGTTGTTTCTAACTGCAAGCTATTGTAATT